>NC_000004.12:6345502-6651998 GCF_000001405.40 Homo sapiens | reverse complement strand
TGTCCATATTTGCTCATATCTGTATCTGGGCTGTATACTCTGTTCCACTGGTCTTTACCTATCTCTGGGCCATTACTCCATTGACTTAATTACTGTTAGCTTTATAATAAATATTAATATTTGGTAAAGTATAGCAAGGCCTCCCATCTGGTGCTACTGCAGGAATATCCTGGCTTTCTGCTTGTCCATCTAAATTTCAAATTTGTGAGTTCCCTGTGCTCCTCCCCACACCCACCAGACTCAAGAGATCTCCTGCCTCAGCCTCCAGAGTAGCTGGAATTACAGGTATTTGCCACCACATGCAGCTAATTTTTAAATTTTTTGTAGAGACTAGGTTTTGCCATGTTGCCCAGGCTGATCTTGAACTCCTGGGCTCAAGTGATATGCCTGCCTCCACCTCCCAAAGTGCTGGGATTACAAGTGTGAGCCATTATGCCCAGCCAAATTCATGGTTTTTATTTTTATTTTAGTTTTAGAGACAGGGCCTTGCTCTGTTGCCCAGGCTGGAGTGCAGTAGTGCAATCATAGCTCACTCCAGCCTGGAACTCCCAGGCTCAAGCAATCCTCCTGCCTCAGCCTCCTGAGTAGTTGGGACTACAGGCATGCACCACCACACACAGCTAATTTTTTTTTTTTTTTTGGTAGAGATGGGGTCTTACTATGTAGCCTAGGCTGGGTTTGAATTTTTGGCCTCAAGTGATCTTCCTGCCTTGGCCTCCCAACATGCTGGGATTACAGGCATGAGCCACTGTACTCAGCCCTCAAATTAATTTTTTTTGTAAATTCAACCCAAACAATCAAAACAGACCCATCTGAAGAGATTTTTATTGGGACTGCCTTGATTTGTGGGAGCAGTTTGGAGAATAATTATGATACTAATTTTCTTAATCTATTTTGTCATTATTTAATGTATTTCAACATAATTTTATGCATAATGGTTTTTCACATATTAAAAATTTAATATATACGAATATATATTTTCCAACCATTTGTACTGGGTTGAATAATGTCCCTGCAAAATTTTTCTGCCCAGAACCTTAGAATGTGACTTTATTGAAAATAGGTTCTTTGCAGACCTAGTTAAGATGAGGTTAGACTGGATGAGAGCGGGCTCTAAATGCAATGACTGGTGTCCTTCCATGAAGACAAAGGGAAGAAGGCCATGGGATAATGGAGGCAGACTGGACTGACGCAGCCACAAGCCAAGGAATGCCAAGAATTGCTGACAATTACCAGAAGCCAGGGAGAAGCAAGGAAAGATTCTTGCCCAGATGGTTCAGAGAGCCCATGGCCCTGCCAACACCTTAATTTTAGACTCCAGAACTATGAAAAAACAAATTTCTGTTTTAAGCCACTTAATTTGTGGCAGTTTGTTATGGTATCCCAAGGAAACACACCATTAAAAAAAAGTTTTTGGGTTCTATTATCAGTGGTACCTTTCAGAAAATATATTTCCTCTTCGTTCCCGGTAAAGAGAAACACTACTGATTTTTATTGATTTTTGTGTCTAGAAACCTTGAAACTCTAGAAACTATTATTAATGTTGGCAGTTTAGATTCTTTTGAATCTATGATGTCTCAGAGACATCATATCATGGGAATATAACTGATGCAGGACAAATTGGGGCTTAGCCTGGGAGGGTTCTTGGCTTCCTCCAGGAAGGAATTCAAGGGTGAGCCAGTGGTGGTAGACAGCAAGAGTTATTGATGCAGCAGTGCACAGTAGCAGCACAGGTGGTGTGCTCATAGGCAGTGAGCCCAGAGGAGCTGCTCAGGGCAGTTCTGCAGTCATATTTATGCCCACTTTTAATTACATGCAAATTAAGGGGTAGATGCCAGGTGCGGTGGCTCATGCTTGTAATCCCAGCATTTTGGGAGGCTGAGGTGGGTGGATTGCTTGAGATCAGGAGTTTGAGACCATCCTGGCCAACATGGTGAAACCCTGTCTCTACTGAAATACAAAAATTAGCTGGGTGTGAGGTGGCTCATGCCTATAATCCCAGCTACTAGGGAGGCTGAGGCAGGAGAATTGCTTGAACCCAGGAAGTGGAGGTTGCAGTGAACTGAGATCGTGCCACTGCACTCCAGCTTGGGTGACAGAGGGAGACTCTGTCTCAAAAAATAAAAAAAAAGTCTGGGTGTGGTGGCTCACTCCTGAAATCCCAGCGCTTTGGGAGGCTGAGGTGGGCAGATCATGAGGTCAGAGTTCGAGACCAGACTGGCCAACATAGTGAAACCCCGTTTCTACTAAAAATACAAAAAAATTAGCTGGACATGGTGGCAGGCACCTATAATCCTAGTTACTTGGGAGGCTGAGGCAGGAGAATCGCTCGAACCTGGTTGGCGGAGGTTGCAGTGAGCCGAGATCGCGTCACTGCACGCTAGCCTGGGCGACAGTGCAAGACTCTGTCTCAATAAAAAGAAAAAATAAATAAAGTAATACACTAAAAAAATTAAGGGGTAGATTATGCAGAAAGTTCTAGAAAAGAGGTGGTAACTTCTGTGTCATTGGGTCATCGCCATGGAAAGCGGCTGTAACTTCTGGGGGTTGCCATGGCAATGGTAAACTGATGGCACTGGTGGGCGTGTCTCATGGAGAGGCTTCCAACTCTTCCTTGTTTCAGCTAGTCTCAGTCTGGTCTGGAGTCTAAACCCTGCCTCCAGAGTCGAGTCCCGCCCCCTACCTCATAACGACAATAGTGGTGGTGGTTTTAAAAATACGTCCACATGATAAAAAGGAATTTGAAAAGATTAAAAAAATATGTCCACAATCTTCTTGCTACTCATCTCTTCAGTAGGTGGAGCATAATTCTTCTCTCCTGGAGTATGGGCTGGCTTGCTTCTAACACACAGAATAGGGAGGAAAAGGGAGGAATGGGAAATACATGGTGCCTATGGCCTTTGGGGATCATCAAAGGTCTTGCTCTCTAGCAGAAACTATTTTGCCTCCTTCCCTCTAGGTCCCTGGCTTTTGCCTCAGGGAGACTTTATTATCTATTATCTTCTCAGGCCTTGTATGAAATGTGCCTCAGAGGTTGCCCCCTCCAGGGGCTTTGCAGTTTCTGAAGCCTTCTTCATGCTGGTGCAGGTGCTGGGGCTCAGCACTTCCTTCAGGGGCTGAACAACCCCAAGTTTTAGCAGACTCACCTTGGAATTTCTTTGGCCATATATTTCCTTCAAAACCTTCGGATGACTTTGGGAGACTGAGGCAGGAGGATTGCTTGAGCCCAGGAGTCTGAGACCAGCCTGGGCAACGTAGGGAAACCGTATCTCTCTAAAAAATAAAAATAAAAAAATTAGCCAGGTGAGGTGGTACATGCCTGTGGTCCCAGCTACTGGAGAGGCTGAGGCAGGAGGATCGCTTGAGCCTGGGTGGTTAAGGCTGCAGTGAGCTGTGATCAGACCACTGCACTCCAGCTTGGGCAAAGCAAGACCCCATGTCTCAAAAAAACAAAAGGAAAACAAGAAATAAAAACACAAACAAGGGGGCCGGGCGCGGTGGTTCATGCCTGTAATCCCAGCACTTTGGGAGGCCGAGGCAGGCGGATCACGAGGTCAGGAGATCAAGACCATCTTGGCTAACATGGTGAAACCCCTTCTCTACTAAAATTACAAAAAATTAGCCGGGCGTGGTGGCGGCTGCCTGTAGTCCCAGCTACTCGGGAGGCTGAGGCAGGAGAACGGTGTGAACCCGGGAGGCAGAGCTTGCAGTGAGCCGAGATCATGCCACTGCACTCCAGCCTGGGCGACAATGCGAGACTCCATCTCAAAAAAAAAAAACAAACAAAAAAAACACCACAAACAAGACCCGCTCAGATGCTTCCTGCCTGTTTGCTGTCAGCCAGCCCCAATGTGCAGGCAGCCACAGCCCAAATCTTGTGAAGATGCCGGCATTTTCCTCACTGCGCTCTGTCCTTCCCCTGCTTTCCCAGTGGTGTCCCTGTGGAGCCAGTGTCCTTGACAGGAAGGTGACAGTCATCAGCTGGTGTTTGCCCACGTGACTGGCACTCACTTTCTGAGGAAGGACCTTTACTGAAGATGCTTGAGAAAGGTTTGGGGCCTCAGTCTCATTTCCCTGTAAGATGGCTTCTTTTGGAGCCATCTCCCGTAACTCTTTGGGTTTGGGATGCAGAACCCCTTTCCTGTGAGGCCCCAAATGACCAGCAGTGGTGCCTCTCCAAGCTCATTCATAGAAGCTACTGCAGGAAGCACAGTTGAGTGACAGTCTCCAACTGCCACATCTTTGCCTCCATAGCGATCACACCAAGGCCATGCCTGTCCTCCCTCAAAGAGACTAAATTCAGGACTAAACTTACTAGCCTGTCACTGCTGTTTCTCCCATTGATGAACCAAGGAGAACTCAGCCTAGGACAAGTTTCCAGTGATGTTCTCCACTCCTCTTCACCCCCAAACCTGTTCCTGGGCCTCCAGCATGTGCCTGACTTCTTGGAGGAGCTCTGCCCTCCCCCGACCTTACCCCTGAGAATAGTGCTATTTCATCCTCAGGCCTGTGAGGGAAAAGCCACTCATTTCTATATGTCCCTCGTGTGTCAATCAGAATTTGGGGGCAGTGTTCTCCCAGGCCATGTCCACACTCTACTTCTCCTCCCTCTTGTCCAAAATGGTGCTCCTTGGGAGCACTCCCTGGTCATCTGACTGTCCTCTCCCTCTTCTCACCTCTGTCATCCTCCAATCTCTTTTCACCCCATTGGAGTCCCGTCATTCACTGCAAACTTGGGCACCTGGCTCCTGGCCTTCCCCTCCACCCCAAGCCCTGCCATCGTCCTGAGCGAATTCCATGCTCACACAGCCACCAGCCCCACACCTGGGCCCTCATATCCAAGGAGCTCCTCCACCCTGCTTGGCCATTCACTCCCAAGAGTGACTTGGGGCTTGTTATTGTCTCAGACCTGGCCTACTTAATATCTCTGTGCCTCATTGATAAGACGAGACTAATTTTAATAATGGCATCTGCCCCACTGAGGGGTCGTGAAAGGCTTTTGAGGAATTGTAGGTAACTGGCACATAGTAAATGCTTCACAGGTGTTAAAACAAGAATTGATCTGAGGCCCCAGAAGCACGTAGCTCGCAGGATGTCATCCACAGATACATTTTATTTGACAATCAGAGTTTTTAATATGATAAATTGCTTTCCAATATCAGCCCTCCTATTTTCTGGCCACATCCCATCCTCCAGGTGACACTTTCACTGTAGTCACTAACATGCTGGGATCTCCATTCACTTTACCAGCTACTTTCGCCTATTGCTCTCCTGCTCTTCACCTCCATACTTCCCCACTCAGAGTACATCATGTATTGTTGCAGTGATGTCCTTGTCAAAACCCTAAGCTCTTTTTTTCTTTTTTCACTCCTCTCTGGCAAAAATGCAGTCCTGATGAACGCAGTATCTGCCCCAGGCAGTGGGCAAGTGCTGTAAGGAACCATCACCAACAAGGCTACAGGGAAGCCCAGGGCTTGGGGAAAATCTAGTTTCAGCTGTTAAGAGTTGGTAAAGAAATGTTCTTTGAAGAGGCAAAGAATAATATGGATTAATTTGGGAATAATGGAATGCAGGATTTTGTGAACCATGGTATAGAGTTTGAAGGAGGAAGCAATGGGGATATAAACCAGTAAATAGGTACCACAGAACATTATGGAAATCAGAGACGGGGAAAAGAGAATTGACTCAGAGAGGGTCTAACATATGCTGGGCTGTGTATTAGTCTGTTCTCATGCTGCTATGAAGAAATACCCGAGACTGATAATTTATAAAGGAAAGAGGTTTAATTGACTCCCAGTTCCACATGGCTGGGGAGGCCTCAGGAAACTTACAATCATGGCAGAAGGGGAAGCAAACCTGTCCTTCTTCGTATGGCGGCAGGAAGGAGAAGTGCAGAGCAAAGGGGAAAAAGCCCCTTGTAAAACCATCAGATCTCGTGGAAACTCACTATCACAAGAACAGTATGGGGGTAACCACCCCATGATTCAGTGACCTCCCACCGGGTCACTCCCAGGACAAGATGAGATTTGGGTGGGGACACAGCCAAACCATATCAGGCAGTGACTGAAGCAGGCACTGGATGGATTTTGTAGATTTACCTGGCCACAGTGTTAACCAGGGTAATAAATCCCCATTTATCTCTGGAAGATGGTAGAAACTCAAGCCACTCCATGTTTACCTGCTGCCTGGAAGGGGGAGAATGGCCAGGAGTAGGAGTTTGAACTAGCGCTTTCTTTCACCTTGAAGTCATTAGAAGGCAGAGGAAAGTCAAGAGCTCCACGTGAAAGCCAGAGACAGAAGATAACCTGTTGGACAATGCCTGGGCTAGTGGGAGGGATGTGATCAACGGGCCTCAGGTAGAAGGGAGAACAACCCTTTCATCAAAACACAAGGAATGGAAGAAATAATGAATATCTGTATCAGTCATCTTAGTCTAAGTTGTTATTGTAACAAACAATCCCCAAATCTCAGTGGCTTAAAACAACTAAGGTTTTTCCTTGTTTGTGGTATATACTCATCATAGATTGGTAGGGAACTGTGGTCATTAAGCTCAGCCACCATCTGGAATGTTGCTGGTTCCTGTGCCAGAGGGAAGAGACAGCTCTGCAGGGTGTTGCTTTGGAGGTTCTGGGTTGGATGCAACAGATGTAAGTTTCCTTTGTAGCTCATCGGCCAGAATTAATCACGTGGGCCCACCCAACCCCAAGGGGGCCAGAAAGTGCCATCTTACTCTGTGCCTAGAAGGCAGAGAATTGGAATTTATTTGGTGAACAGCACTAATGACTTCTACATTTTAACCCAGAAAAGCTTCATTGCTCTCTGAGGTTATTTCCAGCTCTGCCATCCTGTAATACCAGGACTTTGGGAGGCCAAGGCAGGTGGATCACTTGAGGCCAGGAATTCAAGACCAGCCTGGCCAACATAGTGAAACCCTGTCTCTACTAAAAATGCCAAAATTAGCAGGGCATGGTGGCACCCACATGTAACCCCAGCTACGCGGGAGGCTGAGGCAGGAGAATTGCTTGAGCCCTGGGAGGCAGAAGTTGCAGTGAGCCAAGATCATGCCACTACACTCCAGCCTGGGCAACAGAGTTAGACCCTGTCTCAATAAATAAATAAACAAATAAATAAATATGGCAACTCCAGCCAGAAAATTTAATGACTGTACAGCCACGTAAGACTGTCTCTCAGAATGCTTCTTACCACATTCTTTGCTTAGAAAATGCAAGATTGGATTGCTCCTCCAATTGCTAGCAAGCCAGGAGTATGAAATTCAGGAGCTGGGGCAATTGGGAATTAGTGGCTGCATTGCAGTTGTGACCAGAATCATAAAAAAGAGGAACTAAGGAGTTACTGGAAAGATTTTAGGACAATAGTTTTCAAACTCTGGCATAAGAATGAACACTATGCAGCCTTAAAAAAAAAAAGAATGCAGATTTAGATGTTAGATAGGAAAAGACTTCCAAGTAAACAAATGAAGGACACGAACAGATTATACAGTGTGCTACCATTAATGTAAAAAACAAAACAAAACAAACAGGTGGCCTGGGCGCAGTGGCTCATGCCTGTATTGCTAGCACTTTGGGAGGCCAAGGTGGGTGGATGGCTTGAGCTCAGGAATTTGAGACCAAAATGGCCAAGATGGCAAACAACTGTCTACAAAAAATACAAAAATTAACCGCGGTGGTGTTCCAGTTACTCAGGAGGCTAAGGTGATCACTTGAGCCCAAGAGTTCAAGACCAGCCTGGACAAATAGCGAAACCCCACCTCCACAAAAAAAAAAAAAAAAAAATACAAAAATTAGCCAGAAATGGTGGTGTATGCCTGGTCCCAGCTACCAGGGAGGCTGAGGTGGGAGGATCACCTGACACCAGGAAGTCAAGGCTGCAGTGAGTGGTCACAACACTGCATTCCAGCCTGTGAGACACAGAGACCCTGTCTCACCAAAAACAAAAAAAAGTGGAAGCCGTTCAAACACATTAGTATTTGTAAGGATGTATAAGAAACTTCTAGTTTCCTGAGAGGGGAACTGGGAAGCTGGGGAGAGATGAAGGATCACTTTCGTGTCATTTATAAATCTTACTCATTGAAAACAATCGACTTCCCGATGCAATGTAGTATCCCAGAACAGAAAAAGGGCCTTAGTGGGGAAACTGGTGAAAGCAGAGAAAAGTCTAGTTGGTAGTGTTGTACCAATGTTACATTTCTTGTTTTGGCAAATGTACGAAATGTAGTTTTCGTGGTTGTTTCCCAGTTCATAATTCTGTCCTATACATTTCTTCTCCCTCCTCTGTGTGGAACTCACACAGAAAACCTTGAACATCTTCCATTGTTTCCTGTGCCTAGCATGCCTCTCCTGCTCTTCCTGACCTCGGAAGCTGTGCTCCTCTTTCAAGGCCAAGCTCTGAAAGAGTTACTTGCTCTGGAAAGCTTTCCTAGACCTCCCCCTCAAGTGTTCTCCTGGGACATTCTATCTTTATTAGTGCTAGGGACACATGGCTTTGTTTGATTTCTACCAACTAGGTTGCCCAGAAAGTGGACTCCAAGATGAAAACTAGATGCACGTTTTTTAGGGATTAACACTTGTGGAAGAGGAGGAATGCAAGGCTGGGACGGGGGAGGAGGTGGGCTGCGTGATGTAATCCTAACAAAAGCCTCAGCAGACCCCACAAGCTCAGAAGCCACCATGTCCCTCAAAGTTGTCCCAAATTGGGGTAAGAGAAATAGCGACCTGAGATTTCCAGCCCATTACTCACTAGATGTAGGCTACCCAGGGAAAAGGGCATGACTTTGGCTAACGCAGCTCTCCTCTGAAAAGGCACTGCCCAGAGGGCTAACCAGCTGAAGGGTGTTTGTCAGCAACACTTCTAGCAGCTGAGGCAGAAAGGCTTCAATCTGGAAGGAGGGTGGGGTATCACATCTCCTCTATGTCATCCCTCACCCTGCAACTGTAATCGCTATATTCCCAGTGCAAGGCCTAGAAAACAATGTTCCAATTGGAAAGACTGAAGGTGCTTTGGCTCTCTGAAGGCAGAGGCCTGGACCACAGGATTACATGTGGTTTCTTCCCACACTAAGAACCAAGTGTGTTTCTTCCTCACCCGGTTCCCAACAGCAGAGAGAGAAAGCTTCCCTTTGATTAGAGACTAAGAGCCTCAGAAACCGTTAAGATGTTCACCCTCCATTTGACAGTGAGAACCATCTGGGAGACAGCAGATTTCATTCTTAAAGGACTAACATTTCTCAATAACCTTTTAGGTCTTTCGTCTTTTCAAGCAAATGAATACTTTTATTAACATGGTAAGTTTTTGTTTGTTTTAACATGGTAGGGTTCTGACCTCAAATATTTGTTAGGTCTGCTACTCAAATGAACTTACAGCTGGACAACGTATGAACCTTGAAGATGCCTCTTCTAGTCCAGTTTAGGGTCCAATGCAGACAGTTCCATACTGTCATCCCCAAGCCCCTCAAGGGCCTTTGCCAATCTTTCATTTTATGCCAAGTCCTCTAAAACGCATCAGGGTATTACATCAACTTGTACAGAATATCAAGATCTTATCTTCTATTTTAGGTTCCATGTCAAATAAAGCTGAGTTAGGTTGTCCAAACAAACTCACCAGACAGGTTACATAAGATAGTGTACCACAACAAATTTAAATTTTGAACAAAACACATCTCTCCTCCTTTGGTCTCACACAGAAATTAAAGTCTCCAAATACAGACAATACTATCCATTCTCCAGCTCTTCTCCAGATTCACGAGTCCCAGCCAGGTCGGCCCATCCACACTCCCCGTTGAAGTCTGGTCCTTTCTTCAGTAGTTGCTGCATGGAGTCGTCTTCCAGAATTAATGCAGCTCCTTCAGCACCTCCAGAGCTGGAGAACTCCAACTGTGAGTCTCATGTGTCACACACAGACCCAAAGTTCCAGGGAGCTATCAGGTCACACAAGAAATAGCAAAGCACCTCAAAAATTTAGAAATAACCACCAAAGCCCGGGAACAAATGTGACTGCTGCAAGAGCTTACAATCTAGGCCCTAATTCCTGTATGTGAGAGCATTTTCAAACAAAATTACTTCCCAAACAAAAACACGTTAACAATCGAAACTCATATTGAGGTCATCAACCACAGACCATAGCAGAAAACGTAGTGTTAAGTGAGACAGAGCATAGACAGGAAAAAAGAGAAAACAAAAGGCTCTCTGGTTTCGGCTTCTCCAGGGTGTCAGCCAATCTCCACCAGTTGACCAGAATCCATTGGCTGGAAACCTAAAGCACAATGGGAAGAAATTCATCATCGAGAGGTTAATCCCAGGCACAACGACCCCCAAACCCTCACGAACGCCACTGTGCAGGACGCCACCTCTTCTGGCCACCACCTGACTCACTCCAGTCTCTAGCAACGTTGACTTGTCCAACGTCTTCCCCGAAAATCCTCTATTTCCACCCCCGCTTGCTGGACGGCCCGGGACCTTGTCCGTTTCTGTTTCCTTGGCGACTCTGAGATTTATGACCCTTCCACTGAACACGCATCACGCCCAAACCCGGCCACTCTGATTATCCCACGCCGCCACCGTCAAAAAACAAAACACGAAGACGGGGCCCAGATCGGCCCTGACCCGAGCACGCCTTTATTCTCCCGCCCCACCCCCGATTCCGGTGCATCTCGATGAAATCATCGCTCTCGAAGAGCGGCCAAGCTGGGGCCGCTCCTCGGCCTGGCGCGGGTGCCCGACTTACCGCCGACCGCGCTCACGACGACTCGCTCTTCTCTATCCGCCGGACCAGCTCCACCAGCATCTCTGCCATCTTCGCAATCTCCTTGGCCTTCTCCTCGGCCTTCTCGCACCTCTTGGCCGCCCGGCCCTCGGCCGCGTCGCCCGGGTTCTGGAGGTGGTTGAGGGCGCTCTCCTCCGAGGCCTCCACCTGCGTTTTGATCTGGATGAGCATATTGTCCATCTCCCACAGCTTGCTCCGGTTCCGCAGGTACGCCCGCCCGTGCTCGCGCGTCAGCGACGCGATGTCCTCGCGCATCTCGTTGATGACCGGGAGCAGAAACTGCTCGAAATCCTCCTCGGGCTCCAGCACCTCCACTTCCTCCGGTTCCGCCAGCTCGACGATGTCCAGGGGCCGCATCTCTTCCCACTGCCTCGGAACCGCAATAGCGATGTCTGTTGGAGAGAGAAAACCGACACTCGCTATGCTTAGCAATAGAGAGCCCGAATATTCCTGAAAACTTTTACCCTTTTTCAACTTTTCTTCTCAGAGAAGCCACGGACAAGCGACTTACGCGCAGAGTAACGGCGAACAAAATGGAGTCCCGGCCGTCAACCAGCGCTCTGCGCGTTGCGGCCCCTTTCACGACACAGCCGGGCCTCTTTACGGTCAGGGGGGCGAGCTGCGGGCGCGCGCACGTCTAGAAAGAGAGGCACCGGCGGCGGCGTCGCGGCCGCACGGACGCGCACGCAGGCACGCGCAGGTACGGGACCGCACGCTCTCGCTCGTTCCTGCTTTCCCGTTACCTCTGTGCGTCACCCCTGTTTTACCCTGTGTTTGGAGGGTGGCCTCTTCTGGGTGTTTCCCTCCGATAGGGCTTCTTGAGCACGCGAGTTTACATTTTTTAAAAAGGCCTCCCGCACTTCCCAGGCGCGGTGGCTCACGCCTGTAATCTCAGCACGTTGGGAGGCGAGGTGGGTGGATGGCTTGAGGTCAGGAATTCGAGACCAGCCTGGCCGACATGGCGAGACCCCGTCTCTACCAAAAATACAAAAATTAGCCGGGCGTCGTGTTGCACGCGTGTAACCCCAGCTGCTTGGGAGGCTGAGACAATCGTTTGAAAACGGGAGGCGGAGGTTGCAGTGAGCCCATATCGCGCCACTGCTCTCCAGCCTGTGCATCAGAGTGAGACTCCGTCGCAAAATAAATAAATAAAATATAAATGAAAATTAAAAAGGGCCTTCCACACTAGAAGAGGAGGATCCTACGTGATAATGCAGCTACCCCAGGTGGACGCTTAAAGCCCCTTCCTTTCACGCAGGGGGACCTGAGTCCCCTCAGCCGTTTTATTTACTTTTTTTTTTTTTTTTTTTGGAGACAGAGTCTGGCTCTATCGCCCAGGCTGGAGTGCAGTGGCACGATCTCGGCTCACTGCAAACTCCACCTCCGGGGTTCACACCATTCTCCTGCCTCAGCCTCGCGAGTAGCTGGGACTACAGGCGCCTGCCACCGCACCCGGCTAATTTTTTGTATTTTTAGTAGAGACGGGGTTTCACCGTGTTAGCCAGGATGGTCTCGATCTCCTGACCTCGTGATCCATCCACCTCGGCCTCCCAAAGTGCTGGGATTACAGGCGTAAGCCACCGTGCCGGGCCTTATTTACTTATTATTATTTAAAAAGTTTTTTTTTTTTATTGAGGCAGGGTCTCGGTCTGTCGCCCAGGCTGGAGTCCAGTGGTGGGATCATGGCTCACTGCAGCCTTGATCTTCTGGCCTCAAGTGATCCTTCCACTTCGGGCCTCCCAAAGTGCAGAGATTACAGGCATGAGCCGTGCGCCTGGCCCTTTCTGCCTTTTTAAAGAGTAGTTTTCCTTCTTCCTTGGATGACAGTCAGAAGGGTCTGGGTGTCTTTTCACCAAACCGGCCTCCCCACACCCCAAGGTGGAGCCTGGCTGCTCCGTCCTGAGGCCCCAGCAGACCCATGTTCAGTGTGTGGTGCAAGGCGCTGTCCAGAGCCTCTGAGCCCTTCCACTGGATCCTAGGCTCTTTGGGGTCTTAGCTCTGTGGCCTTAATGCCCTAACGCCCTGGGCAGAGCTTGGCGCATATTGGTAAATTTGCCTTAACATCCACTCAACACAGAATGAGGAGAGATACGTTAATTTCCTAGCTTGTTGTCCCATTCCCAAACATCAATAAACTTTTCAGAAATCCAGCTTACATAAATCCCATGGATTTGGCTTCCATTTTCAAGGTAAAGGGACACATCACAGTTTTGACTACAGCAGAATTAAGGATTCAGAGAAACGTAAGTATATGTTTTGTTTTGACTTTTCTCAGGTTCTTAATATTTTGGTTGCTCTTGTAAAAACCCAACTTTGGGGCTTGTGTGAAAGGAAAATAAATCTTGGGACCCCATAATCACTAAACCAAAGGGGACAGTCAAGCTGGGAACTGCATCAGGCAAACCTGCCTCCCATTCTATTCCTAAAAAAGATAGCTACTAAGATTAAAAAGCTACCTACCTCCCTCACAAGGAAATTCCTTGTGGACAAATGACAGAACTCGGAGCCACCCATCTGCTCACTGAGATAGATGCATCTCTGACTGCCTCCTTTGGAAAGGCCAATCAGAAACTCAAAAGAATGCAACTGTTTGTCTCTTATCTACCTATTAACTGAAAGCCCCTGCCCTGCTTCAAGTTGTCTGGCCTGTCTGGACCAAACCAATGTACATCTTACATATATTGATTGATGTCCCATGTCTCCCTAAAATGTATAAAACTAAGCTGTACCCCAACCACCTTGGGCACATGTCATCAGGACCTCCTGAGGCCATGTCATGGGTGTGTGTCCTTAACCTTGGCAAAATAAACTTTCTTTTTTTTTTTCACATTTCTTTCATTTTTTTTATTATTATTATACTTTAAGTTTTAGGGTACATGTGCACAATGTGCTGGTTAGTTACATATGTATACATGTGCCATTCTGGTGTGCTACACCCATTAACTCGTCATTTAGCATTAGGTATATCTCCTAATGCTATGCCTCCCCCCTCCCCCCACCCCACAACAGTCCCCAGAGTGTGATGTTCCCCTTCCCGTGTCCATGTGTTCTCATTTTCAATTCCCATCTATGAGTGAGAACATGCGGTGTTTAGTTTTTTGTCCTTGCGATAGTTTACTGAGAATGATGATTTCCAATTTCATCCATGTCCCTACAAAGGACATGAACTCATCATTTTTTATGGCTGCATAGTATTCCATGGTGTATATGTGCCACATTTTCTTAATCCTGTCTATCATTGTTGGACATTTGGGTTGGTTCCAAGTCTTTGCTATTGTGAATAGTGCCGCAATAAACATACGTGTGCATGTGTCTTTATAGCAGCATGATTTATAGTCCTTTGGGTATATACCCAGTAATGGGATGGCTGGGTGAAATGGTATTTCTAGTTCTAGATCCCTGAGGAATCGCCACACTGACTTTCACAATGGTTGAACTAGTTTACAGTCCCACCAACAGTGTAAAAGTGTTCCTATTTCTCCACATCCTCTCCAGCACCTGTTGTTTCCTGACTTTTTAATGATTGCCATTCTAGCTGGTGTGAGATGGTATCTCATTGTGGTTTTGATTTGCATTTCTCTGATGGCCAGTGATGGTGAGCATTTTTTCATGTGTCTTTTGGCTGCATAAATGTCTTCTTTTGAGAAGTGTCTGTTCATATCCTTCTCCCACTTTTTGATGGGGTTGTTTGTTTTTTTCTCATAAATGTGTTTGAGTTCATTGTAGATTCTGGATATTAGCCCTTTGTCAGATGAGTAGGTTGCGAAAATTTTCTCCCATTTTGTAGGTTGCCTGTTCACTCTGATGGTAGTTTCTTTTGCTGTGCAGAAGCTCTTTAGTTTAATTAGATCCCATTTGTCAATTTTGGCTTTAGTTGCCATTGCTTTTGGTGTTTTAGACATGAAGTCCTTGCCCATGCCTATGTCCTGAATGGTAATGCCTAGGTTTTCTTCTAGGGTTTTTATGGTTTTAGGTCTAACGTTTAAGTCTTTAATCCATCTTGAATTAATTTTTGTGTAAGGTGTAAGGAAGGGATCCAGTTTCAGCTTTCTCCATATGGCTAGCCAGTTTTCCCAGCACCATTTATTAAATAGGGAATCCTTTCCCCATTGCTTGTTTTTCTCAGGTTTGTCAAAGATCAGATAGTTGTAGATGTGCGGCGTTATTTTTGAGGGCTCTGTTCTGTTCCATTGATCTATATCTCTGTTTTGGTACCAGTACCATGCTGTTTTGGTTACTGTAGCCTTGTAGTATAGTTTGAAGTCAGGTAGCGTGATGCCTCCAGCTTTGTTCTTTTGGCTTAGGATTGACTTGGCAATGCGGGCTCTTTTTTGGTTCCATATGAACTTTAAAGTAGTTTTTTTCCAATTCTGTGAAGAAAGTCATTGGTAGCTTGATGGGGATGGCATTGAATGTATAAATTACCTTGGGCAGTATGGCCATTTTCACGATATTGATTCTTCCTACCCATGAGCATGGAATGTTCTTCCATTTGTTTGTATCCTCTTTTGTTTCATTGAGCAGTGGTTTGTAGTTCTCCTTGAAGAGGTCCTTCACGTCCCTTGTAAGTTGGATTCCTAAGTATTTTATTCTCTTTGAAGCAATTGTGAATGGGAGTTCACTCATGATTTGGCTCTCCGTTTGTCTGTTATCGGTGTATAAGAATGCTTGTGATTTTTGTACATTGATTTTGTATCTTGAGACTTTGCTGAAGTTGCTTATCAGCTTAAGGAGATTTTGGGCTGAGACAATGGGGTTTTCTGGATATACAATCATGTCATCTGCAAACAGGGACAATTTGACTTCCTCTTTTCCTAATTGAATACCCTTTATTTCCTTCTCCTGCCTAATTGCCCTGGCCAGAACTTCCAACACTATGTTGAATAGGAGTGGTGAGAGAGGGCATCCCTGTCTTGTGCCAGTTTTCAAAGGGAATGCTTCCAGTTTTTGCCCATTCATTATGATATTGGCTGTGGGTTTGTCATAGATAGCTCTTATTATTTTGAGATACGTCCCATCAATACCGAATTTATTGCGAGTTTTAGCATGAAGGGTTGTTGAACTTTGTCAAAGGCCTTTTCTGCATCTATTGAGATAATCATGTGGTTTTTGTCTTTAGTTCTGTTTATATGCTGGATTACATTTATTGATTTGCGTATAATAAACTTTCTTAATTGACTGATGCATGTCTTAGATATTTGGGGTTCACACTTGACATATCGGAGACAGCTAGCTCATACATTTTTTATATGAATAAAAATAAGTGACTCAAACAAAAATGAGATACTACTAAGCACCTATTAGAATAGTCAAAATCCAGAACACCTACAACACCAAATGCTGTTGAGGACTTGAATCAACAGGAACTTTTATTCCTTGCTCGTGAGAATGCAAAATTATACTGCCATTTTGGAAGACAGTTTGGTAGTTTCTTACAAAACTAAGCCATATTCTTACAATAGGATCCAGCAATCACATTCCTTGGTATTTATCCAAATGAGTTGGAAACTTAGGCTCGCACAGAAATCTGCAGGTGGACGTGTCTACCAGCTTTAACTGTAGTTGGCAAAACTTGGAAGCAATCTAGATGTCCTTCCATAGGTGAATGGATACAAAAACTGTGGTACATCCAGACAGTGGAATATTAATCAGCATTAAAAAGAAATGTGTCATCAAGCCATGAAAAGACATGGAGGAAACTAAAATGCATATTATTTAAGTGAAGTCAATCTGAAAAGACTCCATATTGTATACTTCCAACTGTATGACATTCTAGGAAAGGTAAAACTTTGGAGATGGTAAAAAGATCTGAGTGGATTGGGAGGGATGAATGGGGGGAGCCACGGGATTTTTACGGCAGTGGTGAAACTACTCTGTATGATACCATAATGGTAGACACATGTCGTTATCCATTCATCCAAACCCATAGAATGTACAGCACCAAGAGTGAGCACTTAGGTAAACTAAGGACTTCAGGTGATTATGATGCATTAATGTGGATGCATCAGTTGCAACAAACTTACCGCTGTGTGGGAGATGTTGATGGGAAGGGGAGGGTATGCAGGTTGGGGAACAGATGTTGTATGGGAGGTCTCTATACTTTCTGCTGTGAACCCAAAACTGCTTTAAACTGCTATTTAAACGGGAGGAAATAAACCCATCAAAAAACCAAATGGCTCCCGAAAGGTGGATGAGTTCAAAAACAGCACCTCTTCCCTGGGGTGAGGTTAGATTGGGCCCCACTCCTCCAGGTGTTCTTGTGCAGGGCAGAAATGCCAGGTGCACAACATGCATCCAGGGACTGATGAGCTAGCGTTTCTTTGTTTTCTCTTTTATTTATTTCTTTCGAATTGCTTTTTCTTTTTTTTTTGAAACAGAGTTTCACTCTGTCGCCCAGGTTGGAGTGCGGTGGTGCGATCTCGGCTTAGTGCAACCTCTGCCTCCCGGGTTCAAGCAGTTCTTCTGCTTCAGCCTCCTGTAGCTGGGATTACAGGCACCCACCACCACACCCAGCTAATTTTTTTATTTTTAGTAGAGATGGGGTTTTGCCATGTTGGCCTGGCTGGTCTTGAACTCCTGACCTCAAGCAATCCACCTGCCTTGGCCTCCCAAATTGTTGGGATTACAGGAGTGAGCCACCATGCCCAGCCTCTTTCATTAATTTCTGTTCTTATCTTTATTATCTCCTTTCTACTTTCTTTGATTTATTCTGTGCTTTTTAAAAATTTTCTTAGGTGAAACTCAACTCATTAATGGGTTTTTTTTTTCTAACATAGCATTTAAGATCTTAAATTCCCATCAAGCATGACTTTACTTGCATCACACAGCTTTTGATATTGGCATTTTCATTATTTAGTTCTAAGTGTACTTTTATTCCAATTATGATTTCTTGATCCATAAATTATTAGAACTGTGCTTTGGCCAGGCGCAGTGGATCATGCCCGTCATCTCAGCACTTTGGGAGGCCGAGGCAGGCAGATCACAGGAGTTTGAGGCCAGCTTGGCCAACATGGCGAAACTCTGTCTCTACTAAAAATACAAAAATTAGCCAGGCGTGGTGATGGGCACCTGTCATCCCAGCTACTTGGGAGGCTGAGGCAGGAGAATCGCTTGAACCCAGGAGGTGGAGGTTGCAATGAGCCGAGATCGTGCCACTGCGCTCCAGCCTGGGCAACAAGAGCGAAACTCTGTCTCAAATGAACAAAAAACCAAAAACCAGAAAAAAAACCCAAAACTGTGTTTTAAAAATTTCAACCACATTAGAGCTGTTTATGCTCTTCTATTACTGATGTCTAACTTAATTGTATTCTTCTTAGAGATGGAGTTCGGTTTGATAGTGATTCTCTGAAATTTGTAAAAATTTCGGCCTGGGCAATTGCAGCACACTCTGTGTGTGTGCTTGAGAAGAGTGAGCATTCTGTAAGGCTGGGACCAGGACTTTATGCACATCCACCAACTCCCGCCTCCCCCAATGTTGCAATAGCTTCCTGTTTTTGCCTCATTCACCTATAGTGCAATCTCTATGTAGATTCCATTTCTTTGGTGCATTGCAGAGTTTGTCTGGATTCATTTTTCTTTCTCTTGAGTGAATTATTTATAAATTTAGAGATTCTTTAGAAATTGTTGAAGTCAAAGATGCAATTTTGCAAACCAGTTTGACTGTGGGCAGCCCCAGGGCATCATTAGCTGTAGCCTGAGAACAAACACAGGTGCAAACAAAACCAGGGCGTTTCAGCTGGTAAATGCTGCCATGAGGCAGAACTTGCTTTTCCCCAGGCTGGAAATTGGAGAACAGTTTGTCCTGGACCAAGTGATGAAAGGCAGGGCGACATGGGGGAAGAATTGGAACTCCCAGTCCTATGGCTCAGCTGTAAATTCTGCAGAGTAGAGCAGAGAAGGGATTGTTTTGTTCCCTCTTGGGAGAGGACGTGATGCTGAGGGCCCAGTGTGAGAGGCTTTGGGCACAGAGCGACCTTTAATGATTCCCAGAGGCAGCACAGCCCCTGGACACCTGGGCGGCCTCCAGGGAAGGATTAGAGCTGCCTGCACATGTGTAGTCCTAGTGAGACGGCAGGAGGCGGGACTCTGGAGACAGGGCTCAGACATCAGACCAGTCTGAGGACTAGCTAAACAGGGGAAGAGGTAAAAGCACCTCTACAGAATCCATGCCCACTGACAACACCCGGACATTACTGCCACTTTCCATGACAACAGCCTTATGACCCAGAAGTTACCACCCTATTTCTAGAAATTTCTGTATAATCTCCCCCCTTAATTTTCACATAATTAAAAGTGGGTATAGGCCGGGCATGGTGGCTCATACTTGTAATTCCAGCACTTTGGGAGGCCGAGGCGGGCGGATCACCTGAGGTCAGGAGTTTGAGACCAGCCTGGCCAGCATGGCGAAAACCCATCTCTACTAAAAATAACAAAAATTAGCTGGGTGTGGTGACACGTGCCTGTAATTCCAGCTACTGGGGAGGCTGAGGCAGGAGAATAGCTTGAACTCAGGAGGTGGAGGTTGCACTGAGCTGAGATTGTGCCACTGCATTCCAGCCTGGGTGACAGAGTGAAAGTCTGCCCGGAAAAAAAAAAGCAGGTATAAATATGACTGTGGAACTGCCTCTGAGTTGCTACTCTGGGCACATTGGCTATGGGCAGCCCTGCTCTGCCAATGAGTGATACCTCTGCTGCTGCTGTACTCTGCCGCTTCAATAAAAGTTGCTAACACCACCGGCTTGCCCTGAAATTCTTTTCTGGGTAAAGCCAAGAACCCTCCTGGGCTCAGCCCCAATTTTGGGACTCACCTGTCCCTACTAGGGGCACCTGTTCAACATTGCTGGTCCTGGGAGCAGATGCAGAGGCTGAGCTGTGCCACCGCCTGAGATGGGGAGAAGCCTGGTGCTATGGACCGAATGTTTGTGTCCCCTGCAAGTTCTTATGTTGAGATCCTAACCACTAATGAGATGGTATTTGGAGATGAGGCCTTTGGGTGGTGATTAGGGTTAGATTTGGTCATGAGGGTGGGGTACCTATCACAGGATTAGTGCCTTGTAAGAAAAGATGCAAGAGGTCTTACTCTCTACTTTCTGCCATGTGAGGCTACGACAAGAAGACTGTTACTGGCCAGGTCCAGGTCCGTTCTGCCCATGTGCAGTAAATCAATCACTATGACATGGGTTCTGCAAAAGAAAAGATACTTATTCTCAAGGGCACCAGGTGAAGATGTGGGAAAACAGCTCTCAAATCCACTTCTCTGAAAATAAGGCTTAGGGATATTTATGGGTTAGAGAAGTGGGGTGGTTTA
This sequence comes from Homo sapiens, assembly GCF_000001405.40. Lineage (NCBI taxonomy): Eukaryota > Metazoa > Chordata > Mammalia > Primates > Hominidae > Homo > Homo sapiens. The sequence continues at coordinate 6,631,912 of NC_000004.12, read as the reverse complement.
AGTCTTGGGGAAAGGTGATTGGCAGTGGGGAAAAATAAAGTAACAGATTCATTTTGCACAAGTGTAGTCAGGGTTCATGACATTTCATAGGACCTATGTACAGAAAATGGTGGTGTTAGCATGATCTGAGGGTGGAGTATTTGGCCCTCTGATGTCCAAAGGCCACCTCTCAGGCACTTGCGCAGGCCCAGTTGAAGAGTTGGTGGTCTCAGCTGGTTTGAACATGACAGGAGCTGGCCCAAGTTCCTGAAAAATAACTGAAGTAACCATTACCATGGTGACCTATAAATGCTATCTATAAAGTAGCCAGTAAAGGTCAGGTGCAGTGGCTCATGCCTGTAACCCCAGCACTTTGGGGGACCAAGGTGGGAGGTTTGCTTGAGCTCAGAAGTTTGAGGCTTCAGTGAGCTATGAACATACCACTGCACTCCAGCCTAGGCAACAGAGTGAGATCCTGTTTCTTAAAAAGTAAAATAAAAAATACAGTAGTCAGTAAAGGTTTAAGTTTTAGAATTCAGTGATGCATACTTCAGCTACTGTGGCCTTCAGCTTCATGGAAAAAGGAAGAAAAAATAACAAAAAGCAAGTGACCCAAAGCAAGCAGGGTAAGCAGATCTCATCAAATTAACCACTCAGTTTAAAGATGGCCATTTGCAAACCAGGAAGACAGTCCTCACCAGCCTCCAGATCTGGTAGCATCTTACCCTTGGACTTTCTGGGCTCAAGAACTATGAGAAATAAATGTTTGTTGTCTAAGCCATCCAGTCTGGCGTAATTTGTTATATCAGCCTGAAGAGCCTAATAGCTGGTGTCCGTCCCTAGGGAAGTCATAAGCAGACTGGCTTCCTCTCCTTTGCCCTTTGCTTGCTGTGGGCCTGAAGTGTCTAAACTGCCATGCTTCCTCCACTTTCTGTTTGCTGCTTCTCCAGAGACTTGAATAGCTTGACAAAACCAAAGCCTGAAGTTATAAATGGATGGGAAGAATGGGAATGTACACATGGTCCAAAGATTTTATCTTGCTATGGGAGAAAGAGGAAGGAGAGTGGGCAACAAAGCCATCTTTGTGGTGGTGAAGGATGATGATTATTTTATTTTGTTATTCCAGAAAGGAAATAGAGGCTTATTTGTAATTATTATGCCTAAAACAATCCAGAACAAAACTACTAAAAAAATTGAAAAGACTAGTAGAACTTTCAAAGTAATGAGGAGAAAAAAGAGAATAAAATAGGACTCTGGAAAATTGAAAAGAAAAGGGAAAATGAGGAGAGAAAACAATGAAGTAAAATGCACTATAAATAGAAAAGGGAACAAATATTTAATAAAATCCAATCATGGCTGGGCACGGTGGCTCACGCCTGTAATCCTAGCACTTTGGGAGGCCGAGGCGGGCAGATCACGAGGTCAGGAGATCGAGACCATCCTGGCTAACATGGTGAAACCCCATCTCTACTAAAAATACCAAAAATTAGCCGGGTGTTGTGGCAGGTGCCTCTAGTCCCAGCTACTTGGGAGACTGAGGCAGGAGAATGGCATGAACCCTGGAGGTGGAGCTTGCCATGAGCCGAGATGGTGCCACTGCACTCCAGCCTGGACAACAGAGCGAGACTCCGTCTCAAAAAAAAAAAAAAAAAAAAAACACGAAAAAAACAAACAAAAAGAACCTAAAATCAAGGTATGTGCTATATATAAGAAACACACCTATAATGAAGTGACAAGGAATGTATAAAAATTAAGGAATAAAGCACAATTTAAGGTTAAAATACGAAACAAGAGGAGCATTGTGTAATGATAAATATGACTTACAAAGAAGTTATATATTTCAGTTATCTAGTGCTGTGTTCATGACACCCTAAATTTTTTTCTTGAGACAGGTCTAAGTCTGTTGCCCAGGCTGGAGTGGAATGCCATGATCATGGCTCACTGCAGCCTTGAACTCCCAGGCTCAAGTGATCCTCCCACCTCAGCATCCTGAGCATCTGGGACTACAGGTGTGCACCACCATGTCTGCCTAATTTTTTTTTTTTTTTTTAAGAGACAAGGTCCCACCATGTTGCCCAGGCTAGTCTTGAACTCCCGGGCTCAAGTGATCCTCCCACATTAGCCTCCCAAAGTGTTGGGATTACACGTGTGAGCCACCACACCTGGCCCAAATCTTATGGTACTTAGCACCATAACAATCATTTGTCACAATTCTGTGGGTTAGGAGTTCGGGCAGGCCTCAGCTGGTTGGTTCTTCTGCTTCATGTATAGTTTATCACCTAGAGTCACTCACTCTGCTGGGTTGAGCTGCTACCTGGAATGGCTGAAAAACCCAAAAAGGTCTCACTCACATGTCTGGGGTCTTAGCTGGGGTGTTGGAATGGTCAGAGGCATTCTCTTTCATTACCTTAGTGAGAAGGATTCATATGCTTCCTTTGGATGTAAGGAAAGCTGGGGAATGTGGACCCTGTCTGGGAAGCCACTTCTCAGCTAAAACTGTCATTTATATCATGGAGGGGAAGAATGGATGCCAGCAGAAAGCTAACTAGCCCTGCCACAACCAAAAACATCCTTGTATTGTTTAAGCCAGTTTGAGCTAAGTACAGTCTGGATTATATAAAAAGAGCTGTTAGATACAAGATGTGAATTTGGACTTGTTTTATCTTTTTCCATTTATATATTTCACATTTTTGCATTTTTCTTTTAAATTTTTTAATATTTTTTGGTGACAATAACATATATATAACATTGTTTATATTCTCTTATATACATGTGCATTTACCATGTATATCATATATAAGAGAATTGAGTAGAAACATTTTATATATATATATGTGTATACAATATAGTTTCATCTATGAAAGAAACTCACTGTTAACAATCAACTAAGTCTGGAAATAAAACCATGCCACACCTAGAAATCCAGGTGTGTTCCTTCTTAACTCAGATCTCCCTCGCCCCACTGGAGGTAACCCCTCTTGTGACTTCTAGTTTCCTTTCCCTTCCCTTCCCTTCACTTCCTTTCCTTTCCCTTCCCTTCCCTTTCCTCCCCTCCCTTCCCCTCCCTTCTCAGCCCCTCCCTGCTCCTTCCCTCCCTTTGCTTCTCTTCTTTCTTTTCTTTTTTTTTTTTTGAAACAGGGTCTTTCTCTGTCACCCAGACTGGAGTGCAGTGGCATGATCTCAGCTCACTGCAGCCTCAACCTCCCAGGCTCAAGCGATCCTCCTGCCTCAACCTCCTGAGTAGCTGGGACTACAGACATGTGCCACCACCACCTGTTGTTTATTTTTTTTTTGTAGAGATGGGGTTTTGCCATGTTGCTTAGGCTGGTCTTGAACTCCTGGGCTCAAGTGATCTGCCACCTTAGCCTCCCAAAGTGCTAAAATTACAGGACAGAGTCACTGTACCCAGCCTTGGCCAGTCATTTCTTCACTTTCTTTGTTGTTTTATCCACTAGGAATGCAATCATAAAGAATACGGTATAGTCTTTCCCACTTTTGAACTTTATGTAAATGGAATCATAGTTATTCATTTGTATATTGCTGCTTCTGCTCAATATAGTCTATCTATCATCTATCTAACATCTATCTATCATCTATCTATCTATCATCTATCACCTCTGTCTCTCTATCTGAGATTCACCTGTATTGATGCAGGTAAGGATAGTTCACTCATTTTGATTGCTCTATGGCAGTGAGTGTTAAAATTGAGTGTGCATCAGAAAAACCCAGGAAATTTGTTAAAACACATGTTCCAGGGCCCATCCCTACAGTTTCTGATTTATTTGATCTGGGATAAGGCCTGAGACTTTGTGTTTCTAACAACTCCCCAGGTGATGCTGGCACTACTGGTGTGGGGACCGCACTTTGAGACCTGCTGTTCTGTAGTATTCTCTTGTACAAATAAACCAGCCTCTATCCAAGCACTGGTAAGGGGCCTATGAATGGTTTTCATTTACAGCTATCATGAACAATGCCACTGAACAGTCTTACATATTTTTGTGCACACGAACATGATTCTTTTCTTTTTTTTTTTTTTGAGATGGAGTCTCACTCTGTCACCCAAGCTGGAGTGCCATGGTGCGTTCTCTCTGCTCACTGCAACCTCTGCCTCCCAGGTTCAAGCAGTTCTCTTGCCTCAGCCTCCCGAGTAACTGGGGCTACAGGCATGCACCATTACACCCAACTAATTTTTTATTTTATTATTTATTTATTTATTTGTTTATTTTTTGAGACAGAGTCTTGCTCTTTCGCCCAGGCTGGAGTGCAGTGGCGCGATCTCGGCTCACTGCAAGTTCCGCCTCCCGGGTTCACACCATTCTCCTGCCTCAGCCTCCCGAGTAGCTGGGACTACAGGTGCCCGCCACCACACCCGGCTAATTTTTTGTATTTTTAGTAGAGACGGGGTTTCACCGTGTTAGCCAGGATGGTCTCGATCTCCTGACCTCGTGATCCGCCCACCTTAGCCTCCCAAAGTGCTGGAATTACAGGCATGAGCCACGGCGCCCGGCCTTTTTTTTTTTTTTTTTTTTTTTTTTTTTTAGTAGAGATGGGGTTTCACCATGTTGGCCCAGGCTGGTCTTAAACTCCTGACCTCCCTCAAGTGATCTGCCCACCTTGGCCTCCCAAAGTGCTAGGATTACAGGCGTGAGCCACCACGCCTGGCCAAACATCATTTTCTAGCTTACATACCTAGAACAGAATTGCTGGGTCTAGAGCATGAGTATCTTTAACTTTAGAAGATAACATGGAACTAGTTTCTTAAGTTTGCTCCTTCTGTTTACTCTCACATTAGAAGTCTGAGAGAGTTTCCATGATTGTCCACTAAAAAATTGCCCATATTTTTAATCTTTTAAATAGAAAACACGGCAGATGTGAAACAGTGTCTTATTGTGGTTTTCATTTGCACAGACCTGAATGCTAAGGAGGCTGACCATCTTTTCACGCCTGTATTGACCGCTGGGGTTTCAGCTGGGGGCTGTCTGCGTACGATGCGAGGGAGGGTGAAGTTTCTTTTTGTTCCAAGTGAGGGGGAGTTGTCACAGCACCTCTGCCATGCAACATTCTTCCTCACCATGTGGCACCCCATCTCGCTCTTTTTTTTTTTTGAGACCGAGTTTCGCTCTTGTTGCCCAGGCTAGAGTGCAGTGGCGCGATCTTGGCTCATCGCAACCTCCGCCTCCCGGGTTCAAGCGATTCTCCTGCCTCAGCCTTCCTGAGTAGCTAGGATTACAGGCATGCACCACCACACCTGGCTAATTTTGTATTTTTAGTAGAGACGGGGTTTCTCCGTGTTGGTCAGGCTAGTCCCGAACTCCCGACCTCAGATGATCCACCCGCTTCGACCTCCCAAAGTGCTGGGATTACAGGCGTGAGCCACCGCGCCCGGCCCCATCTCTCTTCTATCAGCTTCCGTGTGCGCGGTCCAGCTTCTGAGCTCTTTGTTTGCTCTGGTCTGAATGTTTTTGTCCCCCTAAATTCATATACCGAACCCTAATCCCCCAGTTGATGGTATTAGGAGGTGGGGATGTTGGGAGGTGATTAGGTTATGGGGATTAGTGTAACTGAACTCGGGTTCAGGCCACTCACTCGCCGACATTCGAGAGACAAGTTTTGGTAAAAGGAAAGGTAGCTTTATTCGAGAAGCCAGCAGCTTGGGAGGTGGGGGCAGGGGCACTGAACTCTTGTGTTCAAAGATCACCTCTCCAAGTTGTGTCTCCAGATGCACGTTTTTAAGGGAAATCTGGGGAAGTGCGAATGATGATCAAAGCATTCTTGTGGAACAGCAGCTATGTGCGCAGTCTCAGGCAGGTAGTTACGATTGCTGTCTTGCGGGGATGTCATGTGACCTTTTGCAAGTGCAGCTATTTTTTTTTTTTTTTTTTTTTTTTTTTTTTTTGGAACAGGGTTTCATTCTGTTGCCCAGGCTGGAGTGCAGTAGCATGATCACGGCTTACTGTAGCCTTGACCTCCCCAGGTTCAGGTGATCCTCCCACCTCACCCTCTACAGTAGCTGGGACTAAAGGCACGCACCATCACACCTGGCTAATTTTAAAATTTTTTTTAGAGATTGGGTTTTACCAAGTTGCCCAGGCTGGTCTCCAACTCCTGGGCTCAAATGATCTCTCCCCCTCAGCCTCCCAAAGTGCTGGCTGCACCAGGCCAGCCAGATTAGTCTTAGTTTTGCTTTTTTTTTGGACAGTCTCACTCTGTTGCCCAGGCATGGCTCATTGCAGCCTTGACTTCACTGGCTCAGGGGATCCTTCCACCTCAGCCTCCTGAGTAGCTGGGACTACAGGCGTGTGCCACACCTACTTAAATTTTGTTACTATTTATAGAGACGGGGTCTCCCTATTTTGCCCAGGCTGGTCTCAAACTTTTGGACTTACGTGATCCTCCTGCCTCGACCTCAGCCCAACTATTCTCATCTGGTGGGTGGAAACCTGCGGCTAGCCGCTTCCAGGATTGCTGGTCAGTGCACTTCTCTCTTATCTCTGCTGAAGGTCCTCTTTCCCTGAGGCTGTTTTTAATGAATAGTGTGTAAGCGTAAGCAAAGCTGTAATTATACTCAAGCAAACACAATTTTTCTTTAAGGTAGACTCAGTACTGTTATATTAGCACCCTCCTAGAAACCGAGCCCAGAGAGCTGCCTTGCCCCTTCTGCCATGTGAGGACGGAGCAAGACGGCACCATCTATAGACCAGGAAACAGCCCCTCCCCAGACACCGAATCTGCTGGCACCTTGGACTCCCAGCATCCAGAATTGGGAGAAATAAATTCCTGTTGTTGATAAGCCACTCAGTGTATGGTATTCTTTTTTTTTTTTGAGACGGAGTCTCGCTCTGTCACCCAGGCTGGAGTGCAGTGGCACAATCTCGGTTCACTGCAAGCTCCGCCTCCCGGGTTCCCGCCATTCTTCTGCCTCAGCCTCCCGAGTAGCTGGGACTACAGGCCGCCCGCCACCACGCCCGGCTAATTTTTTGTATTTTTAGTAGAGACGGGGTTTCACTGTGGTCTCGATCTCCTGACCTTGTGATCCGCCCACCTTGGCCTCCCAAAGTGTACGGGATTCTATGACAGCAGCCCAAACGGACGAAGATGTGCACTTGTGTGTGTGTGTGTGTGTGTGTTTTTTTTTTTTTGAGACAGAGTTTCGCTCTTGTCGCCCAGGCTGGAGCGCAGTGGCACGATCTCGGCTCACCGCAATCTCCGCCTTCTGGGTTCAAGAGATTCTCCTGCCTCAGCCTCCCGGGTAGCTGGGATTACAGGTGCCCACCACCATGCCCGGCTAATTTTGTATGTTTAGTAGAGACGGGGTTTCTCCATGTTGGTCAGGCTGGTCTCGAACTCCTGACCTTAGGTGATCAGCCCGCCTCGGCCTCCCAAAGTGCTGGGATTACAGTCGTCTGCCACTAAGCCTGGCTAATTTTTGTATTTTTTTAGAGAGGGGGTTTCACTATGTTGGCCAGCCTGGTCTCGAACTCCTGGCCTCTAGTGATCCACCCACCTTGGCCTCCCAAAGTGCTGGGATTACAGGCACGAACCACTGTACCTAGCCCCAGTGCACTTCAGAATCATCCTGTCAAGTTCCGCAATAAACCTGTTGGGGATTGTCAGTGAGCAACGTAGTTTATTGGGAGTTTGGTGGTGGTGGTTTGTAAAAAAAAAAAAAAAAAAAAAAAAAAAACAAACAACAACAACAAAAAACAGGCCATTCACAGTGGCTTGAGCCTGTAATCCCAGCACTTTGGGAGGCCTAGGTGGGAGGATCGCTTGAGCTCAGGAGTTCAAGACCAGCTTGGGCAACATAGTGAGACTGCGTCTCCACAAACATTTTAAAAATTAGTTGGGTGTAGTGACTCATGCTTGTAGTCCCAGCTACTCAGGAGGGTGGGATGGGAGGACTACTTGAGCCCAGGAGTTAAGAGGTTCCAGTGAGCTATGATAGTGCCACTGCACTCCCACCTGGGTGACAGAGCGAGACCCTGTGTCTAAAAAAGTAAAATGAAATGAAATAACAACAAAGCAACAAATGGATGTTAGATTTTAGCCAATATTCTGTCTATTGTGGGTGGGTTTTCCCCTGTCATCTATATTCTTCTCACTCTTCCCAGTTGAGGGTGCTGGGTGCTGGAGGGACCGCAGGGGGAAGTGGCTCTCTTGCTGTTTCTGTTCTGGACGGGGATGGTCAGCATGGGTGATGGTACTTTCAGTGCACATGATTTTTCTACAGCCTGGCTGCGCTGGGGATAACATTTCCATAGTCTTCTTTATTTTTTTCTGAGACAGGGTCTTGCTCTATTACCCCGGTTGGAGTTAGTGGCATGATCATGGCTCACTGAAGCCTCGACCTCCTGGGCTCAAGTGAGCCTCCCACCTCAGCCCCCAGAGTAGCTGGGACCACTGGTGCACACCACCACGCTCGTCTAAAGAATAGTTTTTGTAGAGATGGGGTCTCACTATATTGCCGAGGCTGGTCTGGAACACCTGGGCTCAAGCGATCCTTCTGCCTAGGGCTCCCAGCGTGTTGGAATTTCAGGCATGAACCACCACGCCTGGCCTCCGTAGTCTTCCTTTTTTTTTTTTTTTTGAGACGGAGTCTCACTCTTGTCACCCAGGCTGGAGTGCAGAGGCGGAGGTCTCCTCCGCCTCCCAGGTTCAAGTGATTGATTCTCCTGCCTCAGCCTCCCGAGTAGCTGGGACTACAGGCGCACACCACCACACCCGGTTAACTTTGTATTTTTAGTAGAGATGGGGTTTCACCATGTTGGCCAGCCTGGTCTTGAACTACTGACCACCAGTGATCCGGTTGCTTTGGCCTCCCAAAGTGCTGGGATTAAGGCATGAACCACTGCCCAGCCTCCATAGTCTTCTTGACACAGAAACCAAGCCTCATGCAGCCCACATGCTCTAAAGGGCTCCTGCCTCACTCCTTGTGCCTCAACCTCCCACTGCACATCCATGCCTCTGGTGGCTGCTCACCTGACCCCACCTCACAGGGGTGGCCTATTGCTTGGTCAGCAACTCCAGCCCAGCTCCTGCCTGGCCAAACCAGAGACTGTCTTTGCTGTCTGGTGGCCAAACTGCACGTTGTCCAGAGGTCTGACTCCTTCCAAGCTGGTCCTTTCTGGGTACTTTCCTTCAGCCCTAGAGTACCAAATAATTTCCTACATCTTACAGTTTACTCTTTAAAACGGTTTAGGCCGGGCACATTGGCTCACGCCTGTAATCCTGGCACTTTGGGAGGCCGGGGCAGGCAGATCACCTGAGGTCAGGAGTTCCAGATCAGCCTGGCCAACATGGTGAATCCCCGTCTCTACTAAAAATACAAAAATTAGCTGACGCAGTGGTGCATCTCTAGTAGCAGCTACTCGGGAGGCAGAGGCTGGAGAATTGCTTGAACCCAGGAGGTGCAGGTCGCAGTGAGCTGAGATCTTGACACTGCACTCCAGCCTGGGCGACAGAGTGAGACTCTGTCTCGGGAAAAAAAAAAAAAAGTTTTAAAATTGAGATATAATTCACAGACCATAAAATTCATCTTCCAAAGTTTTTAATTCATTGGTTTCTAGTATATTCACAAAGTTGTGCAACCATCATTCCACAATTTCATCATCTTCCAAAGAAAGCCCGTCCCTGTTAGCTGTCATGCCTCTTCTCTCTTCCTCCAGTACCTGGCAACCACCAATGTGCTTTGTCTCTGATACACAGATTTGCCTATTCTGGACATTTCACATAAACTCGTGATTGGCTTCTTTCACTTAGCGTAATATTTGTAGGATTCACTCAGGCTGTGGCATGCGTCAGAATTTCCTTCCTTTTTATGGCCAAATAATATTCCATTGTATGGACAGAACACACTTCATGTCTTAATTCATCTGTGGATGGACATTTGGGTTGTTGCTACCGTTTGACTTTTGAGTAATGCTGCTATGAACGCGGGAGCACAGGTATTGTGTGGATGGATGTTTTCAATTCTCTTGGGCATAGACCTGGGAAGGTTATACTTTTATTGATATTAATAGTTCTGATATTGGACATCCCTGCTGTGTGGTTTCACCTCTCATGGACTCTGACGGCTGCTGTGCCTTCTCTGCTCGGCAGGCGGTGCCCTGAGGCACAGGTGGGCGTCTGGGGCTGGAACTCTCGCTAGGCGCTACAACTTCCTCTCCTGCCCTGTGGCAGAGCCAAGCCCCTTGCAGGGCTGTTGCCAGCATGGGATGAGTCTATGAAAACACGTGGCACGCAGTAGGTCCACAGTTACCACTGGCAGCCTGGCAAGCCTGGCAGGGCCCGGACGGCAGATGCGCTTCGGTGCTGCTGTGAGTCTTGTGCTCTGCCTTAGGCAGAAAGTCCTGGGTTTGTGTTTTGTGAATGAATGACGCATGAGTGTGCCAAATATCCTTTACGTGACAGAAGAGGAGAGGGCTGGCTTGATTGAGTGTGGGGGGGAAGAACCTGGATCTTGTAATGTAATTTTTGTTTAAAAAAATTAGGGAAAAACCCCAAATATGACCATTTCCTGCCATTAGCCTGCAGATGAGCAGCTGACTCCCCAGTCCCATCCCTCCGCACTGCTTTTCCCTGTCCTGGGTCTGTTCTGTTACATGGAGTTCCTGGGGGAAGCCCTGGGGCCGGGGCATCTGCCCAGGGCTCACTGCTGTTGAAAGTGAATAAAGAACGTCCGGATTTCCTTTGGGTGGACGGTGATGATGGGGCCTCCTGGTGGCCTCGAGGGAGAGGTGGTGTCACCTAGGGGAACAGAGGTGATCTGTCCAGTGTGGCCTGGGATGCCTCCTCCCAGCCTCCCTCTCACCCCCTGCACCTGTCTACAGTCTGCTGTGGCTCCCAGCCTCCCTCTCACCCTCCTGCACCTGTCTACAATCTGCTGTGGCTCCCAGCCTCCTTCTCACCACACTGCACCTGGCTACAGTCTGCTGTGGCTCCCACCGTGGCAACGGCCTATGGCATCCCCTTCTGCCAGGACTCCTGTGGGCCTCTTGGCGTTTCTGCCCACCCTGAGGGCAATTCATAGGTTGGTCCTGGCCCTAGTGGCCTCAATTCCTCATGGGTGTTGCCCTCAAAGCCCAAGAGCTTTCTGAGACCATCTGGTGAGTCTGCCCTTGCCTCACCAGGCTCCCCTGAAGGCATGCCCTGGGGTTGGGCTTCGATCTTGGGAGGGAGCCGTCCACTTATCTATCACTCATCCATCTTCCTTCCTTCTTTCCAACCAACATCATCTTCCCTCCCTCCCTCCCTCCGTCCCTTCCTTCCTCCCACCACCAACTGAGCGTGCACCATGCACCCGCCACCATGCTGTGTGTAGTGGACAACGAGCTGCACAGGACAGAAGAAACCCCTGGGGCCAGGAGAGTGGAGGAGGCACTTGGCCTGGTTGGTGACTCTGGGGAGGCATCCTGGGGAGCTTGAGCAGGTGCTGGCCAGAGTGAATGGGACCTGTGCGTCCCAGGCAGAGGGCATGGTGCGGACAGGGAGTGGAGCCTGGAAGCTGCCTGTAGTGCAGGAGCTCACGGTGGCACATGTCGTATGAGGCAGGGACCGGCTGATGGGCTGAGGTCAGCAGGGCCAAGGTGGGCAGAAGCCCCTGGGCCCCTAGCTGTCACCCAGGGCACAGGCAGGGCGTGTGGTCTGCGTGTGCACACGTACAAGTGCACACACACGCCTGTGTGGAGCCCTGGCAGGCAGAGACTAACCCAAAGCCTTTCTTAACCGACTGTAGTAGATTTGGGAGGGCTGCGGGTTCAGAGTAGGAAAGCAGCCTCGCAAGGTCGCACAGGCCGGGACAGGCAGATGGTTGGATGTGCACCGGGTCTGACCAGCTGCTGAGCCTGGCTGGGAGTCCTGGGTAGGGAGCTGAAGCGGGGGTCCCCAAACCTCTGTGGCGGCCAGGCCCCGTCCTCCAGCTCCAGCGGTGCAGCATGCTCAAATCCCAGGTCCCTGTGAGCGAGCGCTCCTCCACTGCCACCACGGACCCCAGCGCCTGCAGCACAGCCTGCAGGGAGAGGAGCAGAGGGAGAGTGAGCTGCACCAAGTTCCAGAGCTGAGCAGAGAACCAAGACAGCAGCAGGGCAGACACACCACGAACTCGGTGTCCTCAGGAGCCCAGGTCCTCCCCTGGTGCCTGACACAGCTCCCTCATCTGCTTCTCACAGCACATCTGCGAGGACAGGACTGGCCGTGTACTTTACAGATGAGGACACTGAAGCGGGAGGTGCATGCTTTACCAGGTGGCCGAGCTGGAGGAGCAGCCCGGGAGGTGTGGCATTTTGAGCTGCCCACCCCACCGCGGAGTTCTCCTCTCCCCACATTGCTCAGGTGGCCCCGTGCCCAGTCCAGGGAGGAAGCCAGCCACAGTTACCCCATCCCCCTTTCCCAATAGGCCTTGTCCCAGCCTCCCTTACACCTAGGGGAGGCAGGAGGCCCTTAGGGGTCTGGAAAAGTCTGTGGAGCAGGAGGGCTGGGGGTGGCTCTTGGAGAAGCTTCTGTGTGCTGACGGAGGGAGAGAGCCACGCTAGGGCAAGGCCTTTCTGGCCACTACTGCTGAGCCCTACCCTGCCTTGAAATTTGCTCATGAGGGAGGCCTGTGCCATCTTGTGACCGCAAACAAGCAGACGGCAAAAGACAAAAGCCAGTCTGCCGGCGATGGCGGGAAGATGACAGTGATCGGGCCCACGGTGACAGCGCTTGGGGTCCATCGGACATGCCTGTTCGGTGAGAAAACACTCTGTCCTCTGTTCTAAGCACATCTGTTAGGTGTTTTGTGACTTGCAGCCAAACTCACTGCGTTCCTAACTCAATGGTCTTTCCACCCCACCACCGTCCACGTTGGGCAGGGAGTCATGGTGTCCATCCCAACCGTCTCCTTGTCTCAGGGCCTTGGTGCTTCCATCTGTGAAACGGGGGAGCATCAGATGACCAACTTCCAGGTCCCACGCTGGCCTCCTTGCTTCCCAGGGCAGGCTGGCCCTGTGCTGGGCACTGGTACCCGCCATGGCCTAGACCTGCTCTCAGGCAGGCCAGGGACCGTGAGGAAAGGATCCTCCGTGGCGAGGATCATGAAAGAGGAGGTGGGTGGCCCAGTAAGACATCATGGCGAAAAGGTACTGGGGCTTCTCTGGATTCCCCTGAAGACTCAGATGTCGAAGGAGGCCCAAGGCAGAAACACAGAGATTCACAGAAATTCTCCATGAGCAGGAAATGAAATAGAAAGAATGCAAACTGGGAAAGAAATGAGGCGGCTCAGGTCATGCCTTCTGGGGAGGGAGCGTGGGCAGGCCAGGTGGCGGAAGCCTCGCCTGATAGTAGAGCTGAGAGGGCAACATCAGCCAAGAGGGGAACCTGGAAGGGGACGAGGCCTGGGGGCCCTGACACTGCACGAGGCCCCTTAGTGCCAGGGCCTCTCAGCAACCTTCTGGGCAAAGAACTCTCACCTCTCCCCATTTTACATGGGGGGAAACTGAGGCCCAGAGGCATGGGGTGCCGGAGATGCCCCCGTAGAGGGGCCTGGGTGTGGACCCTGGATTGTCTGACTCTAAGTCACCTTTCAAAGCAACTCTATGGGGAATCTGTTTTGTTTTTGGATTACACAGATGTTGTCTGTGTTTTAAAAGTTTTACCACAGAATAAATAAGAAAGAAAATACAGGCCACTCACGCCTGTAATCCCAGCACTTCAGGAGGCTAAGACAGGCAGATTGCTTGAGGCCAGACGTTCGAGACCAGCCTGAGCAACACAGCAAGACCGTGTCTCTACTAAAAATAAAAAAACTAGGCCAGGCTTGGTGGCTCACGCCTGTAATCCCAGCACTTTGCGAGGCCGAGGCAGGTGGATCACCTGAAGTCAGGGGTTCGTGACCAGCCTGACCAACATGGAGAAACCCTGTCTCTACTAAAAGTACAAAAAAATTAGCCGGGCGTGGTGGCACATGCCTGTAATCCCAGCTACTCGGGAGGCTGAGGCAGGAGAATCACTTGAACCTGGGAGATGGAGGTTGCAGCCAGCTGAGAGCGCACCATTGCACTCCAGCCTGGGGGACGAGAGCGAAACTCGGTCTCAAAAAAAAAAAAAAAAACTTAGCCATCGTGGTGGCGCGCCCCTGTGATCCCAGTTACTTGGGAGGTTGAGGTGGGAGGATCACTTGAGCCAGGGAGGCAGAGGTTGCAGTGAGCTGAGATTGTGCCACTGCACCCCAGACTGGGCAACAGAGTGAGATCCTGTCTCACATATACACAAAAAACCCTAAAAAACCAGGCCAGTTGTAATACCTGACAAACCCAGAAGACCATGAAGAAGGGCGGGGTGGGGCCCATACCAGCGTCCATTTGGGAGGAAGCCCTCGTGGATCTCTTTGCCAAGGCAGTTTCTTGGGGCTTCATCTAGGGTTTGCTTCCCTGGCTTATGGTCTGGATGGGGGTGGGGAAGTTCACCTCCAGATTCACTGTCACTGGCTGAGACAGGACTGGGTCCTCGCCCACTTCATATAGGTGGTAGAGCCGCAGCAGGACACGGCGGAGGTCAGCCTGGGCTTCCCCTCGATGGCCTTTGGGGACAGAAGGAAGGTGGCAGTGAAGACCCTCATCAACCAACCCCAATGTCCCTGGTCTATACCCGCTGCTTTACACACTCAGCTCCATTTCCTATCTGTAACCTCCTCGATATGGTTTGGCTGTGTCCCCAACCAAATCTCATCGTGAATTGTAGCTCCCATAATGTCCACATGTTGTGGGAGGGACCTGGTGGGAGGTAATTGAATCATGGGGGTGAGTCTTTCCTGTGCTGTTCTTGTGATAGTGAATAAGTCTCATGAGACCTGATGATTTTGTAAAGGGCAGTTCCCCTGCACACGCTCTCTTGCCTGCCACCATGTAAGACGTGACTTTGCTCCTCATTTGCCTTCTGCCATGATTGTGAGGCCTCCCTATCCAGGTGGAACTGTGAGTCCATTAAACCTTTTTTCTTCATAAACTACCCAGTCTCGGGTATGTCTTTATGAGCAGCATGAGAACAGACTAATAGACTCCATGTGAGACAGCTGACATGGCCCCCACTCGACAAGGAAACCAAGGCTCAGAGAGGGGCAGTCACGTGCCCAAGGCATACAGCTGGTGCGCGGCAGAGGGAGGATTCCCACCCAGGTCTGGCCGACTGTAAGGCTGCCCACCATGACACCAGCTGCAATGTTTCCATCCTCGTCCACTGTTGTGGGCATATTGGGGCATGTCCTCAAATACTCCAGTCTCTCCTACCCTGCCCCCTTTGAAGTCAGGGGAGGCTGCGTGGCCTCTGTGGCCAATGCAAAGTGAGCTGAAGTGACGCAGTACTTCCCGGCAGAAGCTTTTTCTTGCCATGGTGAGTGAGGAAGCACGTGCTGCAATACAAACTCCATCAGCGGGGGGCGTGGTGGCCACAGCAAGAAAAACCTTCCTGCTAACCCCACTGGATGCACAGCATGGGGGAGAAATGAATATATACTGTTAAGACCGTGGGCATTCGGGGCTCTTTGTTACTGCAGCATACGCCAGCCACCCTGACTGATATAATGCTGTCATTTGCCACATGATGTATGTGATCTCCTGTCCCATCCCTGATCTTCCCACTCAGAAAGGCTCATTGCCATTGCTCCCGTTTTACAGATGGGAAGACCGAGGCTCAGAGGAAAGCACTGAGTTCAAGGTCCTGGAGAGAGGACCTGGTTAACACAGGTGCTTCCTAAACCCTGGCTGGTAGAACCTCAGCTCTGCAGCTATGCCTCAAAGCTGACTAAATCAATCTGTCTGGGATTAGAATTGAGGCATCAGTATTAAAAAAAAAATTTTGGCAGGGTGTGGTGGCTCACACCTGTAATCGCAGCACTTTGGGAGGCCAAGGAGGGCGGATTGCCTGCTGTCAGGAGTTTGAGACCAGCCTGGTCAGCACAGTGAAACCCTGTCTCTATTAAAAATACAAAAATTAGCTGGGCATGGTGGTGGGCACCTGTAATCCCAGCTACTCGGGAGGCTGAGGTAGGAGAATTGCTTGAACCTGGGTGGTGGAGGTTGCAGTGAGCCAAGATCACACCACTGCACTCCAGCCTGGGCAACAGATTGAGACTCTGTCTCAAAGAAAAAAAAAATTTTTTTAGAGACAGGGTCTTGCTCTGTTGCCCAGGCTGGAGTGCTGTAGCATGATTACAGCTCACTGCAGCCTTGAACTCCTGGCCTCAAGTGATCCTTTCACCTCAGCCTCCTGAGTAGCTGGGACCACAGGCAAGCATCACCACACCCGCCTAATTTTTTAATTTTTTTTTGTAGAGACAGAGTCTAGCTATGTTGCCCAGGCTGGTCTCGAACTCCTGGCCTGAAGTGATCCTGCTACCTCGGCCTCCCAAAGTGCTGGCATTACAGATGTGAGCCACCTTGCCTGGCCCATTTTTAAGAAGCTATCATGGGGCTATGGGGTAGCTGGTTTTCAGAATGGCACAGGGGAATGACTGCCCAAGATCACAAAAGCCAAGAGGTTTGTGAAAGTGCTTCTACATCTCCTGGTGTGGTGGTGAGGAGTTCCAGCTCCAAAGTCAGGGAAGGCCTCCTGTGTCCCACACAGCAGGAATGGTGAGGGATCCCATTTCACAAGGCGGCTGCAGGTGCCTGGGAAAGCAGGCTCAGGCACACGCCACCATGACCAGAGAACTTTTCTATTTTTATTTTTATAGACACAGGATCTTCCTATGCTGCCCAGGCTGGTCTTGAACTCCTGGGCTCAAGCAATCCGCCTGCCTCGGATCCCCTAAGTGCTGGGATTCCAGGTGTGAGCCACTGCGCCCCACCCTTTTCCTCGTATTCTTAATTCTGCAGGTGTGCCAGGCCTTGGGGACCTGAGGATGGCTGAGGCACAGTCTGACCCTGCCTTTCCACTGCTCACGGTGTAGAGGGGGCAGAGGAGGTGCAGCTGGGGCTCTGGCAACAGGACAAGTCAGTTCCCAGCAGGTGTCGCCTCCTCGGGGAGCCCCCCATCATGCTGTGCAGGGGGATTCCTCTTGTCCTTGTCATTACTGCCTGGTGACTTGATTGCTTCTGCTCTAGACCAAGCGCTCAGAAAGCCAGGACCTTGCCCACCTTGGTCATTGCTCATTCCCCGGAGCCTGGCACGAGACGTGCTGTTGAATGAGTGAGTGGAAACTCCCAAGAGTTAGGCTGCCTGAACTTGGAGGATGAGTGGGAATTTGGGTGTTTGGGGGCTCCAGGAGGTTTCCCTGGAAGAAGTAGGACTGGCAGGCAACCTGGGGGTCAGGGGGACTTTAACTAGTTCCTTAGTCTCAGCTGGGGGTGGCAGGCTGAGAGGGATCCATTCAGAATGCGCTGGGGTCACAGGGCTGGGGGCCAGGCCCACCTCGCCTCCAGCTTGCCAAGTGACTGATCACTGACTCTCCCTGGGCCTCACTCTCCCCATGTGCCAGATAAGAAACCAGGTGACCTTGCAGAGCCATGATAGCTCTAAGGTGAGCCCCTGTCTGGTGGTGGGCCCGGTGGCCTGTTTGACTCAGGGAGGGAGGAGCAGGTCTGAGACGCCAGGGCACCTGCCTCACCTTTCCGGAGATTCTGAGAGTGCTCCGTGTGGTTGGAGCTGTAGCGCCAGCCAGGGATGCTCAGGATCTGCAGGTGAAGATTCGGGGGCAGCGTCACGGCCTCTTGCTGCTGGGGTCCTGGGAGCTTCGGCGCAGTCCCTGCAAGGCAGATGGACAGAGTGAGGAGAGGGTTTGGGGCTCAACTCCTCCTCCTGGCACTCAGAGCTCTGCACATTACATGCCCCTGCCCCTGCCAGCCACTTCCCATGCATCCTTGTGGGTAGCCTACCCCGCACCAGCCCAAAGTGTTTGTGCTCCCAATGCCCCAGGCCTCCACTTCCCTGCCTTTGCTCAGACCATAGAGCTTAAGAGCTGGGAGGACCCTGACTCTCCTCAGCCTAACCATCTCAAAGTAGAGACGAGGAAAGAGCTCAGAGGGCACAAAGCTTATTCAAGATAACAAGGCAAGTTCAGGCACAGCCCTCTCCTCTCTCTCTCCTTTCTTCCTTCGTTTTTTTCCTTCCTTCTTCCTCCCTCCCTCTTTTTTCCTTCCTTCCTTCCTTCCTCCTCCCTCTTCCTTTCTTCCTTCTTTCCTTCCTTCCCTCCCTCTCTTCTTTTCTTTTCCCTCCCGTCCCCTCCCTTCCGTTCCCTTCCCTTCCCCTCCCTCCCTCACTTCCTTCCTTCCTTCCCTCCTTCCTTCCTCCCTTCTTTCCTTCCTTCCATCCCTCTCTTCTTTTCCCTCCCCTCCCCTCCCCTCCCTTCCATTCCATTCCCCTCCCTCCCTTCCTTCCTTCCTTCCTTGTAGATAGGGACTTGCTGTGTCACTCAGGCCAGAGTGCAGTGGTGCAATCACAGCTCACTGCAGTCTCAAACTCCTGAGCTCAAACTATCCTCCCACCTCAGCCTCCCAAGTAGCTGGGACTATGGGCCACCACCCTGGCCAATTTTTAAAAATTTTTTTGTAGAGACAGGGTCTCACAGGCTAGTCTTAAACTCCTGGGCTTAAGAGATCCTCCCGTCTTGCCCTCCCGAAGTGCTGGGATTACAAGTGTGAGCCACCATGTCCGGCCAGAACCCTGTTTTCTACTCAAGATCTGGGATGCCAGTTCCACCCCTGTTTTGTCATCTACTGGTCTCTCTGCTCAGAAGGCACCTCAGCCCCTACTCCTTTCAGGTCTAGATGTTCAGCTGGAGCTACCATCTTCTTACAATACCCCAGGCCATGCTGATTGGTCCAGGCATGGGCCACCTGACCCCAGTAGGACCAATCAGAATCTTTCCCTAGGACTTTTGCACTTGGAACTGGAAAGTCCAAGTCTTAGGTCCTTTTGAGTGGGGAAGACAGAGCTGCTCTTTGAGAGCAGCCCCAGAGCTGTTCAGAGTCACATCCCAGGTGGGAGGTGAAGGAAAGTCTGCAGACAGAGAGAAGTGCAGGTGAGAGACGAACAAGGACAGCCTCACGAGGGCTCCAGGCCCTGAGGCCCAATTACACCCTGCCCTTCCCTTGGTTATGTGGGCCTCACCATACACTCTCCCTGGGGGCTCAGCTAGTTCAAGTTGGGTTTCCGTTACTTGCAACCAACAGAGACCAGAGTGAGGCCAGGTGGGATGGAGCTGACAACAGCCATGGGGCTTTCTCAGACATGGCCTCATCTCCCTTTGCAGGAAAAGCCCCAGCTACACAGAAGGAACCACTGACTGGTCTGGGAGCAGAACCTGACCCTGCTAGGCCAATCAGATTTCCTCTTCTGGGAATCTGAAGCAAGGGAACCAGAGGTGGCTCAATGGCCGTCCTGGGAGACATGGCTGTGAGCCTCTGCTCCTGATATGCCTAGAGCTGCCCTGCCCCATGCCTGTCTGGACCTTGTATCCAGCTCCTCCTTAGATTCCATGAGCTTCTCCAGGCTCTGCCCAAATAGCTGCCCCTTCAGGCTCTGTTACTTCCAAAGAACCTTAATTGACACCCCCTGGACCTGATCCCTGACCTCCTCCCAGCTGTGGTCTCACACTCCTCTACACCCACGAAACACCAGGCCCTCTATGGCATGGCTCCTTCTCCACCCTGAATCCTGGCTCTATACGAGCATGCCTCCCCTGTCCAACAGCCCAGGAAAACTCTCCTGGGTCCGGGCTGCTCTTCTGCATCTCCAGTGTATGGCACAGGCACACTGCAAGTGCTCAGTATATGCTTGTTGCATGGGTGAGTGACAGCCTGCCTGCTGGCTACTGCCCTGGGTTCTGGCTCTAAAACCAAAGCAGGGAGAACCTTAAAAGCACATGCTAATCAAAACCTCCATAGGTGAGTAGAAAAAGAAAAGAGTTTAAGGATTAGTGAGAATGGCAGCAAATTGTATCTAGGTCTTGCAGCTCCAAAAGACCATCTTTAAATGTAATCATTGTTTAATGTTTCTCATGTTCTGCTACTTTATAGAGACACAGAACTACATGGTTGTTGATCTGATCTACAGAAGCTCAGTGGAGGTACAGAATAAGTCCTTTAGGTTAGACTATAGATTAGAAAGACCCCCACCTGGTGACAGCACACCTAGATTCAGACCCAACTTGTCTTTTATTTTTACTTTTGAGACAGAGTCTCGCTTTGCCACCCAGGCTGGGGTGCAACGGTGCAATCTCAGCTCCCTGCAACCTCTGCCTCCCGGGTTCAAGCGATTCTCCTGCCTCAGTCTCCCGTGTAGCTGGCATTACAGGATTACAGGCATGCGCCACCATGCCCAGCTAACAAACCAGTCTTTTAAATGCTAAGCCTCCAGACCTAAAGTGACATGGTGACATAATGTCATATTAAGAAAGGAAAAGATACATCAGAGAAGAAAATGGAGAAGATACAGGGAAGAGGCATATGGTGAAATGGGTGAGTCCCAGCTCTGTACCTCCTAGTTGTATGACCTTAAGTGAGCCACTGTTTGCCCTCAGTTTGCCCATCTGTTAAATGAGGGGCTTGGGCTAGAGGTCCCTGAGGTCGCTTCCTGCCCAAAAGCTGCCCAGAGTCATGAGGGCACAGGCCCCTCCCAAGGCCCGCCCTGGCCTGGCTGGTGCTGAGGCAGTGATGATGTTACTCTGAAAGGGTGCCCCTTTACCAGCGAGGTCTCCGAACAGCACCACGGGCCTGTGCTGCAGCGCCAGTGCGCTCCTCTGGCGCAGGGCAGTGGTGAGGGACCAGGATCCCAGCAGAAGCCAGAGCACTGGGTGGACGACTGAGGTGTCGTTCAGCGTGAGGTTGTAGCCCAGGTCCCAGTCGAAGTTGTTCCACAGCCGCCGGTGGAGCATGACCTGCGGGAAGGCATTGTCCGAGAGGCCCGGCTTGCACCTGGGCATGCCTGTAGGGGGCCGCGAGGGGCTGCTGTAGGACAGACCGTGCCTCCTACCTCCACCTGCCCATTCCCTTGGCTGGAGATGCCATGTGCCCGCTCCGACAGCAACACAAGCCTGCTTTTGCCATCCTCCATGAAGGCCGACTGAACCATGGGGTAGTAATTCTGCAGACAGAAACATCGCCAGGTGGGCGATTGGGGCAAAGGGCAAGGTAGGTCAGGCATCACCCTCTGGCCACCCCAGCTGGTGCTCCCCATAGGCACAGCAGCAGCATGGGGCTGGGACCCTGACTTTGGAGACCAACAGACTGGGGTTCAGACACCAGCTCTGTGGCTTCCTAGCATACAGCTCAGCTGACATGGGTGCAGGCCCTGGCCAAGCCCTGGCCACGCATCATCTCATGGATCCTCAGAATGACCCTTTGATGAAGGAGCCATTTTACAGGAGAGGAAACCGAGGCACAAGCCAAGGCACATACTATTCTTGTCTGTGGTAGCACCAGAATTCAGACACCAGTCTGACTCACAGCCTGCACGCTCAAGCCCTGAACGGGCAGATACACAGGCTTTAAAAGAATTCTCTCTGGAGGCCGGGCGCGGTGGCTCACACCTGTAATCCCAGCACTTTGGGAGGCTGAGGCGGGTGGATCATCTGAGGTCAGGCGTTCAAGACCAGCCTGGCCATCATTGTGAAACCCCATCTCTACTAAAAATATAAAAATTAGCTGGGCATGGTGGCAGGCGGCTGTAATCCCAGCTACTCGGGAGGCTGAGGCAGGAGAATCGCTTGAACCTGGGAGGCAGAGGTTGCAGTGAGCCAAGATCGCTCCATTGCGCCCCAGCCTGGGTGACAGAGTGAGACTCCATCTTAAAAAAAAGGAAAAAAACATTCTCACTGGAGGCCTCTACTGGCCTCTACTGCTGCAATTTGATGCTTAATGGGTCCAGGAAAGGCGCCATTGGGAGCGTGCCTTGTGGGCATTGCAGGACATACCCGGGCGATGCTGTTGTTCACATAGGAAACGTAGGGCCTCCGCTGCATCTGGTAGCCGTTGTTGTCTGAGTAGATGACCTGCTGGCTGTTTAGGTTGGTGCTGGTCCTCAGGACAGCCTCACGGTTCAGCTCCAGGGGGCCGGCTTGGTACTCCTGCTCTATCCGGTGGCAGAGCAGCTCCCCGTCATGGCCCTGCGGCACATGGGTGAGCCGGGAGCGGATTGCATACGTGTAATTCTGTGCTGTCATGTTCCTGGAGGAGAAGGGAGCATCAGTAAGTGAAGCTCCAGGAACCTTCTAGATGCTTCCTTTTTGCTTCCCTTCCTTCATGTGGGCAGGGTGGGCAGGGCAGGGTACGCCGAAAGGCAGGGAGCCTTCTTGGGCCATGTGGACAATAGCACCACCCAGGACCCCGAGCGGCTGGGAGCAGCCTGGTTCCCCGACACCGCAGGGCTGCCATGCCGGGCCTGCCTTACGTCTGCTCTGATCATGGAAGAACAGGTGCTCTGTGGGCCCCAGGGTCTGTGGGTCTCTCTCCCAGCTCTGAACTTAGCTCCCAACCAACGTGACACAGCACACGCAAACGCAGCCAGCATGCAGACACCAGAGCAATTCATTTCTTCATCAGACCACGTGTCAACCACGGCCCGGAAGCTGGGGTTCAGAGCAAAGACAGACCCTCATTCACTGAGCTGCCTGCACGCGTGCGCTGACTGTGTGCCGGGCTGTGGGGGTCACCCCAGGGGAAGCACCTGTAGAAGTACTGCCGGATCTCAGTCACAAGCTGTCCCGCCACAATCTCCATTTCCACAGCTTCCCACGCAGGCACCGCGGCCTTGCCCGGTGTGAACAGGTAGTTATCGGAAATGGGGCCCTGTTTCACATCCCCGTTGACGTGGTACTCCAGGAATTCCTGGGTCACGCGCACCGTTCGGTTACTCTGTCTGCAGAGGCAGGAGAGAGAAGATGTCATTCTCATCCTGCACAAGGTCTTACAGACACCGGCTGGCAAGCCTCTCTCTCCAGATGCCATCTGAGTGGCCTGCGTAGCACTCACGAGGCCATGTGACTCAGCTCATCTAGAAGCCCTGAGACCCCACCCACAGCCAGTGTGGCCTTAGACTCCATGCTGTCCCAGAATGGGTCACAAACGAGGAGACGGACAGAGCCTGCAGACAGGAACCGTGAGCCGTCAGCAGAGGGCACCCCCAAGAGATGGAACTGGCTCACCCAGGCTGTGGTCTGCAAGCGAAACCAGTGCAGGAACGGGCTTTTGTCATGCTGACTCTGAGCTGTCCAGCAGGACACCCATGTGTACAGACCCCATGTCATGGGCCAGAGCCTTCACTGACTTCACCTGGTTAAATTCTCCCAACCCCCAAAGGCAGGGACTGTTAACCCATCCCACTCCCGAGGCATCCGAGGCTGGAAGTTGTGACATCATGTACCCAAGATCACACATCTAGGAAGTGTGCAAGCCAGAACTCAAATTCAGCCCCGACTTTAAATTCTGTGCTCCCTCCCTTCTATTAGGATGTTTGTGTTAGGACAGAGGATGGGAGAAGAGCAGGAGGGGGTCAAGTATTTTAATTGTAAAATGCAATATTTGGCCTAACCAAGTGCACAAGTGATGTATTTGTATCTGAGTCTGGCCTGGCTGTGGGCGGACAATGAGGTGGATGGCCTCTGCACCCACTTCTCTGTGGGATTGTGGTGAGGGTGGGGAAGGAAAGGGAGGCAGGCTGTGGAGGGTTCTACTGAGTGCTGGTGGAGGAGGAGAAAGAAAAGAATTGAGGCCTCTGGCCCTGGACCCCTTCCCCGCACGATCCTTTTAAAAAGCTCCCCCAGGGGCCATCAAAAGAGTAAAAAGACAAGCCATGGAATGGGAGGAGGGATTTGCAAATCATAAATCTGACAAGGGACTTGTAGCTAGAATATATAAAGAACTCTTACAACTCAATAATAAAAGACAAGCCAATTTAAAAATAGGTAAAGGATCTAAAGACACATCTCACCACAGAAGATATGCTAGTGACCAGTAAGTACATGAAGAGATGCTCAACACCATTAGTTAGCAGGGAAATGCAAATCGAAACCATCATGAGATGCCACTTCTCGCCCACGAGAATGGCTATAATTGAAAAGACAGAAAATAACAAGTGTGGGCGAGGATGTGAAGAAATCAGAACCCTCATCTGCTGCTGGGAGGAACAGAAAATGGTGCAGCCGCTTTGGAAAACGGTCGGGCAGTTCCTCAAAGAGTTAAACATAGAGTTAGCTTGTGACTGAGTAATTCTACTCCTAGCTATGTACCCAGGAGAAACGAAAATGTATGTCCACACAAAAACTTGTACATGAATGTTCAGAGCAGCATTATTGATAGTGGCTAAAACGTGGAAACAACCCAAATGTCCATCAACTAAAGAATGGATAAACAAAATATGGTACATACATGCGATGGAATAGTATTCTGCCATGAAAAGGAACGAAGTACTGATACGTGCTACGATACTGATGAACCTTGAAAACATGCTAAGTGGGTTGTGGGTTGGGCATGGTGGCTCAAGCCTGTAATCCCAGCACTTTGGGAAGCTGAGGCAGGTGGATCACTTGAGCTCAG
The DNA here is from genome assembly GCF_000001405.40 of Homo sapiens. Lineage (NCBI taxonomy): Eukaryota > Metazoa > Chordata > Mammalia > Primates > Hominidae > Homo > Homo sapiens. Next base: position 6,607,430 of record NC_000004.12, on the reverse strand, counting down.
GAGTTTGAGACCAGCCTGGGCAACATGGTGAAACACCATCTCTGCAAAACACAAAAATTAGCTGGGTGTGGTGGTATGCACATGTAATCCCAGCTACTCAAGAGGCTGAGGTGGGAGGATCACTTGAGCCCCAGAGGAGGTTGAGGCTGCAGTGAGCCATGATTGTGCCACTGCACTCCAGCCTAGATTACAGAGTGAGACTCTCTCAATCAATCAATCAATCAATAAAAAGGGGGAAAAATATGTGAAGTGAAAGAAGTGAGTTGCAAAAGGACCACATATTGTATGAACAGGTAAATCCATATAGACAGAAATAGTCTAGGATTGCCAGGGCCCGTGGGGGAGTGATTGCTCAACAGCATGAAGTTTCTTTCTGGAGTAATGAAAACGTTCTAAAATTGATTGTGGTGATGGCTGCACAACTCTGTGAATGCACCAGAAACCACTGAATTGCCCACTTTAAATGGGTGAATTGTGTGTTATGTGAAGTGCATCTCAGTCAAGCTGTTACATAAGGAACAGAAGCGCTCCCTTCAACCCACACTGCCCTGGGGTTGGTGTCTGCACCCTTGGCTTCCCACCCCAGGCCTCTGCACAGGCTGTCTCCTTCCTATGGAGCAACCTCCCCTATGCCCTTCGAGGCCTGGGGCCTGGCCCCAGGTGTCGTCTCCCGATGGCCCCTACTCTGAATACCAACAGCTCCTCCTTTCTGCTCAGGTGACAGGCACTGGTTTTGCAAGGCTTACCCCTGGTGGGGTTTTGGGAGCCCAATAAGAACTCCTTTGTCCTCACTGGAGTTCAAAACAAGAGAGACAGACAGGGCCACAAACGGGACAGGACAGCCTGAGCTCCAGTGCTGGAAATGCCGGGTGGGACCCTGGCTTAGGCATGTGGGGTCCGTGGGCTGCCCTAAGGGGCATGTACAGAGGGGGCATGGGGCCTGAGTGAGGAACGGACAGGGCACATTCTGCCTCTCCTGGCCTAACCTGGCAGGCTTGGACCATGCTGGGGTTTCTCCCATTTCTGCAGCTCCTCTGCCCAACTCCCCCCTTGCCAGCCACCCATGCTGGCTGCTGTCACCCCTGCACCTGCCCCACTTTCCCTCAGGAGCCACTGGGGAAAGATGAGGACAGACCTGACTGGGGCCCCATTCCCAGAGAAGTCCTGGAGCTCTGTGGGCAGGGAGCTGCTGACAGTGACCTTGAGCTGAGCTCCCCTGATACCCACCTCAGTACAAATGCCCCTCTCCCTTCTTCTCTCCCTCCTCTTTTTCTGTCTCCCCTCTCCCCTTTCCTGTCCCCTCACTTTCTGCCATGTACCCCTCTCCATTAGAAGGTCACATCAGGAGACAAGGTGAGTATTCTGGCAGAGGCAGCTGGGCCTGATGAAGACTCCACCGGACGTGGCCTAGGAAGGATAAACCAGCCACGAGGTCTTTCTTGGGAGGTCAGCTGCCCACTCTGATGTCCACAAATAGCTGCTGAATGAATACATGAATGAATGAATGAATGAATGAATGGGTGGTTGGGTGAGTGGATGGATGGATGAATGGGTAGGTACATAGGTGGGTGGGTAGATGGATGGATGATGAATGGGTGGGTAGGTAGATGTATGGATGGATGGGTAAGTGGGTGAGTGGATGGATGAGTGGGTGGATAATTGGGTGGATGGATGGATAACTGGGTGGGTAGATAAGTGGGTGGGTGAATAGATGGGTAAGTAGACAGGTGGGTGGGTGGGATTAGATGATTTTGAAAGTCCCGTCCTGCTTTAAAGACAGTAACACTATTTACTGAATAGAGATTTTATGTTTCTCTAAATTAAAAAAAAAGTGGTAATTTTTTTTTCCCAGAGTGAGTCCCTCAGTGCTCATTTTTTTCTATGGATCAATAGCCCTGGAATGAAAAAGTATAAGAAAGCCTTTCCTGCACTGGCCCAGGCTCACACTTCTAAAATTAAAGATCACAATAGCAGGAAGGGGTTTCACCACCATCTGTCCTTCCCCCAGGCAAGTGAGCAAATGGAGAATCCAGGTAGGGGCCTGACATGCCCAGGCTCCAGGCATGCCTGTGCCTCAGAGACAGCAATGGCTGCACCTTACCTCTCCCAGATGCTGTGCATCAGGTTGGTATCCTGGTCGAGCAGCACAATGTAGCAGTCGTTTGCCACAGGCACCAAGTACCTGCCCGCATGGCTGGTGCGTCTCCTCAGCCTGCGGCCAAATTGAAGGGTGCTCGCCACAGTGGCAGCCGGCTCCTGGGTGCCCTCTTGGGCCCCTGCAGTGGGTCTGATGTTGTAGTGCCGGTAACTGAGGCCTGGGATTGTGGTCAGAATAAGCAGGTCATACGCAGATGGGGTCTCTGTTGAGTTCTGGATCTGCAAGGCCAGCAGGATGAGACTTGTTAACTGTCAGCTCTCACACTTTCTGGAATGGGGTGCTCACTACTTGCTGAGGCAGCAGTGTCTTTCCATCTCTCGGATCCTGCCGATTTCTCCTCCCTGCCCCCAGTTCTGGCTTTCTCCCCTTGGACCCCCACAAACCACATCAGTCCTGGGAGAACCCTTCAGCGACCTGAAGATAGCTGGTTCTTGGGGTCCCCAAAGCTTCTCTTACTCCCACCTCCTGAACTGGGAGCTCCTGAACACCCCCAGCTCCTTTAATCATCCTTCATCAACCAAAGTGATGACTCCCAAAAGCAAACCCAAATCCACTGACCTCTTCTGGAACCCGAGATCCACGAATACAGCTTCTTGTTTGACGCCTCCACGTGGATGTCAACAGCTGACCTCACCAGCTACCCCATCCCACCCAAATCTGCTCCCTGCAGCATCCCCATCCAACGATGGCCCTTCCAGCACCTACCCTGCACCTTCTGCTCCCCGCTGTCCGGCTTTCTCCACCCCTACCCCCTAGTCATCCCATCCCTCAGTCACTCCCCTTCCCCATCCCCCAGGAATCCCCATCCCCCATCCTCCAGCCACTCCCACCCACCACCAAGGCCCCCCACCGCCTTCTTGAGGCCTTTCATCTCCCTTCCCTGTGGCCTCTGCCTGGTCACAGCTGCTGTGGCCCCTCCCTAGGTAACTGCCCAGCATCTGCACTGCTGTCCCCACATCCACTCCTGTGCCTACCAACCCATCCACTGCAGCAACCAAAGCAAGCTTTTCGAGACTCTTGTCTGCTGCAACTGGGGAAGGAAGCCTCCTCTGGGACCCAGCCTCCTCCCTGCGGTGACCTTACTCTGTCCTCTGGCCCTTGGGGCTCCAGCATCACCAACCCTTCCTTCCTGACACTCCTGCCGTTTCCTGCCTCTGAGCCTGTGCCACGCTGTGCCCTCCACCTGGACTACCTTCTCCTGGGAGGGGCCATCCCCCAATCTTCTCATCCCCACGTGGACGGACTTTTCCAGGTTAACCCTCCTGGCCTCTGCTCACCTCCAAGGTGTCTGATTTGGAGAGGGAGGCTGGAGGAGGGCACTGTGCCCCCTCAGTTCCTGTGCCCCAGTGGGGAGGCCCCCCCAATAATGGTGTACACGCCTCCCGACCCAGCCTTTATCCCAAATACAGCAGATACCTGTTCCCTGTCTGCCTGATCCCACATTGATGCGGCCTGGCCCACCTATTTAAAATGTGTCCCCAGCCCCTGCAACTTGCTGTAGTGACTGTCCCCCTCACGGTGGTCATCGCCTATCATATTCCATATTTTTCTTATTTTACTTATCACCTGTCTCCCCTACTGGAATAGATGCCCCAGGCAGTGGGATTTTGTCTGTTTGGTTAGTACACCATCCCCAGCGCCTAGAACAGGGGCTGACAGACAGTAGGAGCTCCAGAAATGTATGCTGAGGGAATCTACTCCTAACGGATACTGCATCTGAGTGGGGAAGGGGTGTGTGTGGGGGTCTGCTCAGACCCATACCCTCCCTTCGCCTCTCCCTGTGCTGGACAAACTCCTCCTCGGTCTCAGTTCCAGCCGAGGGCCCCTCCCCTGGCTCCCGAGTCACCACTCCACACTGTCACCATCCATGTCTGTGTCCTGGGATGGGGCCTGGCCTCGCTCAGGTCCAGGGGCCCAGCACCCAGCCCAGGGCTGGGCCCAGGATGGGCGTTCGGGAGCTTTGCTGAGTGAATGAGTGATGTCAGCCCCTCCTCCGCCTCCCCAAGAAGGGTCAGCTGGGTGGCGTGTCTGGCGCCCTCTGGAACCGGAGTTGGCCTGACCCATGTGGGGTGTCTGGGTGGTGTGGACAAAAGCAGTCCAGCCCCATACCTAACATCGGCACCTCCATTAAAGCACCCCTTTAAGATTCCTGAAGGCTTTCCCACATGCCAGGGTGGAAATTCATATTAGATCACAAATATTCCCAAAGGCAGGGGAGTGACGGAAAGCTTCCCACATGTGAGGCCTTTCTAGGGATCAGCCCATACAAGGGGGCCCAGCAAACAGGAGTGTGAACAGGCCTGGTGTGGTGGCTCATGCCTGTAATTCCAGCTCTTTGGGAGGCCAAGGTGGGAGGATTGCTTGAGGCCAGGAGTTTGAGACCAGCCTGGGCAACATAGTAAGACCCTGCCTCTACCAAAAAACAAACAAAAAAATTAGCCATGTATGGTGGTGTGCACCTGTGGTCCCAGCTACTCAGGAGACTGAGGTGGGAGAATCAACTTGAGCTTGGGATGTTGAGGCTGCAGTGAGCTGTGATTGTGCCACTGCACTCCAGCCTGCATGACAGGGTGAGACTTTGTCTCAAAAAAAAAAAAAAAAAGGAAAACTGACAGTAAAAATTGTTTTAAAAAGTGTAAGCAGGGCACAACAGTTGAAAGGCTAATGCCACCTCCTAACTCCCACTTGGCATGAGTGATGCCACGGACTGAATGTCTGTGTCCCCTCAAATGGCTGACGTCCGGATTCCAAGTCATCACTTAGGAGTGGGGCCTTGGGGAGGTGATTAGGTCGGAGGGTGCTGCCCTCAAGAATGGGATTAGTGCCCTCGTAAAAAAGACCTCAGAGAGTTCCCTTGGCCTCTTGTGCCATGTGAGGACACACAGGAAGATGGCAAGCAGGAAGAGGCCCTCACCAGAACCCGGCCATGCTGGCACCTTGATCTTGGACTTCCTGCCTCCAGAACTGTGAGAAATAAATGTATGTCATTTAAGCCATGTAGCCTATGAGACTTTGTCATAGCAGCCCAAGCAGGCTGCGACAGATGAGGCCCTTATCTCCCATAGCGTGACCCCATTAGTGCTGGGCACAGTGCAAGGCCTGGGTGCAGGGGAAGGCTCAGCTCACGGCTGGTGGTGCTTGAATATGGAGCCTGCTCCACCTCTTCCTCACTGGGGGACTTTGACCAGTCCCTTAGTCTCAGCAGGCCTCCGAGTGCATGAGGGGATGACAGGGATGATGACACAGATGGCCCTCGGCTTCTGGCCACATTGGATGCCCCAAGCCCAGTATCAGTCCGCTGGGTAGATCCAACTCCCCTCAACGGCTGTGTGTCCCTGGGTGATGTCTTCCTACAAGGGCAGACTGTCACACTTTCACTCGAACCACGGCTTTGATTGACCAAGGAAGGTTTGGAGGTTGGGAGTTTGCCACCTCGCAGCTGTGTGACCTCAGGGACTCTGTGTGGTACAGTAAACATAGATAGATTTGGTCTTTGTCTGCAGCTCTTGCCACAGAGCTCCTAAAACCATTGGAACTTCCTGAGTGATAGGAGTGTCTTCTAAAGTTCATAACAAGCCCCTTCCAACCTTATCTGAGCTTATGCTGTGGAGGTGCCTTCTGGCAAGGCCCATAGGTGGCTTCAGGATGGGGCTGCTCCCAAGGAAGCGAGCCCGGGTTAGAGGGCTGGGATGCTAGGCCCTCCCTGCTTCCACCTCACCAGTGCTCCCTGCAGCTGTCCCTGAGTTGTACCCTTTCTTTTTTTTTTTTTTTTGAGATGGAGTCTCACTCTTGTTGCCCAGGCTGGAGTGCAGTGGCGCAATCTCAGCTCACTGCAACCTCTGCCTTCCAGGTTAAAGCGATTCTCCTGCCTCAGCCTCCCAATTATTATACCAGTGCATGCTACCACGCCTGGCTAATTTTTGTACTTTTAGTTAGAGACGAGGTTTCCCCATGTTGGCCAGGATGGTCTCGAACTCCTGACCTCGGGTGATCCACCCGCTTCAGCCTCCGAAAGTGTTTGGATTACAGGCGTGAGCCACCACACCCAGCCAGTTGTAACTTTTCTAACAAAACTGTCATGGTAAGTATGGCACTTGCCTGAGTTCTGTGAGCTGTTCTAATGAATTATCAAACTTGTGTGTGTGTGTATCATGGGAACCCCAGAATTCAGTCAGCAGGACACAAGTGTGGTAGCCCAGGAACCCCATTTGTGGCTGGTGTCTGAAATTAGGGGTCTTGTGAGATTTTGGGCCCCTAACTCGTGGGGTCTGTGCTCACTCCAGGTACTCAATTCAGGAATGAATTGATTTTAGGACACTCAGTTGGTGTCAGAAAAGTGGAGAATTGGGTGGTGTTGGGAAAAAAACCCCACTTTGCTTCTCTGAGCCTCAGTTTCCTCTTCTGTAAAACAAAGGTGATAAGGCCTCCCTTGCAGGGTCAGAAGAGACAATGTGCCCGGCCCAGAGCAGGTTCAGCAAGCAGCTAAGGCCCCTCCAGCAGGATTTTGTGTCCATACCTGCGAGGGCACTGGGTGGCCCGCCTCATCTGTGACGCGGACTCCAGGGAAACCAACAGTCAGGGTGACGATGGTGGTGACCGTCCAGGCCAGCGGGTTGTAGACCGAGGCAAAATGTCCTGCAGGTCCTGCATCTGCACACAGAGAAGAGGCTTTGCTTGTGCCATGTGACTCACCTTCTGGAATGGGGTGCTCACTGGCTGCACCTCAGTATGAGGGAAACTGAGGTAGGTGAGATGCAGCCCTCCAGAACTCCCAGGGGAGCCAGGAAGGGGGCAGGCCAACAGGTGTTTCCCACAGACACAGCGTGGGCTACATTCTGCAGTCTGGCTTCCAGGGCAGGGCAGGCGGAGGGGCTCGGAACATAAGGTGTCCGTGTCGCCCTGGAGAACTGAGGTTCTATTCGCTCCTCACACATCTCTGTCAGCCCATTTTACTGATGAGGAAACAGGTCCAGAGAAGTACAGCCACTTGCCCAAGGTGACCCAGCTTCTAAGGCCTGGCTGCAAAGCTTTGAGTGCTGGGCACTGTGAGCCACCAGAGAATTCTCTGGAGCCCAGAGGGTCAAGTCCATTGCCTAGCCTGGCATTTTAGGTCCCTGTGATGAGGACCTGGCCTCTCTTTCTGTTGCATCCTACCAGCCCATGTGTGTGAGGTCTGGCCACACCTGAGAACTCCTGGATCCCTGAACCCAGCACATACTTCCAGCCTCCCTGCCTCTGCCTGGGCTGTTCCCTCTGCTGGGGACACTTTCCTGGTCTTCTCTACCTATTCACAGCTTGGGGAAGCCTCTCCTGTGTGTTCATTGGAATGACAGCTCCTCAAAAGTCCCCACCTGGCAGTGAAGCCAGACCCCAGCTGAGAGCTCCCGTTCTGCCACTGTCTCTTCCACCTGGCTGGTGTTCCTGAGGCCAGGGGGCCTTCCAGAGCCTGCAGGTTGGATGGGATTACACACAGACAGAGATGGGAGGGGAAGGGCATGTTAGATGCTAGGGCAGTGGGCAGGCCACAGCTGGGACACCAAGAAGTACAAGGCAGCCAGGCATGGTGGCTCTTGCCTGTGATCCCAGAACTTTTTTTTTTTTTTTTTTTTTGAGACGGAGTCTCGCTCTGTCGCCCAGGCTGGAGTGCAGTGGTGCGATCTCGGCTCACTGCAAGCTCCGCCTCCTGGGTTCACGCCATTCTCCTGCCTCAGCCCCTGAGTAGCTGGGACTACAGGCGCCCGCCACCACACCCGGCTCATTTTTTTGGTATTTTTAGTAGAGACAGGTTTTCACCGTGTTAGCCAGGATGGTCTCGATCTCCTGACCTCGTAATCCACCCGCCTCGGCCTCCCAAAGTGCTGGGATTACAGGTGTGAGCCACCATGCCTGGCCAGATAGCAGCATTTTGACAGACCAAGGTGGGAGGACCACTTGAGCCCAGGAGTTAGGAGACCATCCTGGCAACATGGTGAGACCCTGTCTCTCCAAAAAAAATAAAAATAAAACAATAAGCCAGGTGTGGTAGTGCATGCCTGTAGTCCCAGCTACTTGGGAGGCTGAGGCAGGAGGATCGCTCAAGCCCAGGAGTCTAAGGCAGCAGTGACCTATGACTGGCACCACTGCACTCCAGCCTAGGTGACACAGCGAGACCCTGTCTCAAAAAACAAAAAACAAGAAGGAAGTGCAAGATGACCAGGTGCAGGCTGTGGGTGGGACCTGGCGGCCTATGCACACAAAAGTCTCATGCGGGCGGAGGGCCGCCAACCTGTCTTCATTTGTCCAGGATCTTCCCAGTTTGGAAACCCCTCAGTCCCAGGCACACTGGCATGTGATCAGTCACTCTACACGTGGGAAAACTCACAGTCAAAGAGGCTGGTCCCACGGCTGCCCTGCTGTGATGTCAGCCAAGTGGAGTTCGGGAGGGAGTGCCAGGAGCCAGGAAGGGACCGGGCCCCTGAGGACACCGGCGTACTCTCTGCCAAGGCTGGGCAGCACCGTGTTCAGGTTCAATCCCTGCTCTGCTCCTTCCTACCCGAGTGGCCCTGGGCTAGCATATAACTTGAGTCCGTTTCCTCGGCTGTAAAATGAGGACAGTAACCATTCCTATTTTGTACAGATTTTGTGAGGCATTAAATTCAATACTGCATGAAGGGTATTTTGAGCTTAGTAAATGCTCAAAACATGTTAGCTGCTATTTCTGGCTCTTCTTGTAACATCAGCAACCCTTCCTCATTGCACGGATGAGCAAACAGAGGCTGGGAGGACTGAAGCCACCTGTCCGAGCTCTCACCATGGGGAAGGGCGATATGGGTGATGTGGACTCAGAGTCTGAAGCTGGGGTCGTTGAGCCCCTCCCCTGACCTCCTCAGGCTCTCCCTTCATAAAGGGGCCACAGCCTCCCTGCAGGGCCCTGCTCACCGGAGCTGGCCGCCATGGGTGCCTGGGGCTGGAGCTCATCTAGGACGATGGAGGCCATCAGCTTGCGCATGCCCAGCATCCCCGAGGCCAGGTGCGTTGCGTACATGTCTCTCACCTTGGGGGACTCAGTCCCAGTGATGGCATCATGGTGCTGGACCTGCAGCAACCCCCAGAGGGGAGGAAGAACAGGATCAGGACCTGACTCTGCAAAGCACCTACAAGGCACCTACTAGGCGCTGGCTCTCATTCTGGCTTGCCAGGTGCCAGTGGAGAAGGGGGCAGTCCCCGCCATTTTACAGAAGGAGGAACTGAGGCCAAGAGAAGCTGAGGAGCTCGCCCAACTTTTCCTGCCCTTGTGGGAACTCATTGTCCCCCATCTCTGGACCCCCTGCTCTGAAGGACCCTGAAGTCACCTCATTTCTCCCACAACATAATGACATGTTCTGCCAGCAGCTCCTTTTGGGGAACTGTTACAGTGTCATGGCTGGTGTGACCCTTTTTTGGATAGGTGACTGAGGACAAGTTACAGGCTGTCTTGGGTCTGTTTTCCCATCAGTACAGTAGGGGATGGGTGGAGACGGAAACTCATGAACTGGCTATTCAGCAGCCACTGCACCAAGCAGGCTGTGCACACCAGCACATCCAATTGCCCCACCGTCCTCCTGGGCAAGCTCGTTGTTCTCATTGTACAGGAGGGAATTAGGTCTTGGGTGGGTGTGGGAATCATGTGCCTGACATCACACAGCTGAGCCGAGATATGGATGCAGGCAGGGCTGTCGGACACAAATGCCACTCCACCTTGTCCTTTATCCCTTTTGCTAAACTGCTACAAAGCTTAATGAGGCCACCAGCTGGATGGATCAGGCTGTGGTCTCAGCCTTGGCCTGGGTTCACCATGCACTGGCCTTGTAACCAAAGGGAACCTCAGTTTCCCCTCTGTAAAGTGGGGCCTCTAGTGCCCCAGGGCTGGAAGGATTGGCTAGGACAAGGGAGGGGAGGTGCGCAGCATGGGAGGTTCCAATCCTGCCACTGTGGCTAAATGTGGTGTTACCTCGGAGACGGCCCAGCGAAGCTGCTGGAGCTGCTGCAGGGCCCAGGTGGGGTCCAGATGCCCACGGGGGGCCGGCCACAGGTAGCGTGTGAACATGGACTCCCCGGCATACAACAAGGCGCTGGCTCGCCGGGCCAGCCCCTTCAGTGAGCTGCGGGACGTGTAGAAGCCCGTCCAGGCCTGGAATGGTTCTGGGAGACAAGGGAAGATGGTGAGCTTGAGACGGCATGACCCAGAAGTCTGCTAAGCTCCAGCCCTGGAAGAGCTGAGAAGCTGGGGCTGCAGAGGCAGCCTCTGCCAGGGTCACCCAAGGAGGCAGGCCGGGCAGGCAGCGAGCCCAGGGCTTACGGCTCCCAACTCAGGCCTCCTCCCATAGCCAGACTAGGAACTGCCCAGAAAACCCTGGATGGGCCTTGGGCAGGGTGGGAGAGACAGGCTGCACTGGGGCAGGTGGGGTGGGGTGCTGAAGGATCCTGATCGGAGGCAAGCCCAGGGTGCCTAGGAAACACAGAACAGCTGTGTGAGCAAAGGGCCTGGGAGACCCAGAGGGGAAGAGGAGGAGCCAGGTGGGCAGGACCCCACTGAGAAGGGCCTAGACTGCACAGAGGCCTTCATGTGTGACGTGGGCATGGGGAGGCCAGGACAGGCATGCGTTTCAGCAGGGATTCTCTGGGCGTCCAGGGAGGATGGATGGTAGGAGGCAGCAAGGGCTCAGAGACCCCAGGGAGCCAGTGTCCTGATGCAAGACAGAGAGGATGAGGATGCCCAGGGCCCATGCAGGAGGCAGGAGGGCTGAACCCTCCCAGGGAGTGGCTGTCTGTCTCAGAAGGGAGCTTCCTATTGCTTTTGCTTTCCTGCTCCTCGGCGTCTGGGATGTGCCCAGATTTGCCTTGATTCCCTGTTCTTCCCCCACTGGTCCTGAACCAGACTGGGAGGGGTGGTCACATGGCCCAGGGGACAGGCCACACCCTGTGGGTCAGATGGGGTCCTCCACAGCTTTGCAGCCATGTTGAGAGTGGGTGGTGAGGCCCGATTCCATTCAGTCTGGCAGGGGCTCCACATCCTCAGTGGTCATCACGATACCATGCCCGCCTGGATACCACGCCCACCTGGACGCCACGCCCACCCACACCCGCCTGGATACCACGCCCACCTGGATACCACGCCCACCTGGACACCACGCCCACCTGGACAGAGCCACACCCAACTTGACTCGGGTATATCCCTACCTGCTAGATGTGGCCACACCCACAGTCACTACCCCACCCACCTCACCATTAGCCATGCCCACATTAACATATCTCCTCCTGCCTTGACTATAACCACACCCACATCCACGGACATCCCCCAACCCGTGTGTGCAGCCCCACCTGCCTCCAATGTGGTGTCAACAGCAGGAGCCGGGGACTATGCAGCCCCACTGGTCACCATGCAGACCCAGAGGCTGGGGCCCAGAGAGGCAGGACTAAGCCAGGTCATGGGTGAGTCAAGGCAGTGCCCAGGCCAGAATGAGCCCTGCAGCTGGAGTTCATCTGTGGCATCTCTTTGGAAGGGAAATGTTATGGTTTGAATGCCCCTCCAAAACCCATGTTAAAATTTAATTGCCATTGTGACTGTATTAAGAGGTGGGATGCTTAAGAGGAGATTAGGCCATGAAGGCTCTGCCCTCGTGAACAGATTAATGTCATTGTCATGGGACTGGGATTGTTAGAAAAGCAAGTTCAACCCCCTTGTCCGGCTGTTCTTTTGCACTCAGCCTTCAGCCATGGGTGATGCAGAAAGAAGGCCCTCTCTAGACACCAGCCCTCCACCTTGGACTTCCCGGCCTCTACATCTGTGAGCCAAAGAAACTTCGTTTCCTAATCAATGACCCATTCTGTGGTATACTGTTACAGCAGCACCCAGAGGTCTAGGACATCTGCTGAGCCCTGCCTCTGTGCTGGGCAGGAGGCTGAGAGCACTTCTTCTCATTGAATTTTCACAGCAACCCTATCTATGCACGAGGCACCACAAATGTCCCCCTTTGGAGACAGGGTGGTTTCATGACTTGCACACAGGCAGCGAGTAGAGGCTTACTCACAGCCAGCCCTCTTAGCTCTCAGGCTGTGCTGCTGGTGGCCAACCCAGTTCTGGCCTGAGGACACAGGCATGATGCACAGGAGGTGCCCAGTAATGACTGTGCAGTGAAAGGAAGCCCGAGTCAGCCTCAGCATCAGGAAAGGGCTCGTAGAAGAGGTTTATGTGGAACTCATGCAGGAAGAGAAGGTGATGGAGGCCGCTCCCAGCAGGAGGCACCACCTGTGCAAAGGCCAGAGGCAGGAAACTGCATGTGGTGGGCAATGGTGAGAGGCTGAACCCTGTGGGAATCAGGTGGTGCATGTGGTGGCCAGGACGTCCAGGTGGAGTGAGCAGAGAGGGTCAGTCTCTGCCCCTGCGCCCCACACAGAACCTGCCTGGAACCCCTCCAGGGCTTGGAGAGCAGTGCCGAGCAGCCACTGAAGTGGGCAGAGGGTACGTGGACTATACCCTCCCTGCCACCAAACTACCACCCCAGCCCCTGGAAGCCTGTACCTGTGGAATAGGGCAGGAAGTCGTGGTGGTCGCGGACACGCCAGGTGACATTGAGAGCGTGCAGGGCACGGAAGTAGTCGCCCAGCGTGGCATACTGCACCGAGACACCGAGCTCGGCAGCATGGCTGTTGATGTGGTCCAGCAGCGGGTCCATGTTGGCAAACTGCACCGAGGCATTGAAGAACTGCTTGTCACATCCCTGCAGGGACATGGGAGCAACATCCTGTGCCGTGGGAGCAGGGCGCTCGCCCAGTGGGGGTGGGCCGATCGCTGCCCTCCACCAGCTGCCCTCCCAGTCTCCAAGGCGGCCAACAGGGGCCCCAAACCAGCTCCCATAGCAGTGGCTTGATCTCGGCTCATGCAACCTCCGCCTCCCGGGTTCAAGTGATTCTTCTGCCTCAGCCTCCCTGAGGCTGCAGGCGCCACCACACCTGGCTAATTTTTATATTTTTAGTAGAGACAGGGTTTTACCATGTTGGCCAGGCTGGTCCCGAACTCCTGACCTCAGGTGATCTGCCTGCCTTGGCCTCCCAAAGTGCTGGGATTATAGGTGTGAGCCACAGCGCCCGGCCCTGGGCATCTCTTAAGGCCCATCAGTGTTACTACTTATCCAAATCATTATAATTAATGATTATTAATTATTATAATTAATATAATGATTAATAACAGCAATAATAACCATGACTGAGTTACTGATCTTAAGCTTGCCTTCACAAGGGCAGTCACGGATGAAGAAGGCAGGCTCTGGGGCCCGCCTGACTGGGTCTGAACACAAATTCCACCCCTTCCTAGCCACCCTAAGGAACTCTGTGGCCTCAGGAAAATTCCTTAACCTCTCTGGGCCTTGGTTTCCTCAACTGTGAAATGGATACCAGCCTGCTTCCTAGGCCCAGTGGTGCAAATTAGATGGCTGAGACAAATATATCCCACGGGGCAGTGCCCAGCACACAGCAGGTGCTCACTAAAGGTTAGCTGTGACGATGGCCACGACGTGCCGGGCACTGGCTTCCCGGGAACGCTTCACCTCTCACCAAGCCTATGAAGCCTGCTGCCACCATCCCCATTTTACAGCGGAGGCAACTGAAGCTCAATGGACTCTAAGGCACGCAGTGCCCGAGCCGGGAGCCAGCCCGGCCCAGGCAGGGAAGAGAGCTGAGTGGGAGCTGGAGAGGCCAGCGTGGGTGAGGGTGCTTTTCCAGGTGGGGGAGGGGCTGGTAGAGTGGGAGAGGCCCAGGGGTCTGCAGGGAAGGAGGATGGAGCCACTGGGCTGAGCATGGCTGCCTAGCTGGGTCTGGATAGGGTGGCCCTGGGTGCAGGGACCAGGGCTTGCATAGTGCTCCTTGGGCTGTGTTGAGGGCACAGCACCTGGGACTCTGCCTTACCCAGGGCCAGAGGACGTGCGGTGTCCGGAACCAGGCGGCCCTCTGCTTCACGTTGGCCACCAGGGCCTCGGCATAGAGGTTGATGTTGGCTGGGGTGACAGGCTCACTCATGTTGGGGTACACCCCATCTTGGGGAGGCTTGGGGAAGACAGCCACGCCATTCCAGTAAAATCCTGACCTGTGCGAGGGCAGAAGGTTAGGGCAGAAGACACGAACTCTGTGGACAGCCAGGGCTCACACCCAAGTGCCATGTTCTCCCAGCCTTGGGACCTTGGCACATCATTTCACCCTGAGACTGAATTCTCCCACTCCATGACCGACGGTGGGTCACAGATTTGTTTGCTCATTCACGCAGGCCAACTTCTCGCCCATCAGACCCCGGGTCTCAGGACCCCAAAGAGGCCGGGGGCTTGGTGAGGCAAGTGAGGCCCTGGCCTAGGGCACAAAATTTATGGGGGTGCCTCAATTCTTAGTAGTTGAGATAAATGATATTTTAATGCAGTACTTTAAAAAATGAAAATTAATGCAAAAAACCCATGAGGAACAAAATGTCAGAGTTTTAAATAAAGACAGGCTCAGTATTTAACATCTTTCTCTGTTTGCCTTAGGCTGGGGGTGTGGAGAACCCCCAGTTAAGTGCCTTCCTTGCTCACACTGTGCAGCCTCGGGGTAGCAGCCATGGAACCCTTGTCTGGAGCTCTCCAACCTGGGCAGCCCCTTCCAGCATTCCCACCTCTGTTTCTTTTACAGACAGGGTCTTGCTCTGTTGATCAGGCTGGAGTGCAGTGATATGATCACGGCTCACTGCAGCCTCGAACTCCCGGGCTCAAGCCATCGCCTCAGCCTCCCCAGGAGCTGGGACTACCACCATGCTCGACTTGTTTTTGAATTTTATGTAGAGACGAGGTCTTGCTCTGTGGCCCAGGCTGGTCTCGAATTCCTGGGCTCAAGCAATCCTCCCACCTCAGCCTCCCAAAGCATTGGGATCACAGTCATCAGCCACCAGCACTGCCACCTCTAGCCTCACCAAGCTCCCTGGTAGAATGTGGAGCAGGTTGTTGTGAGGATTAAATGAAAGTCATTTATGGAAAGGAGCTAGAAACAGTGCTGGGCACAAAGGAGGGCTGACAAATGGCAGTGACCGCTAATTAATCCCGGCCAGTGTTCTTCACCCCCTCTGCCTTGCCTGTTGTCTTTCCTCTTCCAAGAGAGGCTAAGCACCTGGCCAGGGCAGAGTGCGGATTTGAACCCAGGGCCGTCTGACTGCACAGAGACCAAGGCTGACTGCTGCCACCACGTGGAGGCTGCAGAGCTGGTGGCCTGAATCCAACGCTGGCTCCACCACGTCTGCCAGCTGTGGGACCTGGGGCGGGCTGCTGTGCCTCAGTTTTTCCTTCTGTAAGATGGGGCACTCACAGCATCTCCGTCAGTGGGCTGCTGCGAGGGTCTGTGAGGTATCACAGGGAGAATGCTTGGAACAGGGCCTGGCTCATGGTGGGTGCTTGGAACAGCAAGCCAGGAATGTGAATGTGGGTTCACTGCCTATCCTCTCTGCCCCCGGGGGGTCCTGGTCCATGGCTCCACACTCCTGGTCCCCACTGAGTCTTCACCCAAAGCCTTCTGGGGAAGAAGGTGTACAGCGAGGCTAAAATCCCATGTGCTTCTTGACATCTGAGCCTTGAAGGCCCCCAGGGGCCTAGGAGTCCCCTGCTGTCACCTGATAGCCCCCACCAGCAGAAAAGTCCTCTTGTCTAGCTCTTCCACTATCAGTCAGACCAGCTGCACCCCACCTGGTCCTCCACCCAACAGTTTCCACCTCCCTGCCAGCTGGTGAAATTATTCAAATGAGCCACTCACGTCCTCTGCAGGAGTCGGAGGGCACCCGCCCCCTTGCTGCTACCCAGCTGCCCCTGCGTGTTCAGTCCGCTCCACAGTGCACTCCCACGGGGCCTTGGCGAGTAAGGTGTGAGCTGTGATTGTATGTGATAAACAGAAGCTGCTATGGACGTCACCTGTGCTGGGTAGGGTGGTGTGTATTCAACCATCTACCATTTAGGGTGAGGACCCCTCCCTCACCACGGGGTGAACGGGAGGTGATTGGACAAGAGGCAGCTCCGCAAGACAAGGATGAGGAGCGATTTATTCCCAAGGGTCTCCAGGCCCCTTCCCTCTCCCACTCCTCCAGCCTTCTTTTTTTTTTGTTTTGAGATAGAGTCTGATTCTGTCACCCAGGCTGGAGTGCAGTCATGATCTTGGCTTACTGCAACCTCCATCTTGTGGGCTCAAGTGATTCTCCTGCCTCAGCCTCCCAGGTAGCTGAGATTACAGGCAATGCTGCCATGCCTGGCTAATTTTTGTATTTTGACTACAGACAGAGTTTTACCAGGTTGGCCAGGCTGGTCTCAAACTCCTAACCTCAAGTGACCCACCTGCCTCGGCCTCCCAAAGTGCTGGGATTACAGGTGTGAGCCACTGCGCCTGGCCTCCTCCGGCCTTCTTCATTGTGATCCCTGATAGGGACAAGGATGAGGAGGGGAAAGGGTGGGTGGGGACGAAGCCTTGTGCCAAAGCCCCAACAACAAAGCCAGGCCACGTCAGGAACGGGTGGGGAAACACCCATGTCCGGGGGCCTTCCCCCTGCATCCACAGCACCCCTATCCCTGCACCTGCAGCCTGGAACCCAGCTTGCTCTCCAGGCCCAGGCGGGATAGAGGCAGGGAGATCACTGGGGTTGAGGGCAGGTGAGCTTGGAGGGTGTTAGAGAGACACTGGACAGTGCCCTGGAGGACCGTGGACGGGATGGGGTGCCGATGGATGGCTCCTGGAAGTCAGCACATTCAACTTCCTCACCTGGCAGGTACGGACAGGCGAGGCGAGAGCAGAAGGGGACCTGTCATGGCCAGGAAGGAGGTTCTTGGGAACACTGATGTAAAGACCTCATCATTGATTGATTGATTGATTGATTGAGACAGAGTCTTGCTCTGTGGCCCAGGCTGGAGTGCAAGTGGTGCAATATTGGCTTACTGCAACCTGTGCCTCCCGGGTTCAAGTGATTCTCCTGCCTCAGCCTCCCAAGTAGTTGGGATTACAGGGATGCGCCACAACACCCAGCTAATTTTTTTTTTCTTTTTTTGTATTTTCAGTAGAGACGGGGTTTTGCCATGTTGGCCAGGCTGGTCTCAAATTCCTGACCTGAAGTGATCCACCTGCCTTGGCTTCCCAAAGCGCTGGGATTACAGGCATGAGCTACTGTGCCCGGCCTATTTTTTTTTTTATTTTAAATAGAGACAGGTTCTCACTCTGTTGCCCAGGCTGGAGTGCAGTGGTACCATCAGAGCTCACTGTAGCCTCCAACTCCTGGATTCAGGCGACCCTTCTGCCTCAACCTCCTAAGCATCTAGGACTGCATGCACCCAGCTAATTTTTAAGTTTTTGTAGAGATAGGTTCTCACTAGGAAGCCCAGGCTGGTTTTGAACTCCTGGACTCAAGTGATTGTCCTGCCTCAGCCTCCCAAAGTGCTGGGATTACAGGCATGAGGCACCGCACCCAGCCAAGATCTCATCCTTTAAACAATCCTCTTTTGGGACAGGGACTCATAACAAGAAGCAATTCAGAGTCACACAGAACTGGAGTCAAATCCTGCCTCCCCTACTTACCAGCTGGGTGACCCTGATCTGGTCACTTACCCTCTCTGAACCTCAGTTTCCACATCTGTAAAATGGGGTTGATAACCCCACCCACTCTGCTGGGGAGGCTGAAGAATGGGACACCATGTGCTTAAGGAGCTCTTGTCAAAAACTGCAGAATAGGGCTGGGCGCGGCGGCTCATGCCTATAATCCTAGCACTTTGGGAGGCCAAGGCAGGTGGATCATCTCAGGTCAGGAGTTTGAGACCAGCCTAGATAACATGGTGAAACTCCCTCTCTACTAAAAAGACAAAAATTAGCTGGGTGTGGTGGTGGGTGCCTATAATCCTAGCTACTCAGGAGGCTAAGGCAGAAGAATCGCTTGAACCCAGGAGGCGGAGGTTGCAGTGAGCCAAGATTGCGCTACTGCACTCCGGCCTGGGCAACAGAGCAGAAGCTCTTGTCTTAAAACCAATAAACAAAAACAAAACTGCAGAACAGCTGCAGGGGCTGGGCAGACCCTGCTGTCTGAGATCCCAAAGGCACTGCGGAAGGGCACGTACCTGTTGGAGAAAGGGATGTGGGACGGGGTGCAGTAGCTGTACTGGTCCATGATGTGCGTGAAGATTTCCTGCCGCTCTGAGAGGGATGGGGACCCTCGCCACACGAACTGCAGCCCCTGCAAACCGAGGAGAAGAATGAGGCTGGAGGGGCCACATGGCTGCCCCAGCTCCACTTCCCTCAGCCCCATCTGGGTGTCTCCCGCCTGCCCTCACCTTGGCCCTCCCTCAGTGGTTCAAGGATGAGCTCTCCCCTGCCGTTTCCGTCTAAGACTGGTTGTGGGATTTGCCCTCCGGAAGGAGTGCTCATTCACCCCACCCACTCCTCGATGCAGGCTTTTCTCTGCCAAACCCTGTAGAATTAGCACCTTCTAACTCTGCTTGAATGCCCCCAGGTGCAGGAAGCTCATTACTTCTCACCAAGTGTGCAGTTTATTTTTTTATTTTTTATTTTTTACAGAGTCTCACTCTGTCACCCAGGAGTGCAGTGTCACGATCTCAGCTCACTGAAACCTTCACCTCCCTGGTTCAAGCGATTGTCCTGCCTCAGCCTCCTGAGTAGCTGGGATTTCAGCCACTTGCTACCACGCCCGGCTAATTTTTGTATTTTTAGTAGAGACGGGGTTTTGCCATGTTGGCCAGGCTGGTTTCGAACTCTTGACTTCATGTGATCTGCCCACCTCCCAAAGGGCTGGGATTACAGGCGTGAGCCACTGTGCCCACTGGAAATGGGGTCTTTACAGAAGTAATCAAGTTAAAATGAGGTCATTAGGGTGGGCCCTAATACAATAGGATGGGTGTCCTCAGAAAAAAGGAAAATTGAGACACAAACATGCACCCAGGGAAGATGATACGGGGGCACTGAAAGAAGCGGGGCATCCACAAGCCAAGGAGAGAGGCCTGGAGCAGCCCCTTCCCTCACACCTTCAGAGGGAGCGTGGCCCTGCTGACACCTTGACCCTGGACTTCCAGCCTCCAGAACCATGGGACAATATGTTTCTATTGCTTGAGTCACCAGTCTGTGGTCCTTTGTTATGGCAGCCCTAGCAAATGATGACACCGTCCCATAAGGTTGCTGTGAGGGTTAAAAGAAATGCAGGATGAAGCTGGGCACCAGTGGCTCCCGCCTGTAATACCAGCACTTTGGGAGGCTGAGGTGGGCGGATCGCTTGAGGACAGGAGTTCGAGACCAGCCTGGCCAACATGGTGAAACCCCGTCTCTACAAAAAACACACAAAAAATTTAGCTGGGCGTGGTGGCACTCACCTGTAATCCCAGCTACTTGAGAGGCTGAGGCACAATAATCGCTTGAACCCGGGAGGCAGAGTTTACAGTGGGCCAAGATTGTGCTACTGCATTCCAGCCTGGGTGACAGAGCAAGACCCTGTCTCAAAAAAAAAAAAAAAAAAAAAACAACAACCCAAAAGACCCCAAAAAACCCAAAAAACAAAAAACAAAAGAAAAGAAAAAGAAATGAAGGATGAGTAGGGCCTGGTACCAGGCCTGGGACTCCCAAGGGCACAATCGAAGGCAGCGTCTACCATGGTTGTTGTTGCTACTTAAGTCTTGTAACAGTTGCCCTCACACCTGAAGAATCACAGCGTCTCTGGTAACTGTTCTCCCAGCTGAACACACCCTGCCATTCCTCTAGTTGTCACCCCTGCTTACTGAGTGCCATTCTGCTCTAGTCCCTGTGAGGGGCCTAAAGAAAGAGTCAGCCCCGCCTCAGGCCCAGCTGATGGAGATAGGGGTCTGGAAGCGGGAGGCAGCCAAGCTGTGCCTGCAGCTCTGTGAGAAGCTGGGGTACAGGGAGGGGGGCCCTCCTGGTGGAGGAGGCGACAAGAGCAAAGGTTAGGGGACAGCCCCGCGGTCTATGCAGCTGCCAAGAATTTCCGAACACTTCGGCATAGAGCAGCAGCTTTCTACCGTGCTCTGATTCAAGGAAGGAAGGGAGGAGCGGTCGCTGGGCGGCAGCAGACGCGGCACACCACTCACCCGGGCCTCCTGCATGGCTGCCTTCAGGTCGTAGTCGATCCGGGAGCCGAGGTGGGCATTGAAGCCCGCCAGCGCAAATAGGGTGGGCGTCGTGGCAGAGGCGCCAAACGGGTCAACGTGCCAGGAGAACTGTGGCCGGATCCCAAATGTTTCATAGAGAAACCCGTGTCCTTCTGCAAAGACAGCAACACCCTGCTGGTGCCTGGAGGGCGGGCCTGTGCCTCCCGGCCCCATCCTCACCCCAGGGGACCCTGCCTATCCAGTGGGTTGCAGTGCCAGCTACTGGGCCAGGCAGGGTCATGCAGAACTGCAGAGGTGAGGGTGTTAATTATTAACTTTTAATCATGGTGAAGTACATATAACATACAATTTACCACCTTAATAATTTGTGAGTGTATAGTTAAGTAGTGTTACTACATTCACACTGTTATACAACCACCACCACCATCCCTTTCCAGAATGTTCTCCTCTTCCCAAGTTGAAGCTCTTGGCCTCATTAAACACTAACTCCCTATGCCCCTCCCCCAGCCCCTAGCACCCCCATTCTACTCCCTGACTGCATGAATTTGATGCCTGTAGATATCAGCGGAATCACACAGCATCAGTCCTTCTGTGACTGGCGTATTTCACTCTGCGTAATGTCCTTAAGGTTCCTGCATGTTACAGCACGTGCAGGGGTGAGGATTTTTGTGTGAACTTGGATAGAGCACTGATTTTGATGATGCTATGGAGGTCTTGGACATCACCAACAATAAAAGGTTAAAGGTGAACTTCAAACCTAAGTGTGCGGTGGTTCAAAAGACGTCCAAGGCCAGCAATGTGGCTCACGCCTGTCATCCTGGCACTTTGGGAGGCTGAGGTGGGAGGATCGCTTGAGCCCAGGAGTTTGAGACCAGCCTGGGCAATATAGTGAGACCCCATCTCTACACATGCACACAAAATTTAAAAAATTAGCCAGGCGTGGTGGTGGCACATGCCTGTAGTCCCAGGTACTTGGGAGGTGGAGGTGGGAGGATCACTTGAGCTCAGGAGGTTGAGGCTGCAGTGAGCCATGATCCTGCCACTGCACTTCAGCCTGGGTGACAGAGTGAGACTCTGTCTCAAAAAAAAAAAAACCACAAGAAAAGATGTCCATAAATTATTGCTGCGTCTTCAACAGGTGAGGCTTAGGGCCTAGAGGGTGGCCAGACTCAGTGACTCACTTCTAACAAACACAGTGAAGCAGAAGTACCTGTGTACCCTTGAGGAGAGAAGGTGAAGGGCACACAGCTTCTACTGTGGCTGCCCTTGCCTGCTCTCCTGGGTCGCTGCTCTGGGGGCCAGCTGCTGTGCCATGACCAGTCACATGGCGAGGAACTGAGGCTTCCTCTCACAGCCGCGAGAGCCAGCCTGGAGTAGACCCTCCAGCCCCAGTCCAGCCTTCAGATGACACTGCCCCACCTGACTCCCAGATGGCAACTTTTCAAGAGGTCCTGAGCCAGAACCCCCTGGCTAAGTCACTCCTGAGCTCTTCACCCACAGGAGCTGTAGATATGAAATGTTTGTTCTCAGAAGTTTGGGGGCAATTTGCTACACGGAAATAGATCATGAATACAAAGGACTCCATGCCAGAATCACCCAACCATTCATTTATTCATTTATTACTTAAGAGTCACCATAGTGAACCAGATATTGGGTTCAGTGCTGCAGGGAAAAAGAAAACCCCAGACTTGTATAAGGCATTGATTAACATTCCCCAAGTCCTTGCCCCAAATATAATCTTTCTAACACCTTGAGAGATGGGTGTTATAATCTGCACTTTAAGATTGGTGAACAGTGCCTCAGAGAACTCTCATAACTGATCTAGAGTCAAACTGCCTTTCACTGATGAACTTGCAGTCCTGGGGACCCTGGCTGAGCCTCAGATGAGGCCTGGGATGCTGGGACCGAGCAGCAGTCAGACCTATGAGCAAGGCCAAGCAAGACAGGGCAGGGGATGACTGTGGGAGGTGAGGAGTGGGGCTGGCATCAGGTGCACAGCAGAGGTGAGAGGGGATCAGGGGGAGCGTGGACTAGGAGTGTGGGTGGAGGCTGTGCATATGTAAGCAGAGAGGATGGAGAAGGAGCAGCCAGAGGGTGGGGGGAGCACAGGGGGAGTGCCAGCTGCAGGATGAAGGAGGGAGTGGGCAACAGCACCGCACTGAGAGGAGCCAGGAGCTCTGGAGGGTACGGCCTCGCACCAGACAGGGCAGCCGGTGGGGGCAGGCTGAAGGCTGC
This sequence comes from Homo sapiens, assembly GCF_000001405.40. NCBI lineage: Eukaryota > Metazoa > Chordata > Mammalia > Primates > Hominidae > Homo > Homo sapiens. The sequence continues at coordinate 6,584,912 of NC_000004.12, read as the reverse complement.
CAAGTCAGCACCCCTTTTTCACTCGCAGAACCTTCCCTCTGTTCAGGGTGCACCATGCCCAGCCTCAAGGGACGAATCACAGTTGATCTAAGCCAAATGTGGCACGCTTACTCCCTCCTGTCAGATATTGGTTCTCTCTGTCTGGCAGCTGGAGGGGCATTGTTAAGTAATGAACTGGGAGGCCATCAGGCTGAGCCGGCTCCAGGCCTCGAGTTCCTCTGTCAGCAAACCCAAATCTAACTTGGTGGAAACAGGAAAAGAGAACTTAAGCTTGACCCATCGGAAACTGCCAACCAACCTCTAACTAGGGACTGTTCACTGTAGGCAAATGTTTTCTTTGTCTTGCTTTCAGGAGCACCTTATAGACGTTTCCCTCTCATATTCCCTTAGTGGAGCCATGAACTGCTCACAGTCTAGTACTTCCTGATTCAGGAATCACTGTTTGTTCAAATAAATGCTAACATTTTAGTGTGTCTAAGTTTATCCAACAGAATAGACTATGGGTATAGAAAGCCCCCTCTCTTCCTTTTACTGCCTTGAATGTGGTGTCTGGTAACATGATGGCTGGAGCTATGGCAGCCATATCGTGACCACAAGGGTAAGGACATGAGAATCACAGATATCAAGGTACTGCAGAACCAGTCCCAAACTATCCCCATCTTGTTAAGTAAATGTTCTTAAGACTCAAGTCGCTTTGTTACAGGTAGTTAGACAAGCATGAGTGGGGCAGGGGAGGGCTCTTCCCCCACCCACTAGGAATGTTGGGTGATGGTTTGGCAATTATCACATTGCCTCTCTAGAAGTGAGAAATTGGCAGCCAGCACTAGGGAGAGGGCATTTCCTGATGGTCCACACCTGTTGCACTAACATGTTAATTGAATGCAGGTGCCAGGGAGACGTGACTTCCCGAGCAGGTGCATTAAGAGACAAAATGGCGGAGTTTGACCTTCCAGGGACACTCCACTGGAAAAGGGAAGAAAGCGTCAGATGGGCATGTGTGCAACTTCCTAAACACAGTGCGTGTGCTCACCTCCCAAGGGTAAGGAGGGCACTGTGAGTGCGGGTAGCCCAGCCTAAGGGAAGAATCATGGGAAAGGGGACCAGCCTATAAAGTCCTAGGATCAAGGATCAATACAGCACTTGACCTTCACGTGCCCACTTGGGACTCTTTCAAGCATATTTTCCTTTCTTTCTCATTTTAAAGCCTTTTTAAATAAACTTCCACTTCTGCTCTGAAACATGCCTCAGTCTCTTTTTCTGCCTTATGCCCCTCAGTCGAATTCTTTCTTCCGAGGAGGCAAGAACTGGGGTTGCTGCAGACCCGTACGGATTAGCTGCTGGTAACTTGGATACCTTCCACCACTAACAGCTTTACTTAGGTTTTCTGGCCGTCCAGCAGAAAGCATTCCTGAGACTTCAGGGTGATTCATGACCAAAACTGTTAATTGGCGTCCGATATACATTCTGTCCTTCTTCCTTTTAGTAACAGAACCACACACTCCTTCTTGGTTTTAGCAGGGCAAATGGACTCCCAGCCAGAGACTACATTCCCCAGCCTCCTTTGCAACTGGTAGAGGTCACATGACACCACTCTGGCCAATGGACTGGGAGCAAAATAGACTCTATTCCCCAGCAGTCCCTGCAGTTGAGGGAGGCCATATGATTAAGTTCTGGCCAATGGAAATGTGAGGAGTGATGTGGGCAGGTTCTAGGTCGCCTTTTACAAGGAAGCTGCCTGCCCTGGCTCCACCATTCCCTATCCCCTAGCTGCTGGAAGGACAACTCAGTGGGGTGAGCCAGTCTAGACTGCAACTCAGGCAGGCAACACTGTGGGGGATGGCTGAACATCAAGATGGAAGCAACGTGGATCCCTGGGTCACTCCATGGAGCAGAGCCACCCAATCACCAGAGTGGCCTGCACTGCAGACTTCCACAGGAGAGAAACACACCTTCCTTCTTGTTGGAGTCACTTGGTCTCTGTTCAAGCTGCTGAACCAGTATCCTCACCAGTATAATGACCAGGCCACAAGCAAGCTCACTAGCACATGCAGGGCAGAGGCCAGGATGCAGGGGCTGAGGGTGAAGTAGTGGGAGGTGGTGGGGGGTGAGGGGGTGGTGGGAATAAATGCCATTACAGCCTGAGCTGGAGGGTCTTGCTTTATGATGTTGAGGTCAGGAGTTCAAGACCAGCCTGGGCAACACAGTGGACCCCATGTTAAAAAAAATTTTTTTTTGAAGAGAGACAATTTAAGTGTGTTTTCAATACTGCTGGGGGCCGGGCTTGGTGGCTCAGGTCTGTAATCCCAGCATTTTGGGAGGCCAAGGTGGGCGGATCACTTGAGGTCAGGAGTTCAAGACCAGCCTGGCCAACATGGTGAGATCCCTGTCTTTACTAAAAATATGAAAATTAGCTGGGCATGGTGGTGCACGCCTGTACTCCCAGCTACTCAGGATGCTGAGGCATAAGAATTGCTTGAACCTGCGAGGTAGAGATTGCAGTGAGCCGAGATTGCGCCACTGCACTCCAGCCTGAGTGACAGAGTGAGGCTCTGTCTAACAACAACAACAACAGCAGCAACGGCAACAACAACAACTAAATACTGCTGGAAGGAGTCAGAGAGACAAGAGAAGGTGGAAGAGAGTCTGTGACACAGGAGAGGGATCGCGGATTCAGTGGGAAGGGAGTGGGGTTGGGGGACAGGGCTGAGAGCTTGGGTTTGAATGGCCAGGACAGCAGTGGTCATCCAGGATGGCCCAAGGTGTCTCCTTGACTCTCACCTGGACCCTTTGCCTCTCAGCACCTCTGAGGCGGGAGCTGGGCTCTCTCCCCTCAGGATAGGGGTGAGGGGTTCTTTCCCTCTGGCACCTGCCACTCTGCTGGGCCTCCGCTAAACATCCCAGCTGGGAAAGTGTCCCCTCAGGGAGGGGCATGAAAGCTCTTACCCCCGGGGGCCGCTGCCCACACCCAGCCTTTCCCTGACACTGCAGTGCTGGGAACAAATGCTTTTCCCCTCACTAGAAATGTCACATCTAAAATTAAGGTGGTGTTGGCGTGACTGCCGGGAGCAGGAGTTGGGGAGGTAAAGGCTGGAAAGGTGAGCTTACGGGCAGGCCCAGTGCCCCAGGCCCTGGCGGGCAGCCAGGAGTGGGTCTTGGTTGAGGAGATGCTTTGGCACCCTAGATACCCGAAGAAGAAGGTCAGAGGTCTAGAGGCTGCACCAGCCTGCTCCTGTCTTCCTTTGCTGTCCAGGGCCTGCCTCGAGGCAGGGGCTCCACCAAGGTGAGATGGAGGATAAAGGGCCCGGAAGCAGTGAGGGGTGATCCAGCCCCTCTTACCCCAACATATCTGAGAAAACCAGCCCAATGTGGACATAATTCACAGCCAGAATGCCTGGGACATCTGAGATGGGTGGTCTGATACACACACTCTGCCCCCGCCCTAGGGACTACAAGTTAAGGAAAGAGCCCAGGCCAGGCACACATGGGCTTGAGCGCCAGTTCTGTTACCTACTGCATATATATAAATCCCGCATCTCTCAGTACCTCAGTTTCCTCATCTGTCAAATGGGGCTGTGAACAGTACCACTTGCTACCAGGCTGTTCTGAGGCAACTAAGAGATAGCAGATGGGAAAGGGCTTGGCTCAGCCGCCAGTGAGAGGGGCTCAGCCACAAGTAACCTTCCTGACTCGGCCGGGCTAGGGTTGGATCTGGGTCCCATCACTTAGCTGGTGGTGGGCACATTTGGATAGCATTTGAGCCTCAAACTTCTCTACAAATAAGCATTTGTAAGATTACCCATCTACCAGATTGCCCTGAGGACTGAAAAAAAAATACGTGTACATCTTGTACCTAGAACAAGGTGGTTATCATGAAAGAAACCCACATGTCTGTACCCTGAGGGCCCCATGAGCTTGGACAGGTTTGGAAATGGAGCCTCACAACAGCCGCTGTCTCTTGTGTCTCTGGAGGCTCTTCCTGCCCCAGAGCGACACAGCCTCAGCTTCCCTGAGGCTTCCAGTTGCCAGGTCAGACCTGCAGGGTCAGCGCTGGGGTATCAGCACTTAGGCACGGTGGGCTGAGGCCAGAGGCGAGGTACCCCAGTGGTGGGTACCCTCAGGGCAGGGCAGTTCAGCGCCCACCCCTTGCCCAGCCTTGCCCAGTAAGCAGTGGTCTGGGCCAGACCCTATGCTGGGTGCTGAGATGAGTCAGATGGGGGTCCCTGCCAGGGGCATCTTGAGGTTCAGCGGTTAAGTGGGGAGGTGACACAGAACTGCAGAGACTCAGAGATTTCCTGCGGGAGGGGCTTCTCAGCTGCATCTTGAGGAGGAGGGTGGAGAATGAGGGGGAGCACTGCGTGAAATGGCACAGGTGAGAAACAGCCCCAGAGCCTCCTCGCTGGCACGGGGCAGGAGGCAGGTGGGGGACACGCCTACAGTGTCACACATTCCCTGGCAGTGGGCTTGTGAAGGGGTGTGGGGGAAGTCTGTTGGGATAGATCCCTTGCCCACACTTCACATGGGGGAGTGAAAGAGCAGGGGCTCTGGAGTCAGGGAGCCACAGCAGGCGGCTGAGGGCAAGGTGCTCCCTCTGAGCCTTGCTGTCCTCCCCTGTTACCTCTGGGCCTGTGGGGATGCAGGGGGACAAGCAGGGGCTGAGCTCCTGGCCACAGGAGGAGCTCTGTCTGTAGGGCTGTGTCCATCACGCCTCCTTCTCATGGAAGGGCAAGTCTAGGGTTTGAGCAAAGTCCAGATGTAAGGCAGTAAGAAACTGAGACAGGGGAACACTCCAGATTACAGATGAGAAAAGGGAGAGTGCCAAAAACATCCTTTGACAACATTGCTCTCTGCCTGGATGTTTTACAAATGGGGAAATCAGGGCCCATGCTGTAGTGGAGTGACTGTGGACTCGGAGCTTCAGTCCCTAGGCCTGGACTCAAGTCCTGGCCATCTACCCTGGAGAGAGTTACTGCATTTCTTTGGATCTCAGTTTCTACATCTGCAAAATGAAACTGGGCATCACCATGCCTCACCATCAGCCCGCCATTAGGATTGGCTGGGGTGTCACTGTGAAAGGCATTTGGTAAATGGTGAGTAGAGTGCCCCACGGCACTGTGGGTGATGGTGCTGAGGACAGTGGACACAATGGTGAGGGAGATGGTCATGGTGGTGGTGATGATGATTGTGGAGGGGATGGTAGTAATGGATGTGGTGATGGTGGTGGCGACAGTGATGGGTGGTGATCATGGTGATAGTGTTTAGGGGGTGGTGGTGATGGTAGTGGTAGTAATGGTCATTGTAGTGGTGAAGATGATGGTGGTAGTGGTGATGGTGGTGATGGTAGTGGTAGTAATGGTAGTGGTAGTGGTGGTCATAGCAGTGGTGAAGGGTGGTGGTGATGGTAGTTATGATGGTGGTGGTGATGGTAGTGGTAGTGATGGTCATTGTGGTGGTGAAGGGTGGTGGTGATGGTGAAGGGTGGTGGTGATGGTGGTGGTGATGGTGATGGTGGTGGTGGTGATGGTGAAGGGTAGTGGTGGTGGTGGTGATGGTGATGGTGGTGGTGATGGTGATGGTGGTGGTGGTGGTGGTGGTGATGGTGGTGGTGGTGGTGATGGTGGTGGTGATGGTGATGGTGGTGGTGATGGTGGTGGTGGTGATGGTGGTGAAGGGTGGTGGTGGTGATGGTGGTGGTGGTGGTGGTGATGGTGATGGTGGTGGTGCTGGTGATGGTGATGGTGGTGGTGGTGGTGGTGATGGTGATGGTGGTGGTGATGGTGGTGGTGGTGGTAGTGGTGATGGTGATGGTGGTGGTGCTGGTGATGGTGATGGTGGTGGTGGTGGTGATGGTGATGGTGGTGGTGATGGTGGTGATGGTGGTAGTGGTGATGGTGATGGTGGTGGTGGTGGTGATGGTAGTGGTAGTGATGGTCATCGTGGTGGTGGTGGTGATGGTAGTAGTCATGGTCATTATGGTGCTGAAGGTGGTAATTGTGATGGAAGGCAGCAAACACTTACTGAGCATTTACTAGGGAACCCACATCCTACTAAAGTGCTTTATTTGAATTATCCCATTTAATACTCACAACAACCCTTTGAGGTAGGTATTACCATCAAACTCATTTTATCTATGAGGAAACTGAAGTTACATTCCTTTCCAGGGTCACAGAGGAGGGAATTGGCAGAGCCAGGATATATTGAGACCATCTGACTCTAGCATCCATGCTCTTAACCCCTACATTCAACTTCCTTGGTGAGGCATGAATATGGCACTAGCAAATCACTGCTTTCACTGGTTAAGGTCCCCGACCCCACTAAGAGGGGCAGACAGAGCTCAGAACCTGGGGGTTCTGATACCATGTCCCAGCCCCACTGGAGGTCCTGAGGGACCCTGGGTGCAGGGTAGGGTGGCCAAACCTGTGAGCTGCAGGATCTGGTCATCAAGGTGCGTCACAGCCTCGTCATGCATGACCTGGCCTCCGATGACAAATTCCAGGCGTCCTTCCTCCAGGAGCTGGCGGACCTTGACATGGGCAGGCAGAGAGAAAAAAGCCAGTTACGGCTCCTGAGCATGGCTGGGTCTGTGGGGAACACACCTACAGCGCCACACACGCCCTGCATAAAACTCCCCACCCTTGCTTACTCTATAAAAGCAGGGCACTGTCTGTCCTGGTCCACACTGTGTTCCCACCACCTAGAAATCATGCAGCCCTCAGGTGGTATTTGAGATATATATTTGTATATATAAGATTTTCTTAAATCTTATTTTATTAACTAATTCTAAACTTTAGAAAAGTTTCAGGAATAGAACAAAGAGCTCCCATATCCTTTCCCAAGGTTCACTCATCACTACCATTTTTAACCTATTTGCTTAACATCCCCGTCTCTACACACATAACACCTTTGTTGCCCTAGACACTACACACCTCAGTATGTGTACACACAGCTGTTTATAGGCTGTGCCTTTGGTTTGTTTCTTAAGGTGCACTATATGTAGATCATTCACTCAACAAATGTTAAGTGAGCACCTACTACACAACCAGCACTGTTCAGGCACTGGGGGTTCAGCAGTGAATGAAGCAGGCAACAATTCCTGCCTCCAGGGAGCTCTGCCACAAGTTTCCTGTCCAGGTCTTCACTGGGCCATGCAGGCCATGCTTCTCTTTGAGGGCTAGGAGACAGACCACTGGGTTTGGTGGGGTCCACCTGAAGAAGCATGGGACGCTCACAGGATATCCTGGAAAGGCCTGCCTCGAGTCAGGCATGCCTGGCTCAGAATCCCACCTGCCGCTTACAAGCTGTGTGACTGCAGGCCAGTGGCGTGCCCTCTCTGAACCTGGAATGTCTCTTTAACTTGAGGTAAGAACCCCACTATCTGGCAGCATCAAGTGGCCATTGGATGTCCGGCTCCTTCCCGTGACTCTGGCGGGGCCTGGTGGACGCCCTGCTCTCCCTTCTCCGCTTCACTCCCTTGAGCAAGTCACTTGGCGTCCCTGAACTTTATGTTCAGCAACTATTCTGAAGGCAGGTGGATACCTGGGAGGAAACTAAGAACCCCCGAGTATCGTCCTGGGTGCTCACGCCAGGGCTTCATTCTTGGCATGACTTTTCTGCAATGGGGCGGTCACCCCCGTTTAATAGAAGTGGAATCTGTGGCTCGCAGGGGCTAGTCGTGTCCCCTGGTGCGGGAGCAGGATGGGACCCAGGCTGCCTCACTGTGCAGCGGGGACTCTGACTCTCCATGCTGTATGAAGCAACCTGCTGCCTACCCTCAAACCACAGGGACTATCGCACCCTCATCAAGGGTCACCAGACCCTGGGCCCGGGGGCCAGGCAGATAACACAAATGAGAGAAGAGGGTGAGGGCTTGGGGACACCTGGGATGCCTGGTGTCAGGGGGCACTGCTGACTTAGTGCCAGCTGGCACGGAAGTGCACAGCTGGGTTGCCAGAGCTGGCAGTTTTTTCAAGAATAGACAGAAATTCAGGATTAAATTGAAAGCAATCTCTCCCAGGCATGGAACTCACCGTGAACCTTGATCTAAACAAGGCTGTGAATAGCCCGGTGGGGTTTTGGCCCTGTGGTTTATGCCAGCCTGGCCCTGGCCCTGGCTAGAACTGCCCCATTGAGTTTTCCACCTGGGTCTTTGCCAGGATACTGGGCCAACTGTGTCACCTGGTGACCTCATTACCTGGTATTTCTGCTGGTCCGAGGCGACGCCATCCCACCACAGCCGGAAAAACTCCTGCTCCACAGCGATGAACCGGCGCTGCTGGCCGCGGGCCAGCTCTTCCACCACTGAGGTGTAGACATTGGCGGCGTACGCCCGCATGCTTTCCTGGGGAGGGGACAGCATCATGCCAGCCCCGGTCCAACAAGACCAAGTGTCCCTGGGGCCCCTGCCATTCGCCAGGTGTGTCTGCATGGGGTTGGGGGCTCTGCCCTTCCTTCCCTGCTGCTCACCCCCCACACAGCTATTAGGCACTCGCTCCATACCAGGCTCTCCCCACTGGATGGGATCGTGCTCTCCTGGGGGAGAGGGACGGGGAAACAGACACCCTACATGGGCAGAGACAGGTGCCCTCCCAGCCCAGGGGTCAGGGACAGTTTCTCAGAGGGGTGAGCAAGCTGGGCCTTGAGTGTGCAATTTGGGGGGCTGGGCCCTGAGTGTGCCATTGAGGGGCAGCACAGGAAAGTCTTAGGCCTCAGTCGGGGTGTGGTCCAGTGACCCCAAAGGGGCCTGCTGGGGCTGAAATGAGGAAAGCTGGTGCTGAGAGGAAGAGCTCCCCAGGCTGTCCCTGGCGTCTAGGCGTCTGCCTCCCCAAGGCTGGGAGCTCCAAGGACCACAGCTGTAGTGTGTTCCCATCCGAGTCCCGAGGGCCCTGCACACAGGGTGCCCACAGAGTGCTTACATGAATGGAAGGAGCACCGAGCAGGGAGTCAGGAGGCATGAGGGTTATTCCCGAGCGACCTTGGGCAAGGCAGCAACCCTCTCTGGGCCTCGGTTTTCTCCTCTGGAAACTGGCTGTAGTGGGCATGCTTCCCCTACCCTTTACAGATGGGGAAACTGAGGCTTAGGGACCAAAGCCCCTCGCCCAAGGTCCTGAGCAGAACCAGGAGGTGACCACAGGTCCACCTTCACCCCTGTCCTGGGGGGCGGAGGACGCTGAGCTGGCCTCCAATATTCAGCCCCGCAGGGGACCAGCCCGGCCCCTTCCCAGCGGGCACCTGACATCCACCTGCTCTGAAGCCAGCCCCACCCTCTCCTGCTCCAGGCTTCCCTGGAAAATGGGTTACCACTGTCAACCCCCAAGCCCCTCCCCAGCCGGGAATGCAGGGGTCCCTCCAATCTGCACCACCCTCCAGAAGGGGAAATGGGGGTTCAGAGGCAGGAAGTGACTGGCCCGAAGTTAGCGACGCAACCAGTCAATGGCAGCGTGGGGTCCTGAACCCACTGAGCCTCCTTCTGCGCCGGCATCGGGCCCCGGGACGCAAACCCACACTCAGATCCCGCGGGGAGAGGGAAGCTGCAGCCTCAGGGGCGCGCGGGGCGTGGTCGGCACCTACCTGCACAGTGTAGACCCAGCCCACGTCCATGTGGCTGTGGGGCACCACGAAGGCCCGGATGGGGCCGGCGGACTGGACCCCTGGCGGTCGCAGCAACAGGAGCGGTGCCAGCAGCGGCAGCCAGCACAGCTGCCCCATCCCTGCGGCAGGCCGGGAAGGTGCCAGGCCCACTTCCGGGTCCGCGAGGGGCGGGGCGGCCGCGCGGGCGGGGACGCGGCCCATTGGCTGCGGGCGGGGGCGGGGCCCATTGGTTGCCGGCTGGACGCCGACCCCGGGAAGCTCGGGAAGGAGGAGCTGGAGGCGCGGGGCCCTCAGCGGGGCAGGGCGCCTGCTCTTTGCGGTTTAGCTCTCCATCCCCGTCTCCAGCTTTCTGGCCTTCCCTCCCTGTCCATCCTTTCAGCCCCATCTCCCCCAAGCCTGCCAGATCTCCCCCAACCAGAGGAGACCCCTCCTCGCCCAAAGCCCACGCTCTGGTGGTTCCTCTCGGAGCGTGTGCCTCTTCGCAATACCTGCATCCCGCCCTCTGGACTCGGCTCCGGGACTCTGAGGCTACCGTGCAAAATTCGGCTCAGCACGGACCCTGTGAGCTCTGCCACCAGGAACCTTCCCTGATAACCCTTTCCCTCCTCTCCCTGGCGTCGAAACCCCATCTGGGCGGCGCCATGGGGGGCTTGTTATGGGACTGTCTCCTTTTTTTTTTTTTGGACAGGATCTCACTCTGTCTCCCAGGCCGGAGTGCAGTGGCGCGATCAGGGCTCACTGCAGCCTTGACCTCCCGGGCCCAAGTGATCCTCCCACCTCAGCCTCCTGAGTAGCTGGGACCACAGGGGCACACTGCCACACCCAGCTAATTAAAAAAAAAATTTATAGAGATGGGGGCCTCACTATGTTGCCCAGGCTGGTCCCAAACTCCTGAGCTCAAGCGATCCTCCTGCCTCCGCCTCTCAAAGTGCTGGGATTACAGGCATAAACCAGCATGCCTGGCTCAACTGTCTCCATTTTAAGGAGGAGAACTGGCTTTCAGAGACAGTAACTGACTTGTCCAAGATCACGCAGTTAGTGGAGGAGCCAAGAGAAGCTTTCTGGGTTACTGGATGGTGACCTGGGGCGACATAGGTAACCTCGCTGAGCCTCAGTGAAATGGGTCCGATAGAGGAGCTGTGAACAAAGTAAGGATGCACCCAGGCTGAGAGCGTGAGCACAGCACCCCTTGCCTGCACTCAGGGGAGGTGCGGTCACATTGGTGCAGCCTGTTTGGGACTGTTGCCTGGAGTCAGCCCTGTCCACTACTCCCTGCCCAAGAAAGCAAGGGTCTGTGGCTTGGGGTTTACTGTCTGAGAACCACTTGGCTGTGCCCCTGCCTGGCATTTCCTAGCGGAACCAGAGCTGCAGCTCTGAGCAAAAGTGCTGGTCCTCTTGTCCATTATGTAACAAATGGAAACTGAGAACAGGTTCTCCAAGCAGGTCTCCCTCCTCCTTCTGTCCTGTCCACCCCCTGGGGACCCCTGCATCCCCATAGCCTCAGGTCAGATGGTCTGAGCCTGACGTGGACAGTACTCACTAACACATGTCCCCATGACCGGCCAGGCTCACAGCTGGGCTCCACTCTCCAGCCTCTGCAACCAGGTGCGGCCACGTGGCTAAGTGCTAGTCAATGGGATGGGTGGGGGCGGGCACTGTGCTCCTCTTCCAGGCTGGCCCCTAACAACCTCCTGTGGGTGAGCCCTGCTCTCTTACTCACCCACTGCTCCAGTGGAGGGCACTCCGAGGACCTCAGGGAGGTTAGAGCCACCAATGGAGGCTCTGAAGAACCACATGGAACCATGAGGAACCCAAAGAGCTGTGACAAGAGGGAGAAATAAGCTTTAATTGTGTTAAGCCACTGAGTTTATCGATAAGGCAGTGTCACAATCTTTGGCAGACTGTATCTGCCAAAGATGGGCTCCACAACATTACCCACCCCCCAAGCTCTTTGTAGAATTTGGTTGACGAGAAAAGCCACACTCTAAAATATCTCAGAACGTTTATTCTAAGCCAAATAGGAGTGACCATGGCCTGTGACACAGCCTCAGGAGGTCCTGAGAACAGGTGCCCAAGGTGGTTGGGCTATAGCTTTATACATTTTATGGGGACAGAAGTTACAGGCAAAGACATGAATCAATATATGTAAAGTATACATTGGTTTGGCCCAGAAAGGTGGGACATCTTGAAGTGGGTGGGTGGTGCTTCCAGGTCAGAGGAGGATTCAAAGATTTCCTGATTGGCAATTGGTTAAAAGAGTTAAGCTTTACCTGAAGAGTTGGAGTCGGCAGAAAGAAATGCTTGAGTTAAGACAATGGGGATGTGGAAGCTAAGGTTCTTGTTACATAGATGAAGCCTCCAGTTAGCAGGCTTCAGAGAGAATAGATGTGCATGTCTCTGGGGACCTTAAAAGGTATCAGACTCTCTGGAAAAGAGCTAGTAAGTAAGGAGATTCTCTACAGAATGCAAGTTTCCCCCACAAGAGATGACTTTGCAAGTCCATTTCAAAATATGTCAAAGAAAATTTATTTTGGGGTAAAATACTTTGATTTCCTTTAGGGCCTGCTCTCTGTCGTGTGTTGCTATACCAGAGTCATGTTAGAATCGGGTATCTGATTGCTACAAAAGTGTTCTGTCAGTCTTAGGAGGATCTCTATGTTAATGTTAATGCTGGTCAGCTGTGCCGAAACTTAAAGGGAGGAGGCTATGATGAGGCATGTGTGACCTCCCACTTCCCATCATGGCCTGAACTAGTTTTTTGGGTTTCTTTGGGGTCCCCTTGGCCGACAGGGGGTCCATTCTCTCAGCTGGGGCTTATAATTTTATTTTTGATTTACAATATGATCTTGACATTCTTCCTATTAGGAGATAGGGTCTATGTCTCCTCTCATTGAATCTTGTTTATTTATTGTTTTTTATTTTATTAATTTTTGTGTTTTTTAGAGATAGAGTCTTGCTCTGTTGCCCAGGCCAGAGTGCAGTGGTGGACTCCTAACTTACTTCAGCCTCAAACTCCTAGGCTCACGTGATCCCCCTGTTTCAGCCTCCTGAGTAGCTGAGACCACAGGTATGTGCCATCATGCCTGGCTAATGAAAACTTTTTTTTTTCTTTTTTTTTTAGATATAATATCCCGTTATGTTGCCCAGGCTGATCTTGAACTCCTGGGCTCGAGGCATCCTCCCACCACCATCTCACAAAGTGCTGAAATTATAGGTGTATGCCACCATGCCCAACTAATTTTTCTTTTCTTTTTTGTAGACAAGATCTCTCTATGTTGCCCAGGCTGGTCTCAAACTCCTAGCCTCAAGGGATTCTCCGAAAGTGTTGGGATTACATGCATAAGCCACTGTGCCTGGCCCATGGGCGGGCTTGTGACACACTTGTTACAAAGAGAATGTAGTGAAAGTTGTACTGTGTGACTTCCATGACATCCATGTTCACTGGAGCACTCGTGCCTGGAGGCCTGAGTTGCCCTGTCAGCAGTCCAACTACCCTGAGGCCACCATGCTGTGAGGAAGCCCAACCAGCCCACATGGGGCAGACCACAGGGAGCAGCTCAAGATCACCATGCTGTTTCAGCTCCAGCCCCCCATCTGACTACAACAACATGTGAGACCTCATGTCATTTTCTCTCCTGCCCACTGTATCACAGCTGTGTAGGGTTTCATTTGTACTTTCCTCAAGGCTCTTGCGTGAGCTCTTGCTGCAGCTAGTCTCAGGCTTGAAGGTGATACTCACAACCCCCTCCTGGATTATTCATTCAGATCCCTTTCACCCTCAGCTAGACCCATGCTGGACTAGATAGCTTACCTGGTGGGTTGCCCCAGATCCTCACCAACGAGGATGAGCCCCTGGTGACCATTCCCTTCTTGAGCCATAGCTGCTCACTTGCCTATTTGCTGACTACATCAGGTGAAAGAGTCCTGAGGGACACCCATGTGGGTGGCACACAGTCTTCTCTGCTTCCATTGTGTGACAGCAACCCTACCTCCTCTGATGGTTCAGGTCAACTGCCCCTGCTCGATGGGTGACTCTTCCCCTGCCTACTGGTGTCTTGACATGAGTAGCCTGGCGTGACTGGTGTCGCTTGGTGGAAGCATTCCCCTTTGGAAACCAGAACCTCTGAACCTACAGAATCTGTAGTTGTGTGGACAGGAAGCACATATTCTCCAAGTAGGTCACTGAGAGTGATGCTAAATTAGGCTATTCCTGCTTCCATTCTTTGGTTCTTAGGCCCAGGTATTTTACCCACTGGGGACATCGTGTACTGGTCATTGACTTGGGATGTACATACACCCTGGAGGATGGTGCCCTTGCTTCACAGGTGGCACCTCCAAGCTGGTGCTGTGGCTGAGCCTTCAACTGGCCACTCCATTTCCCCATCAGCCAGCAGCCTCTGGGTTGTACAGCACATAATAGGACCACTAGACACCATGGGTGTGCCTGCGGTTGCACCTCTTTTGCTGTGAAGTGGAGCCCTTGGCCTGATGTGATGTTACACCCTCGCTTGGGGCTCTAATACTGGAGCAAGCCGGCCACCATGTCATGAGGACTCTCAAGCCATCTGTGGAGAGGCCCATCTACAGAGGAACAGAGGCCTCCCACCAACAGCCGGCACTGTCTTGCCAGCCCGGGTGTGAGTGCCTTGGAAGCAGGCCCTCCAGCCCAGGCCCAGCCATTCCAGAGGACATCCTGACTGCAACCTCAGGGAGGCCCACAAGGCACAACACACAGCGAAGCCACCCTGGATTCTTCACCTGCAGACACCGGGATGATCATAAACGTCTATTGCTGCTTTCAGCCACATTTCTTGAAATATTTGGGTATTTTTCCCTAGTGTCTGGTTACCTGAGTCAATGAGCATCAGTCCTGTTGGGGAAGGAGTAGGGGATTCCCATAGGCCTTTGTTACGATGTTGCAGAGTCCTTCTTCCTGGAAACACGCTTTTCCTTTCAGTGGATGGGATCTGGACTTGAAAACTGGCTCAGGTCTGGACACTGGGCAAGGGATCAGGATTTATCTTTGGGTGGCTACCCTCAACTTCCTAACCCCATCTGCCTTGATTTGTCCAGAGAGGATGGGCCAAGTCTCACCTGTGTCAGCCATCCATCTATCTTGCCTCTTTCTTTCTTTCTTTCCTTCCTTCTTTCTTTCTTTTTCTTTCTTTCTTTCTTTCTTTCTTTCTTTCTTTCTTTCTTTCTTTCCTTCTTTTTCTTTCTTTCTCTCCTTTCTCCTTCCTTCCTTTCTCTCTTTCCTTCCTTCCATCTCATTCCTTCCTTCCTTCCCTTCCCTTCCCTCCCTCCCTTTCTTTCGTCTCTCTTTCTCCTTCCTTCCTCTCTCTCTTTTCTTCCTCCCTTCCTTCCTCCATCTCCTTCCTTCCTTTCTTTCGCTTTCTTTCTTTCTATCTTTCTCCTTCCTTTCTTCCTTCTCCTTCCTTCCATCTCCTTCCTTCCTTCCTTCCCTCCCTCCCTCCCTCCTTTCTTTTTCTTTCTTCCTTCCTTCCTTCTTTCCTTCCTTCCTTCTTTTCTTTTCTTTCTTTCTCTCTCTCTTTCTTTCTTTCTTTCTCTCTCTCTCTCTTCCTTTCTTTCTTTCTTTCTTTCTTTCTTTCTTTCTCTCTCTCTCTCTCTCTCTCTCTTTCTTTCTTTCTTTCTTTCCTCTCTTTCTCTCTTTCTTCTTTCTTTTTTTTGGAGTTTTACTCTTGTTGCCCAGGCTGGAGTGCAATGGCATGATCATGGCTCACTGCAACCTCCACCTCCTGTGTTCAAGCAATTCTCCTGCCTCAGCCTCCCGAGTAGCTGGGATTACAGGAGCCAGCCACCACGGCCTGGCTAATTTTTTTTTTTTTTTAAGTAGAGATGGGGTTTCACCATGTCGGCCAGGTTGGTCTTGAACTCCTGACCTCAGGTGATCTACCTGCCTCAGACTTTCAAAGTGCTAGGATTATAGGCATGAGCCACCACACCCGGCCAGGTGCCGTTTTCTATCAAGCATCTCCATGGCTCGCCGTGGACCTCACTGTGTTCCAGCCTTGGTGCTTGTTAAAGTGATTGCACTGACCTTGCTTCCAGTGGTTTGGTGCAGGCTCCTAGCCCCTTATTTCTGGATCCTCTTATTCCCAGCTCTCTCAGCAAACCTGGTTCTGTAACGGCACCTCCCACCACCCACCCTGGCCTATGGTGGACAGCCCCATCCCTGAGCTACCTGGTGAAGCCGGTGCTGGGTCAGTGGGACGTCCTTGGTGGTGTCTTGTGGAACGCTGTCACCCAGTGGGTTTTCTGCCTGCTCCGGTCCATGCCCACTTCTCTGTCTTTTGATCCCTTCTTCTGTCATCTGCCATCTTTCTCCAAGTTTCAAGAGCCACTTCAGCAGTG
Organism: Homo sapiens; assembly: GCF_000001405.40. Classification (NCBI taxonomy): domain Eukaryota; kingdom Metazoa; phylum Chordata; class Mammalia; order Primates; family Hominidae; genus Homo; species Homo sapiens. Next base: position 6,568,955 of record NC_000004.12, on the reverse strand, counting down.
CGTTAGCACTGTCTCCTGCTGTTAAATCCGGCATGACTGGTGTGTTAGTCATCTCGGGCTGCCATAAGAAGAAACCACAGACTGAGCGGCTTAAACAGCAGACATTTATTTTCTCCTGGTTCTGGAGGCTGGAAGTCCAAGATCAAGGTACCAGCAGGATCGGTTTCTGGAGAGGGCTCGCTTCTTGGCTTGTAGATGGCTCTCTTCTCCCTGTGTCCTCATATAGCCTTTCCTCTGTGCATGTAAGGCAGGAGGAAGGGGGAGGGAAGGAAGAGGGAGGGAGGGAGAGAGAGAGAGAGAGAATGAGATCTGGTGTCTTTTCCTTGTTTTCTAAGGATACCAGGCTTATCAGGTTAGGGTCTCACCCTGATGACCTCATTTCACCTTAATCACGTCCTTATAGGCCCTATCTCCAAATACAGTCACATTGGAGGTTAGAGCTTCCATCTATGAATTTTTTTGGGGAATACAATTGAGTCCATAACAATGGGAGAAGTCCCCCATTTCATGAGCTCCTCCTGCCCTTGATCCGGTCCCAAGAGCACTGTCCCACCCCCACTGCTCCGTGCTGGCTGGGTCCATAGCTCCTTTGGGGTGTAGTCTTGTCCTCCCTGGCTGGCCCAGCATGTCCCCAGGTGGGTGTGGTTGTGGCTTAACCCCAGTGATGAATCTGGTGGGCGGCACAGGTTATAGGTGGATTCGGAGGGCAGGATGTTTGGTCTTCCACGTTGAAGGCCGCGGTATCATCTTTAGGCAAGGAGAGAGCCTGTTATCCTCTGAGGGAGGACTTGGGCAATTCTGCAGGCCCAGAGTGTCCAGGTAAATCTGGGGAACCACAGGTGGAGACTGTGCATTCACCCAGACATCCCATCGCGCTCTTCTTGGAGTCCCACTCCTTTGTGATCAGGTCTGGAAGCTTGGCATTGCAGACCTGACAAGGTTGGGGACCTGGCCTAGTCTGCAGCACCCCTCTTCATAACTCAGCCCTGGGCTGGTTCTTGCTTTTTTTTTTTTTTTTGAGACAGAGTTTTTGCTCTTGTCTCCCAGCCTGGAGTGCAGTGGCGCGATCTCGGCTCACTGCAACCTCCACCTCCCGAGTTCAAGCAATCCTCCTGCCTCAGCCTCCTGAGTAGCTGGGATCACAGGCGCCTGCCACTACACCCAGCTAATTTTTGTATTTTTAGTAGAGATGGAGTTTCACCCTGTTGGCCAAGCTGGTCTTGAACTCCTAACCTCAGGTGATCTGCCTGCCTCGGTCTCCCAAAGTGCTGGAATTACAGGCGTGAACCATGACACCTGACAGGGATCACATTTCAACATGAGATTTGGAGGGGACAAATATCCAAACTCCATCAGGAGGGTAGGGTAGGGGGTACAGTTTTAAACTGGGTACAATTTAAAGGGGTGCAGTTTTAAATAGCAAAAGCCACATTGAGAAAGTGACATCTGAGCAGGAGGTGCAGAAGAGGGCGGTGTGGATGTCTGGGGACCAACCTTACCAAACTTACTGGGCAGCAGTCACTGCAAGTGCAAAGGCCCTGAGGCAGCACCATACCTGGTAAGCTCAGGAGCCAGCAAGGAGATCCCTGTAGCTGGAATGGAGGGAACCAGGGGAAGAACAACAGGAGGGAAGGTTCTAGAGTGGGGGGCAGTGGGCAGATATGGGGCTTTGGAATTTACTCTGAAGGAGATGGGAGCCATTGCAGGATTTTGAGCAAAGAGTGAGGTGATCTGACTTATGTTGTAAGAGGATCCCTCTGACTGCTGTGTTGCTGGGTGGAGAACACACCAGCCCCGGCCGGGGCAGAAGTGGGGAGACCAAGTAGGAGGTGCGTGCAATAGTCCAGGTGAGACATGATGGTGGCTGGGACCTGGGAATAGCAGTGGGGGTGGTGACATATGGTCGGGCTTGAATGTGTTTTGCAGGAAGAGCTGACGGAAACTGCTGATGAATTTGATGTGCTGTTTGAGCCGTGGGGAGTCAGGGATGATGATGTGGTCTAGGTGCAATGTGCACAGGCCCGTGTTGATACAAAGCATTTATTTCATTTCCCCTTGGTCTCTTCTAATGGCTGGTCTGAGTTGGTTTCTTTTTCCTCCTCAACTGTTTTCTGAGCTGTACCAGCACTGAGAGTGTCCATCCTGGCCTTGGGGACACACCCTTTTGTGGCTAGGGTTGGGGGAGGGGATTCCTCATTGCAGTGAAGTTGGGGGAGTCTCCTGGGTTGGGGGAAGTGTCTGGGCAGCTTCTGTGACAATCTCAGATGAAAGTTCAGCTTCACTTCACGGGGGTTGGCATTTCACTGCAGGGACAGACTACAGCCTAGAAACATTTCTTTCTAAGAACAGGCTCTGGCGTGCCCAGCCCGAAGAGGCTATTTTAGGTTTTGGGTTCTGTTACTTTGGTTACTAGTAGCAAATTGTTGTCAGAAAAAAAGCTGATGCCAAATGTGTATCCCCCCGCCAACCCCCACTCTGAAGAGATGTTCTGCAAAATGCTTCTCATTTGAATCAAAGCTCTGTCATGAAAAACGCAGGTTCCAGAGGGGCCTATACAGCAACGTGGACTCTTTCAGATCATGCTAGTGTTCTCTGGCATTGATGCTCCTCGAAACGGCCATCGCTACCCTTGCGAAGTGTAGTGTGTGCCCTCGCCCTTCTTCATCAGACTTGTCCCAGGTGACTCACAAGGAGCAACAGCCTGACCTCTGCAGGTGTGAGAGTTTGCGATAGGGGCCCACCAGCGCCATCTCCCATTCAGTCTGCACCCTGTGACATCAGCACTCTTCGTCCTCCTGAGCAAGTGGGACAGTTCTGGGGGACTTCCTCTTGCTTTAATGGGCGAACTGCTTGAGACTACGTCCAGTGCCAAACAGTCTTCCCGATCAGCAGCATGGACCCTGGCATACTCCTACCTCCAAACCTTCTATGGCTACCCAGTGTCTCTCAGGAAACCTCATCCTCAGCCTGCATTGCAAACAATTCAGGGTTTAGCCCCAACTTGCTTTTTTGGCCGTACCTCCCACATGCTTGTACTACATTCCTTCCAGCAACTGCAAACAGGCCCCATGGCTCCCCATCCTCACCCCCCTTTCCTCCTCTGTGTGTCTCTTCTGCCTAGAATGAGCTGGCTTCCTTTGGCCACCACCCTTGCACGACTGGATCCTTCAAGTCCCTTCCTACCTCAAGCCCTTTGCACGTGCTGACCCTCCTGCCTGGAAGCACTGCCTCCACTCTGTGCAGTGGACTGCTATTCCTCCTTTGTGTCTTGCACATGGAAGGCCAAAGAGAGCGTCTGTGAACCTCCCCTCTCTACAGCATTGATGGCTGTATAGAATTCAATAGTAACGTGTGCATTTGGTTAACATCTTCCTCACCCGCTACACCATACGCTCCGTGAGACTTCGTTTTGTTCACTACCAGATTTGGCACCTGGGAGAAAGGAGGGGCTGTCTACCTTCCGTCGAAAGAATAAATGAATGTATTATTACCTGCATGCCTGTCTCCCTTGCACACTCAAGGAAATGGGCCATGCCCTGGTGTGTGCAGAAAGCTCAGCTGAGGGGCTCATCCCACCTCCACAGCTCACCTGCAGTGTGAGCAAGTCACTTAACCCTGGGGCAGGGACGATGCATCCCATGGCTCCTGGCAGCCTGACCCAGAGCCTCCAGGTTCTAACCTTTAAAATGGGGATATTTATGCCTATTCATAGGGTTGTTGTAAATATGAAACTAGGCCATGCCAAGTGACTGCCCGGGACCTGACCCAGGTCCACCCCACCTCAGGCTGTAAGGCTACCCGTGGGACATGTATTTATCAGGAAACCCCGCCATGCCCTGACGCTGTGCCAGGCAGAGGGCTGGGAACTGAGAGAACAGGGGCTGATGCTGCTGCAGGATGACCTCGTGTTGGAAGACAGGCACTGCCCCGGGGAGAGGCTGCTCTGGGGCTTTTGGGGCTCCTGGGAGGACCCTGGAGGCCTTCCTGGAGGTGGAGGTGACGAAATTGGACTTTCAAGGCCAAGAAGGAAGAGGGAGGGGGTCAGAGGCTTAGAAGGCAGATCCCTCCTGCTAGGTGAGGTGTAGAGGGGCTAGGGTGCAGCTCACGGGCCTAGAACTGGGCTAAGGTGGGGTGGGGTGGCCTGACCTTTGGCCTGGGGCCTGCAGCACTCTTTCCTTCCCTCTGCTCTCCTTCTTCTGCTCCCTGGAGAGCCTATCCTTAGCCATCCCTGCTCCTCTCCCTTCCTGGGAGGGGAGGGTAGGAGAGGGGGGAGTGGGGGGATTAACGTGTGTCCCTGTGGCTGTCTGCTTCCACTTTGTGCACATTGGCATCACGGGGTTCTGTGCTCAGTTAGGGTGAGGCAGCTGGGACCCCAAGAGGGCCAGCGGCCCCTCGTGCCTTAGGATCACCGTGGGAGCACGCTCTCTCCTCCCTCCTTGGATGGGCTTCTCTAGCCCTGGCCCTTCCCGCGGGACGTCCAGCCTCCTCCTCTCGGCGTGGCTGATTGCTCTTCCTCCTTCGTCTGTTGCACGTGGAAGGTCGGAGGGCGTGGCTGTGAAGCTCCCGTTCCTCCTCATGGCATTGATTGCTGTCCCCTTCGCACCCGGTGGGGGGGCGGGGGTGGGCAGCGACCCCAGCTCCCAGCAGGGCGGGTCTGGGGAAGGGCAGGATGCAAAGGGGCTCAAACCAGAATCGCAATCTGGAGCTGAGCCCCGCCTTGGCCGCTTACTCCGCCTGAGTCCCTTTCCCTCTCCGTGCCTCAGTTTCTCCTCAGTAAAATGGGCATCGCCATCAGGCAGGCGGCCCTCGCGCGGTGACGGCTGGCGGAGGCGGCTGCCGCTGGACCGGTGGGTGGGGCAGAAAGGGACGCTTCGGTCCGTGGCGACAGCCCCAGCGCCCGCACCCACACCCCGCCCCGCGCCCGCACCCCGCGCCTCTTACCCGGTGCCCGGCCCCGCGCCCCGCGATCCGCGCCCTGCGATCCGCGCCTCGCGATCGTCGCCCCGCGCCCACCCTCGGCGCCCGCAGCCGCACCCCGCGCCCCGCACCCGCGCTCCGGGCGGAGCCTTCTGGGCGCGCCTCCCCGCCCGCCCGCCCGCGCAGGGAGCCGAGCCCGGAGGAGGCGGAGGAGGAGCGGCCGCCGCGCCCGGCCCCCCGCAGCCGCCCGGAGGACGCCCGTCGCGGTCGCAGCCTGCGGAGCCGCCCATGGCCCAGCAGCCGGGTTAGCCTCGCCGCGCGCCCCCGCCCCCCGCCCCCCGCCCCGGGCCCGCGCTCACGCGCCCTTGCTGTTTTGCCAGCTGACCGCGCCCCCGCCGCGCCCGCCGCGCCCGCCGCCGACCAGGGCTCCTGGTGCCTGTGCCAGCTCAATGGGGCCGCCGACCTCGAAGTTTCCGAAGGTAAGCGCGGGCTGCAGGGCGCCCGGCCCCGCCGCTCCGGAGCCGCCTCGCGCCCACCCCGCCTCACCCCCAGCCCCGCAGGACCTCACCCTGCCCGGGGACGCGGCCCTCGGGTGCGGGACTCCCGCGACTGGAGGAGAGGGCGCGTCTTCGCGGGCCAGAAGCGAGACTCAGAGAGCCCGGGCACCGACCCCGGGGCGGTCCTGGGGCAGGGCTGGCTCTGCTAGGGTCCGAAGTGCCGGGGTCCCTCCGGAGCGCGTGCTCTCGGGGTCTTGAGGGAACCCGACAGAACCGGCTTGGAACCCTGCCTCCAGCACTTGCTCGCCGCGCGAGCCAGGGCAGATCGCTCCACCGGTGTCAGCCACAGCGTCTCGGCCGAGAACCGGCGCGCTCGAGCCCCCCCTCGCTGCCCGGCTGAAGGTGCGGGCGCGGGGTCCGGCTCGGAGTCCGGGGTAAGACCCAATGCGGCGGAGTTCAGTCCCGGCCGCGGGTACCATCCAGCAGCGTCTACGCGCTCCTCCCGCTGCCCGCGCCGGTGGGTGCTGAGTCAGGCCCGGCTGCTGCTCTGGTTTGGAGAAGCCTTTTTTTTTTTTTTTTGGCTGGCAGGGACAGTCCATGACAGTGGCGCGCCCAGAGCCCGAAGAGCGTTGGTGGGATGGACAGCTGCTCTCGCACCCTGGGAAGTGACCCGGGTTGGCTTTTATGCGGAGGGTCCCAGGGACAGGGACCACACACTCTGTGGCCCGAGACGCTGCCCCGCCTGGATTGAATCCTAGCTTCGCCCTGACCGGCCGGGTGGCCTTCAGCAAGTGGCTTACTCTCTCAGGGCCTCAGTTTCTCTTCTGTGAAATGGGGATGACGTTGCTTAGCGGGCAAGGTTGTGGCAGAGATAAAAGAAGAGGCCTATGGGGGGTACTGGTGAGGGCCCAGGAATCTGTTTTTGCTTTCTTCCCTCCTCCCTTCAGGGGCCCAGTGAGGTGGGTGATGGAAGGTACAGAGGGCTGGTGGACCGGGGTAGGGTGCTGGTCTCTGTCACTTTATATAACAAACACACTGTTCCAAGAGCTTTCAAATATCCAACCCCCCCCCCCGACTCCGTTGAATCCTCCCCACATTATCCCCATTATAGGATAAGGAAACTGAGGTGCAGAGAAGTTAAGTAACTTGCCCGAGGCCACACAGCTGCCAGTGGGAGAGCTCCAGAGGCTGTGGCGAGTCCTCTTTGGCATGTGCTCACACTGTCACGGGAAGACATCACAGGGACACTGTCAGCAACATGGAGGGGACGGGCTGTGGCAGGGAGTGGGGCCCGTTGCCCACAGGTGAGCTCCTCTGTCAGCTGTCAGTGCCCCACAATCTGCTGCAGCTGCCTCCTCAGTCTCATTGTCCCCCGCACTCTGACCACGCCCTGGTCGCCTGCTCATGCTCAGCTCCCTCCAGGCCCCTGAATGTGTCTGTTTCCTACCTCCCTGCTGTGGAGTGAGGGTTTCCGCCCACCTGGGATGCCTTCTCTGTCCCAGGTGTCCTCACCCCTGGGAATACCCTCACCCCTTGAGGGCAGGGACTATATCCGGTCATGTCTGCAGGACACTGACTGTGCTTGGCAAATCGCAGCTTCTCAGTGTGGAATTGTTGACTGTCGATTAGTGAGTGCGTGAGTGAGTGAATGCCACATGGCCTTTCTCTGCTTTTCAGAAAAGGGGTAGGCAGGCTCGATGTAGAACCTTCTTCAGCTCTCTTAGGACTCCCTAGAGCCTGCTTGCGGCTGGCAATGGGTCACGGAAGATCTTTGGGCTGGGAGTCAGTCCCTGGGTTCTAAACGCCAGTGTGTGTATGTATCCATGTATGTATCTGTGGGTGTGTCTGTGTATCTGTGTGTGTATCCAAGTGTGTCTGTGTAGCTCTATGTCTGTATAGGTGTGTCTGTGTGTGTGTTTGTGTCTCTCTCCGTGTGTGTAGCCATTAAGCTCTTTTTGGAATAAAAAAATTGCAAAATGAATGCATGATCACCAGCATCTTGGAAAAACATGAAACAATATGGAAATAGTTGGAGTAAAAGGTGCAAGTCCTCCCCTCCCCCTCCCCCCACCTCCTTCCGACCCAGGACCAGCTACATAATTTGTGGGGCTCAGTGCAAAATGAAAATGCAGGGCCCTGTGTTCAAAAAGTAGGGGAAAGTGTGGTTAAAAGTGCTCACTTTCTCCTGCACTCTCTCTCCGCCTGTCATGGTGGTTTTATTTCCTGTGTAACATCGTGTTCCTTTGGGCATGGGGATGCTTGCAGGGTGAGTGCAGACTCTTGCAAGACGCCTGTCTTCTGGCCAGGGACAGGGAAGTTGAGTGTCGAGTCAGGCATTTCCCCTTCCCACAGGTCCACAGGTCGATGCCCCAATCCATGGCAGACAGGTACCCCACAGGGCATTGCAGCCTTGGGGTTGAGACAGTTGGTACCTGATGTTCCTGCTGAACTGCCCACCGAACACACAGTGGCACTGCCAGCCCAGGGAAGGGCGGTCACCGCCATGATCCACCCCAGGATGCACTGGGGTGCATACACTCCTAGACCCAGACCCCTGCCAGGGGAGGAGGGCAGCAGTGACACTGAGACAAGGCACAAAGAGGAGGAAGGGTGGGGTCCAGGGTGCCAGAGGCCAGGGGAGCAGTCAGCTGAGAACCCAGGTTGGGGAGGTGGCAGGAGGCAGGAGCACACGCTCCATGCTCACAGCACAGGCTCTGCTGTTCCATCAGACATTGCTTAGGAAACACACATTCAAAGATTCAGCTGTCAGGAATTTTATGACTCTGCAGAGCCTTAAACCCCAAGCACGAGCCCCTTCCAAGCATGAGGCCTGTGTGGCTGCCTGGGTCACACACTTGTGAAGCGGGTGCAGCTCCAACCCCATGGCTGTGGATAGGCACAGAGCTCCAGTAACAGCAGCCAACACTGAGAGGTGCTTTGTAGGATCCAGGGACGCTTCCAGTGCTTCCTAGGTATGAGCTGCTTTCCTTCCGCCACAACCTGGTGAAATGGGTGCTCTTGTTGGCTCCGTTTTACTGAGGCACAGAGAGATTAAGTGATCTGCCTGAGGTCCCACAGCTGTTAGTGGCGGAGAGCCTTTCAGTCCTCCCCCAAGGCTTGTCCTTGGTCACTCTACCCCACCACCTCTCAACAAGGGCCTGGAGCTCACTGCTGCTGTCAGAAAAAAAGCAAATCTTATTTTTTTCATTTGCCAGTATGGAAACGCCCCTGGCTTGGAGTTGCTTCCAGAAGAACATAGAAGTTCCAGCCCTTAGTCTGGTAGCCAAGAGCCTGGGTGGGCTGGGCCTGGGGGGCTGTGCACTGTCCCCTGCTTGCCCTCCTCCAGGAGGGTCTTGCATGGGTCTTGCATGGGGCTGCTCCCTGCCCTGGGGCACCCCTGCCCCTGCCTTGCCTGGCTAACGCCTGCATAGCCTTCAAGGGCCCCAGGATGCCTCTTCCTTGGTGGGCTTCCCCTGTGGTTCCCCCAACACCTTAAGGGACATGTCAATTTTGACGTGGAATCCCCAGGGTTTGAGTTGCCCCTTGGGGTCACACACCACATGTTTGAGGAGTGAATGGATGAAATGGCCTGAAATCTGATTAGCACATGGAACACAGTTCAGGAAGGGAGCTGTCTTAGTCCGTTGGGGCTGCCGTAACAAAACACCATATAGCCTGGGCAGCTTATGAACAACACAGGTTTATTTCTCACCGTTCTGGAGGCTGGAAGTCCAAGATCAAGGCGTGGCGGATTCAGTGTCTGGTGAGGACCTGCGTTCTGGTTCACGGATGGTGCCTTCTTGCAGTACCCTCTCAGGGTGGAAGGGGCAAATGAGCTCCCTTGAGTCTATTTTAGAAGGGCACTAATTTCCTTCTAATTGTTTCCCCAGGGCCCGGCTCCTCATATCTCACATTGGGGGTTAGGATTTCAACATAGGAATTCAGGGGGACACAAGCATCCAGTCCACAGCAGGGGGGATTTTGGAGGAAGTTATGCATGGGGCAAGAATTGGGTTAAGGTGTTGGGAGTGTAGTTGGCACAGTGATCACAGATGCTGCGTGTTGCAAATTTGCAGCCCTGGGTGAAGTTTAATCTCTTTGCCTCTGTTCTGTGTGTGTGTGTGTGTGTGTGTGTGTGTGTGTGTGCTGTGTATTTTTTCAGAACTGCCATTTATTGGGCACTTCTGTGAGCCTGGCACTGCACGGGCACTATGCACTATACACTCTATCTCACTTATCCTCAAGTCAACTTGTGAGGGTGTGGACGTGCCCACTGCCCCCGGTTTTACAGAGGAGCACACTGAGGTGCCAGTGATGTGCTCCAGGCTGCTTAGCAGTGAGAGATGGATCTGAACCTAGTTCTTCCTGCCTTGGCTGGACTGCGAGCTGCTCTCCCAGTGTTTAAATTTAGGTTCTGTTCTGTGATTCCTTCTCAGGAAACTGCTATTGTCAGGGCTGCCTGCTCATCAGAGCCCCTGTCTCAGCGCAGTGTTCCCCTGGCATTGCAGAGCCACAGAGCTGGGAGCCACTGTTGCTGTCTTTCCTGTGCACTCCTGGCTGGAGGCTGGTGTCCCATCAGAGCCGCAGGGCTGGGTGGTGAATTCCCAGGATGGGCACCTGTGAGGGTGCAAGGTCAGAAAAAAAGATGACGCTGGGCTTTGGGGGCTGTGATGGAGACTCACTGGGTGGGGCATCTTTAGATGGGAGGCCAGGCAGGGAGACACTGTGGAAATCCTTTCCTGGGTCTGGAGTGGACCGGTTGCCCAGGTCTTCATTCCAAGCTTGGCTCGGTGCAGGGCTCCATGTTGAGTGGGGTGTGGCTTCATGGTGGGGACACTGTTGCACTCTTTGCTGGCACTCCTGGTCAGAGGATGGTGTCCATCAGAGCCTCTTCCATTGTGTAGTTCCTGGCTGCCAAAGAATCTTTCTGCGGCAAGAATCTGAAATCCAACCTAGTTTGACCCAAGCACAGAGTTGATCAGGCTGAGTATTGGGAAGTTCAGGGGATGCCCTGATATTTTAGGAGGCTGAGCACAGGTGGCCTTCTCCTTGTTAGGAGGCAGCCAGAGGTGGCAGGTAAAGGCTCACACACCTGCAGGTCCCAGGAGGAGAGAAGAGGGCTCTTTGTAAGCCCTGAGAAAGGCTTCTCCTTGACCTTGCATGGGTGGCCTTCCCACTGCAGGTACAATTTCCCTGTCCCCATGGATGGCTCTCCCAAGCAAGGGGATGGGGCCCCTTAAGTGACAGCCCCACCAGCACCCCAGGTCACAGATGGCAGCTGAGAGTAGTGTTAATCTTCTTAGCTGGCACTTATGGAGAACTTGCTGCATGCTTGGCACAGGCAGAGCCTGTTAGGTGTATCAGGCGCTCACTCGGTGTTGGGATGCGATCATCACAGCCACTTTGCAGGTGATGCTGTGACATGTGGTGAGGTTGGGAGAAGTCACTGCCCCAAGTCTCACCGCCAGGGGCTGTCCTGCTGGGCTCGGGCACCTTTAAGAGGATGGGTGCTGAGGCTGCTCAGAAGCACCTGGCCGCCTCCTTCCTCCTGCCTTCCTGTCCACAGGGGAGGAGGAGAGGTCTGGGGTGGGGCTGGGGAGGGTTTGCCTGGAGTCACGCAGCAGGTGAGAGTAGAACCAGGGCCTGTGGGATGCACCTCACTCCAGGCCAGCGTCCGTTGTGCCCGCCCATGTCATCTGGGTCTCCAGTGCCCAGGTGGGGAATATTCTGCAGTAGCTCACCCTCAGATCTGCCTCCTCTCCTTCTTCATCTCTACTACCCCAGGTCAAGCCATTGTCTCCTCTTCTGGACTACTTGAGGGCCTCCCAATCCAGACTCCCCTTTCAACTCCCTAAAATAACCATGCTGACCTCTGCTGTGCCCATCTCCACAGCGCTCACTACACAGCAGCCTTTTTCCCGACCTTGGTACATCCTGGGCTCTCTCCTGTCCCGGGCCCTTTGCCCCTGCTATTCCCTCTGCTCCTGGTGCTAACCCAGCACTCACTCTAACTCATCCTTCAGGTCGCAGCTTCCATGTCCTCTCTCCAGAGACCTTCCTTGCCTCCCAGCTAAATACGTCCCACCCAGGGAGTCTCCATCACTGTACTCCGGGTCCAACGTCATCATCTTTTCTTTTCTTTCTTTCTTTCTTTTTTTTTTGCTGACCTTGCACCCAGCATCTCCTGACTATAAGATCTGTAAGAACTCATCTGTGTTCTCGGAGCCTGGCTCATAGTTCCTGTTGTTGTAGATGTTGTTGTCCTAATGCATCAGGTGTGTTTGGATAACACCAATGAGTGGTTCAAATATTCTTCCCAGATTCTAATGTCAGTGCTGCAGGACCACAATACAGTGAATTTAAAGTGACTATTTCTACTCTTTCTCAGGAAAGGAACCTATTAGCAAGTACAGTGTAGTTAAAAATGACCTCCTTGAAGGCTGGTACCTTGAATCCTCCTCGGTATCTTCTAAGGAGGCTTGTACCCCTTGTTCCTTTCCAGCCCCAGCTTCTCTCTGCCCTGGTCTGTGCCTGGAACCTGATCCTGTCAAATTTACCACCTGGATCTCTGCCGGGGAGTCTTTGGGTGGGTTTTGCCCACAGGAGGCATTGCCAGGAGCTGGGAGGGCAGGTGGAGAGAGAAGTAGGGTTGCCGCCTCCTTCCCCCTTCCCTCCTTTGGAGGAGGGTGCAGTGGCTGCATCCTTCTGTGATAATAACCAACTCAGGGGCACCCCGAGAGATGCTTGCAGATTCTCCCAGGAGGCAAAACTTCAGGGGGAGAATCTGGTTGCTCATGTTGCTGGGGAGGAACCACAGCCTGGAGTAGGGATCTACACTAATGCATGGGTTGGCAAGCTGGGCAGGGCTCTGGAAAGAACAAGGTTGCAGGATGATGACAAGGTGGCCTGGGGAAGAGGTGTGTGGATGGACCTCTCAAATGACTGCAGAGCATGAGGTATTTGTGCCCTGTAGTAGTCAGGGTTCTTCAGAGAAACAGGGCCAATAGGATCACTGCACGTGTGCGCACACACACGCACACGGAATTGGCTCAGGCAGTTATGGAGCTGAGAAGTCCCCTGAGCTCCATCCGGAAGCTGGAGAACTAGTTGTTCTAGTTTGAAGGTTTGAGAACCAGGAAGGCTGATGTTGCGATGGTGTGAGTGCCAATCCCAGGGCAGGAGAAGACTGATGTCCCAGCTCCAGCAGACAGACAGAGAGAGTGAATTCTCCCTTCTCCTGCCTTTTTGTTCCATTCAGGCCCTGAACAAACTGGGGGAGGCCCATCCACAGTGGGATTACTTAGTCTACTGATTCAAATGCTCATCTCTACTGGAAACACCCTCACAGACACACCTGGAAATGATGTTTAGCATGATATCTGGGCATCCCGTGGCCCCGTCAAGTTGACACATGGAATGAACCCCCACGTGCCCCATGCGGATGCTCCCCAGAGGCATCCTTCACGCAGGAGGCTCTCGGTCACAGGATAGACACGCTAGCCTGCCTGTGGGTGCTGGGCAGACTCTTTCCAGCCACCCCAGGGCTCACTCTTGGGCTCACACACAAAATAGGGCAGAGATGGGGAAACACACAGGCAGAAAATATGGCCTTCAACTCTCCAGGGCTGAGCTGGCCACTGCCACAGCTGAGGTCCCAGTCTCCAACATCAGGGGACAACAGTGACTTTGGGTGTGGCAGCATTACCCGAGGAGACCAGCAAGCACCCGGGGGGCAGGTTGGTTCCCTTGTTCTCAGGGGGGCGGATGCATAAGCCAGATACAGAATCGCCTTCCCACCCGCTTCTGTCAGCAGTGTCATTGTGGAATTCCTAATTCACAGTCACCGTCGCCCACAAGCATCACATCATTCAAAGGATTCCTGCGGTGGTGCAGAGCTGCGGCAAAGGGCCCTCGCCCGTGGGGTTCACTCTCATCACCCAGAAGCAGGGAGAAGGGCCTGCGGCTGCAGGCCTGGCTGCCACACCGGCCTCCAGACAACACACAGCAGGTGGGGCCTTGTCCTGTATGCCTTAGATCAGCGGCTGACTGTTTTGTGACTGTCACCTGCACAGCCACATACACAGGTTTGAGGACCAGTGGATGGAGTTAGGAGGAGCCCTTCACTGGCTTATAATCACTAGGGTGTCAAATAATTTATCATCCAAAGTGGGGTACCTTAGAGAATGAAAGGGTGTGTTATGAATGATTGCACAGGGCAGCCCCAGACGTGGCCACTGTGTTAGTGTGTTGGGGCTGTGTGGTGGTCTGAATGTTCCCATCTCTCCAGTAGTCCTGTGCTGAAATCTACCCACCAACAGAGTATTGAGGGTGGGGCTTTGGGAGGTGATTAGGTCAAGAGGTCAAGAGGGTGGAGCCCTTATAAAAGAGGCCGAGGCAGATATCTACCATGTGAGGACGCAGTGAGAAGGCGCCATCCTTGAAGCACAGAGCCCTTGTCAGACACTGAATCGAATCTGCTGGCATCTTGATCTTGGACTTCTCAGCCTCCAGAATTGTGAGCAATTTCTTTTTCTTTTCTTTTCTCTTCTCTTCTCTTCTCTTTTCTTTCTTTCTCTTTCTTTCTTTCTTTCTTTCTTTCTTTCTTTCTTTCCTTCCTTCCTTCCTTCCTTCCTTCCTTCCTTCCTTCCTTCCTTTCTTTTTCTTTTTCTTTTTTTTTTTTTTGAGATGGAGTCTCACTCTGTCACCCAGGCTGGAGTGCAGTGGCATGATCTTGGCTCACTGCAATCTCTGCTTCCTGGGTTCAAGCGATTCTCGTGCCTCAGCTTCCTCAGTAGCTGGGATTACAGGTGTGCACCACCAGGCCTGGCTGATTTTTGTATTTTTAGTAAAGACAGGGTTTCACCATGCTGGCCAGGCTGGTCTTGAACTCCTGACCTCAAGTACTCTGCCTGCCTTGGCCTCCCAAAGTGCTGGGATTGCAGGTGTGAGCCACTGTGCCCGGCCAGTGAGCAATCAATTTCTGTTATTCATAAACTACTCAGTCTAAGGTATCTTGTTGTAGCCGTCTACAGACTGAGGCTGCCTTAACAAAGCACTACACACAGAGTGGCTTGAAGAAAGGAAATTGATTGTCTCATGGTTCTGGCAGCCAGCAGTCTGGGACGAAGACGATAGCTGGGTCAGTTTCTATGGAGGAATTAGAGGGGGAATCTGTCCTGTACCCCTCTCCCAGCTTATTGTGATTTGCTGTCCATCTTTGGCATTCTTTGGCTTGTAGATGGTGTCACCGTGGTGTCTGCCTTTCTCCCTGTGCCTGTCTGTCTCTGTGTCCAAATTTCCTCTTTGATGAGGGCACCCGTCATTTTGGATTGGGGGTAAACCCTACTCCAGCATGGCCTCATTTTAACTAATGACATCTGCAGTGACCCTATTTCCAAATAAGGTCACATGCTGAGGTATTGTGGGTTTGGACTTCAATGTGAATTTTTTGTGGGGAGAGCACACAGTTCAACCCATAGCAGTCACCCCCTGATAACCCCTTGAACTAATTTTGCTTCTAGTTCATTAGGCGTGGTGTGTTTGGGGGTCCTGGTGCCCCAAGAAGGAAGGCTTCCATCAGGGAGCAGGGCCACAGTCTGTGAAAGTGGACACTGGGACCGAGGCCATTTGGACTCCTGCTGCTGCTGGGTGGCCTGGTAGAGAAGGGGGCACTGGGATGAGGGGTGACTGCTCCTAGCTACCAAGGATAAATGAGGTCACTTCTTGGTGGTATCTGGGGCCCAGAGGATCCACGGGGATGCTTCTTAGCACTGACATCTGATAAAAAAGGTCTACTGAGCATGGCAGCCCTGAACATAGAGATGGGAGCATGACAGACCCAGATCATGGGTGAAAACTTGGGTCGTTCCCCCAGGTGAAGAACCAGGTGCTCTGGCACAGGCAAGGTGCCTATCGGTGGGTGGAGGAAGAAGGACTCGCTGCTGATTGGCCCTTTTTCCCCTGCCCTCATCTCTCCTGGCCACCTTGAATGAAGGCTACCTGTGGTGGACAGTGTGGTGCTGTAGGCTCAAGGCAGGCATCTGAAGTGGCGTCTCCCTCAATGATACCGTTGCTGGTGGGACCCCGTGCCTTACTGTGTTGGGCTGAGAGTTTCTTCCCGGATAGGGGGACGAGGATGTTTGCTGAGTGGCCACAGTGGACTGCGCTGGATTTCTCCACTTGACCCGTAGATCTATTTTTCACCTCTCTGTCCAGTGTGGTGCCCTGGAGGCTGCATCACCTGTGGTCCCTGCCCTAAGGCTCCCGTGGAGTTTGGCCAGTGGGAGGCACCAGTCAGAGCTTGCAGGGCAGGAGGGAGAGGGGGAACACTCCCCGTTCTTCTCCCTGCGGTGGCGCTGCAATCCTAGGGTCGGCTGTGCTCTCCATGGTCACAGCTTGTGCCAGTGGATCCTGTCTCATGGTCCCAGTTCTCTTCCCCTGCACCTTTCAGCCCAGGGAGTAACAGCCTCCTGTCCTTGCCCTTAGTCCCTATGTGCCCCAAATGCTTCCTTGGTCACTTCCTGTAGGTCACCTCTTTGTTTACTTCTCTTCTGTTGAACTATCTGGGGTGAATTCTGCCTCCAGTGAGACCCCAACATCTATGGAGGCCATTGGAACTGGGGCATGTGTGTGGCCATTCATCCTGAAACTGGCTCTTGCCTCTGCTACTCACATGACATCAGGCAATGGCCCCACCTTCCTGAGCCTTATTGTCAAATTAGGACAATAAAGTCCACTTTTGCAGGATGTTTGTGAGTGTAGTGGAAAGAATAATGCCCCCCAAAGATGTCCACATTCTAATCCCCAGACCTGTGAATTTGTTACCTTACATGGCAAAAGGAAGTTTGCAGATGAGATTAAGTTAAGGCTCTTGAGTTGGGGAGGTTGACCTGGATTATCTGGGTAGGCCCAATGTCATCACAGGGGTCCTTATAAGAGGGAGGTAGGAGGGTCAGAATCAGAGAAGGAGATGGGATGACACAAGCAGAGGAGAGAAAGAGGAAGAGAGGGAGAAGAGAAGAGAGGGAGAAAGAAAGAGGAGAGAAAGAGGAAGAGAGGGAGAGAGATTTGAAGATGCTGAGCTGATGGTTTTGAAGATGGAGGGAGGGGTCATGAGCCAAGGAATGCGGACACCTCCAGAAGCTCGAAGATCAAGGAAACGGATCCTCCCCTGGGGCCTCCAGCAGGAACCAGCCCTGCCCACACCTTGACTTTAGCCCAGTGAGGCTGATTTCAGACTTCTGACCTCCAGAACAGTTAGAGAATAAGCTTCTGTTTTTCTAAGCCACTATGGTTGTGGAAATGTGTTACAGCAGCCATAGGGAACTTACACAATGAGAACAAATGAAAAAATTGCAGGGAGACTGCCTGCATTTCAGAGCAGGTGCCATGGAAATGATTACTGCATTTGGGAACAGTGGGCTCAGGTCTCCCCTTGTGGCAAAAGTGGACCTGTAGGCTCAGATGTGTAGCACACACAGCACCTGCTGTCTTTGCTGGTCCTTTGCTGCCACTTGTCTCATCTTCACTCACATCATCTTTTCCTTCCACTTCCAAAGTCTCTCCACTTTCTCTCCAGTTATCTGTGGCTTCCTAACAAATGATCCCATGATGTGCCAGCTGAGAATGGCCATTTCATTGTGTTTCATGGTTTTAAGAGCCAGGAGCTGAGGAAGGGCTCAGCTGGGTGATTCTTCTGCTGCATGTTGCCTACACCGAGGTCGCTTGTTGGTGTTCAGCTGGAGGATGGACTGGGCTGGGTGGCCCACAGTGGCTTCCCTGTAATTTATGGTGCCTTGGTGGGGACAGCAGGGGCTGAGCTCAGCTGGGACTGTCACCTGAGCCCTGACATGTGGCTTGTCCAGCATGGCAGCCCAGGGTGGTGGGACTCCTTCCATGGTGCTCAAGTTTCCTGGTGCAATGTCCAGGGAACAAGATGGCAGTTGTGTGGCCTTTGATGCCCAGCTTTTGGTGTCCCAGAGCTTCATTTCTGCTAGGCTCTTGGTTGAGTGGGTCACAGGCCCACCAGACTCAAGAGGAGGAGGCATAGACCTCATCTCTTGATGGGGGGACTTGTGGCCATACCACAACACTTTACCTCTAGTTTTATTTTCTCCTTTTCCAGCTGGGAGTTTCAGTTACTTTTCTCCCACTGGACTCCTATTGGCTTTGTTCTCCATGCCACGTGTTTGTTCATTCATTCTACAAATATCACCTGAGCACCCACTGCAGGCTGTGGTCTGTGCTGGAAACCCAGAGAGCACATTAGGAGCATGTGACATACATGAGCACTCGTGACTTGCCAGGGGCTTTCTAAGTGCCTTCTGAGGCCAAGTAGCCTCCAATCCCCCTGGAAGGCAGGTATGTTTCTTATCCCCAGCTTACACATGTGGATACTGCAGCACAAAAGGGGAAGAGGCTCACCTGTGGCTGCTGAGCTAACCTGTGGGAGAGTGGGCTTTGAGCTCGGGCAACCTAACTGGAGAGGCTTGTGCATAACCACCAGGCTCCATGGCCCCGGAGGCGAGGAAGGTATGGCAATTGACCTCCAGGAGGACTCTCTTTCTAGAGAGAGACCAAAACAAAAGTGTTGCTCTAGCTGGGCACTGTGGCTCATGCCTGTAACCCCAGCACTTTGGGATGCTGAGGTGGGAGGATCACTTGAGGTGAGTAATTCAAGATCAGCCTGGGCAACAGTGAGCCCTTATCTCTATAAAATATTAAAGAAAATTAGCTGGGCATGGTGGCCTGCACCTGTAGTCCCAGCTACTTAGGAGGCTAAGGCAGAAGTATCCATTGAGCTCAGGAATTTGAGGCTGCAGTGAGCTGTGATAGTGCCAGATGTGGAGCTGTACTCCAGCCTGGGGAACAAACAAGCAAGACTCCATCTCTAAATAAAAAAGAGTGTCCCCCTAAGATGCTCTGCGAAATATTGTAGACTGGTTGCCCTGGAGCCTCATGCAGGGAGTGAGGAGGGGCCAGGTCTGTCTGTGCTTCCCAGAGTAGAAGATATTAAGCTAGAAGAATGAGGGGAAAGCATTCCCGGCAGAGGAAACAGCACGTGTTTCGGGTTGGCGTTGTAGGAGTGCATGGCTTGTTAGTGAAGGGTGAAGTTCTGTGCAGCTGGGCGTAGCCTTCCCGGGAGGAAGCAGTGAGAGCTGAGGCTGCAGAGGGTAGTGGGGGTGTCTTGGCAAGGGTCTCATGTGCTGGCCTGAGGGCACTGTGGGGAGGGGGCAGACTTGGTAACTGGGCTGGGGGCTGATTGTGTCTGTGCTTTGGGATGTGCCGGCTGGTGGCTGTGAGGAGGGGAACAGGAAGCTTGGAGGTGGAGAAGGTGGGTTGTCATCCATCTCATTCCACCAGTGGGGGACGGGGAGGCTCAGAGAGGCTGAGTGACTCACTCAAGGTCATGCAGGCAGTGAGCATGGAGGTGAGACTGGGGCCCAGGCCCGTGGGATGAGCCATTGGCTGTCCCCCTACCCCGCTGTGACCTCAGCTGCACCTCGTGCTGCGGTGACAAGGTGACAGGTTAAAAATAAAGCACTGTGGTGCTGCCAGACCTTTATTGGCACAGGGTGAGGGCTGGTTATGTCACTTTAAAGAAATACTTCTCTGCAAGCATCAGTTGAGCATGTTTCTCCCCAGATATTCACCTGGGAACTGAGTCTCGAGAAATAACGTTCGTTACAGCTGCTGTCCCATAAGGACTGTCAGGGCAGGCTCAATAGTGGCCACCACTGAATAAGTGCCTACTGTGTGCCAGGCCCTACGTGGGAAAGTAGCTCATACCTTAAAGCTCATCCGTGGGCTCCAGCTACTGCCCGTGCTGCAGGTGCCTCCCGTTATCCTCCCTAGGGATGAGGAGGGGTTACGTGAGGTCACACAGCCAGCAGGTGTCATCAGAGCCCACTGCTCTCAGGGCTGCAAACCTGTGGCCACTCTACAGGAGCAGGAAGGAGCCGGTGTTATCAGTCTGGCTCTGCAGGTGGAGAAGTGGAGGGTCGTGCCCAGGAAGGCACAGGTGAGGGGCATTTCACTCCTGAGGGCCTCACCTTCTGTGATTCTGCCTGGGACTCCCTTCCCTGTATCTTTGTCATTATTCAGGTCCCAGCTGAAAAGTCACCTCCTCCGGGAGGCCTCCCCGGACCACCCTCCATCTGGAGTTGTCTGTCACTGGATCCAGGTGCAAAGCTCTGGAATGAAATGAGCCTGGCGTGTTCTGTGGCAGCAAGGAGGCTGGTGTGGCCAAAGCAGAGAGTGGGAAGGGTGGGGGTGGAGGTGGAAAAACGACGTGGTCCAATTTCCATTTTTACAGCGTCAGTCTGCCTGCTGTATGGGGCATGGACTTTGTGGGGGGCAAAGTGAGAACCAGGGGATGACTTTGGAGGCTACTGCAGTGTAGGAGTGAGCAATGATGGTGGCTTAGACCAGTGGCTTAGCTCCAGAGGTCTGGACAGGATTAACCAATTTATTCAACAGATATTTACCAGACACCTTGCACGTGGGAGGAACTGAGCCAATGGGGGATCTGTCAGTGAAGGGACAAACACATAAACATTCAAGAGCATGTTGGGGTGACAGTACTGCTAAGAGGGAAGGCGGGGAGAGGGCTGCCAAGGGACGGGCACTGTTCATTTAGGGAGGTGGGCAGAAGGAGGTGCGAGGCTCAGATCCCCCTTCAAGAAAGACTTTGCTGTCCAGCCTCAGGGCAGGCAGTCGCTTGACTGCCTCTGGATTTTGGCATCTTCAGGATCTGCCTCTCCCACTGAACCAAGGCTGTTCTTTCTGGCAGCCCTCAGCCAATGACTGCCCCCTGGAGGGATTTCTAGGGCCTGCCCATTTCTGCACACACCAGGACTCTGGCAGGCAGCCTTTGCCCTGGAGCTTGCTGTCGGTTGGCTGAGAGGGTCAGTCACACTTGCATGGCTGTCGGGAAGCTCTACCTGCCCACACTGGCTCTTCTACCTTTTACCTTTAACAAGTGTGACCTCCCAATAAACCTCTTCACTCCTAACTGACTCAGCATCCAAATACAGGGCTGTTTTCAGGAGTCGCTGTGCTGTCTTTGCATCCACAGATGTCACGCACAAGGGTTCCAGGCGCTCTGCACCCTCATCAGCCCTTGTGTCTGTGCTTTGGGATGTGCCGGCTGGTGGCTGTGAGGATGGGAGCAGGAAGCTTGGAGGTGGAGAAGGTGGGTTGTCATCCATCTCATTCCACCAGTGGGGGACCGGGAGGCTCAGAGAGGCTGAGTGTTAGCCATCCTAACAGGTGTGGTTGTGCCCCATTATGACTTCTTCTTCTTCTTCTTCTTCTTTTTCTTTTAAGACAGAGTCTCACTCTGTTGCCCCGGCTGGAGTGCAGTGGCATGATCTTGGCTCACTGCAGCCCCTGCCTCCCGGGTTCAAGCAGTTCTCCTGCCTCAGCCTCCGGAGTAGCTGGGATTACAGGTGCCCACCACCATGCCTGGTTAATTTTTGTATTTTTAATAGAGATGGGGTTTCACCACGTTGGCCAGGCTGGTCTCGAACTCCTGACCTCAAGTGATCTGCCTGCCTTGGCCTCCCAAAGTGCTGGGATTACAGGTGTGAGCTACCGTGCCTGGCCCCATTATGATTTTAATTTGTAATTCCCCCATGGTTAAAAATGTTGAGCATCTTTTTATGTGCTTATCTGAGACTTTTAAAAGTCTCATGGTTTTAGGCTTCACATGTAGGTGTGTGATCTGTTTTGAACCAATTTTTCTCTGAGATGAGAGGCCTGTGTCCCGTTGCGTTTTTGCATATGGATGTCCGGTTGTTTCAGCACCACTAGCTGAAAGATCACCCTTTGCACCTGCCCCAGGCCCATTGCAGACGCTGGGTCCTTTATCCTGTAGGAGGTCCTGCCTTCTGGGTGTATCTATGGCTTCCCTGTGGTGTCCCTGGGCACTTCTCTCCTGCCCCTCTATTTTCATAATCAGAAATCCGCAGAGCGTTTATTAGATTGAGCCTCAGGCCTGTTTTTCTTGGCAGGAATGCTTGGTTATTGGTGAGGTGGGCTTCCCAGTGCATCCCGCCAGAAGGCACCCAGTGTCCAGTGTTCCCACGGGTACTGGAGCACAGGGTGACCAGTGAGGTCGAGGGCGAGAATCTGCTATTTCCTTGGTTAGCTTCCTTATCATACCTTCTTATGGTTTCACCGAGACACTCAGGAAAGTTAGATTAGGGACTCTACTAGATGATTCCAAGAAGCTATTGTTGCTTTGTTAGGTGTGATAATGGCATTTTGGTTATGTAAGGAAGTGCCCATATTTTTAGAGATGCATGCTGAAGTGTAAGGGCGTGATTTTACTTTAAAATCTCCAGTGAAGAAAAAATAGGCAAGAGAAAAAAAAGGGAGAGATGAAGCAAGTGTGGCAAAATCTTGATAATCGCCGAATCTGAGTGACTGCATGTTTTGAAGATGAGTAAATGTTTTCAGAGGCCGAGGTCTGGCTTGCACAAGTTTCCCCCAAATGCTCCCCCAACCCCAGGTTATCAGGTGAATGTGAGCCGCTGGGAGCATTTAGAGGCTGTCTGCTACCTGTGCTTGGGGGCCGTTAGCTGTTGCTCTTCTTCCCGTCTCTCTTTCCTCCCCTCTTTCCTTTTCTCCCCTCTTCCATCTTTTGTCCCCACCCTTTTCCAAAGATTCCGGGCTGACCCTCGGCAGAGCCCCCGCTTCACGGCCTGCCCTTTTTCATAAGGACCACCAGAGGGCGCCATGATTTAAGTCTGTCGCTGTTCTTGGTGCTGAAATTCTGACAGCGGGTGGAGCACATGATGGGCCCGGGAGCTCCTGAGGGCTTCAGCCCTGTTTTCTGTTCCTTTGAAAACGAACACACCTTTGGGTCTAAGAAATATACTGTTTTATATTCCCAATATGTGGTCCCCAACCTTTGCATCCCTGAGGTTGGAAAGAGAAGGGACGGCTGAGATGCTTAGTGAAGGGTGCAGGCCTGAGAAGGCTTTGTCAGAATCTACCACTCACCAGCTGTGTGGCCCTGGGCTAGTCATTGCACATCCCTGAGCCTTGATTTTTTCTCATCTGTTAAGTGGGAATGATAACCACAGCTCCTTTAAGAAGTTATTGTGAGGATTAATGAGATGCTGCAGATTTTAGTAATCTCAAGATACTATTATTCCTATTGCTATGACCACTACTAATACTTTTTTTAAAGCACATGCTGTGTGTCAACGGCCCCTCCAGTGCACCCCCTCCCAGGTGTGAAGTCAGGAGATGTGATGTCCAACTCAACCCTGCCTTGCCCGTGATCACCGGTTTGACTCTGGCTGTACTGCAGCCACACTTGAAACCTTTTGCCTTCCTCTTATGGAAGATCCTGACCATAAACCTGACCTTGCAGAGTTCCCATGGATATGTCTCCAAAGCTCTGAATACAGTGGCCAGTGCACCATTGATGCTAAGTCAGCGACAGCTGCTATTATCGTTCTCAGGGCCCTTCTCGTTTAGCCACGTGTTGATTCTGTGCTTTGTGGGTCCCAATAACTCCATCTCTCCATGCTTCTCTGGAAACTGCCCCACGCAACCCCCCCACCCCCCACCCAGGGAACTGTGGTGCTGGGGCATTGCCTTCCATAGCTTTCTACCTCTATTCCCACAACCCTTTGTAGCTAAATCAACAGTAGATGTTGGTCAGCGAAATACTGATTTTGCTACAATATCTTGCTTGAATCCATGTGATGGCCCTAAGAGAGAAGCAAACGTTGCCTTACTGTGTTTACCTTACAGCTGAAGAAACTGAGGCCCTGAAGAATGAAACTGCCCACCCGAGGTGCCCCAGCTAACAAGAGTCAGGCAGGGAATTGGGGATTCTTAGAAAAAGAGGGTTGCTCAGAGATTCTATAGGAGAAACTGATGTCAGAGAGGTGCAGCCACTGGTTCAGAATGGCTGAGTGCATTCATGTCTGAGCTGGGATGGGAACCAGGCCCCCTGACCTTGTCCCAGAGCCTCTTCCTTGGTGTCTGGTTCTCTGCCTTGAGCCTCATGGGTATCATGGAAAAGAGACTTATGTAAAAGAAACATGCCTGGCTTTATGACACCTGAGACTTAAGACAGTAATTTTTGGTGATTAGTCTTCTGGCATACCTGGTCCCTCATGGCCTGCACCTTTTAGGCATTTGATTTTGTACTCACTTGTGACTCTAAAGCACCTTGTTAGTGGAGGTAAATTAACTTATTGATTTTGAGCTCCACTGCTACTATGATAAATTATAACACGATTTCAGTCATTTTGTTGTTTACTTAGGCAGTTGTTGAAATACTGGTGCGTTGGTAGAACTTCTGAAATGAATTTTTAACAAATCCCTAAAAACTATGTGAGCTTTTCCAAAATGTCTGGAGGAGGCAATAGGCCTGACTTTTTCATTAATAACGTATCTCCTGGTGCTGGTATGGTGAGGGTGAGCCCGGGAGAGCCCCAGGCTGTGGGGACCCCTTTGAGAACCGGCCTGGCATTAGGCAGCAGGCACTGGAAAAAGTCGTCATCCTTCCTGACACTGCATTTACACTCTTGGGGATTTATCCTGAGGAAATTATAAAAAAAAATTTAAGAAATCTCCTTCTGCCTAAATTCACTGAAGAATTATTTGACAGTAGGAGCAACACAAAATAAACCTGGAATCAACCTCACTGTGCAGTGACAGGGACATTGTTTTCCAATTGTAGCATTGGTTTGCTTCTGGGAGTTTGTGCTAATTTGCTTCTTTGGGGCATCCACAGTTGCAGAGCACAGGGAGAAGGGTGTTAGCTGGCCAGCAGTTTCTATTTCAAGAGGAAGACTCTTGCTTATGCTTCTTCCTTTTCTGCCCGAGCACAGGGGGACACTTTGTGCAAATAATCACATACAATTTAGGAATGCTTTTGGAGCCGGGTGTGCTGGCTTATTCTTGTAATCCCAGCACGTTGGGAGGCTGAGGCAGGAGGATCACTTGAGGCCAGGAGTTAGAGACCAGCCTGGGCAACATAGTGAGATCCCGTCTCTTAAACAAAAATTAGCTGGGCATGGTGGCCCACACCTCTAATCCCAGCTACTCAGGAGGCTGAGTTGGGAGGATCACTTGAGCCCAGGAGTTTGGGGCTGCGGTGAGCCGTGATCATGCCACTGCACTCCAACCTGGGCAACAGAGCAAGACCCTGTCTCTAAAAATAAAAATAATAATGATAATAAACCAGGAAAGCATTCATCTACAAGTAGGAGGAAAATTGACTAGAGGGACTTCCGGTAGCTGGAACTGAAAGAGATAGGGCTGCAAAAACATTTTCACCGTAAAAGGCAAGGGGTCTGCCATCCAGAGCTCATGGCTTGGCTGGGTGAGGCCAACAGGAACCAGGCTCCACTGTCTTTCTGCTCTGCCAAGCTCAGCCTTGGACCAGACCCTCTTTCTTTGAGTCTGGTTCTTGTCCTTCAGTAAACAAATGGGGCCAGGGTGAGGATGGTTGGGGTAGGGGACACTGGGCTTCTTTTTCCCCTCCTTGTGGGCAGTCCACTCTGGGGACTTGAGCGTCTTCCATGGAAGGCAGATCCTTGGATGAGTGAAGGCTGCTGTGTTGACAGCTCAGCTCGGGGGCCGAAAGTCAGAGATGAGATTCCTCATGGGTGTTACGGAGAGCAGACCCACGTAAAAGAAACATGCTCGGCTTTACCACCCCCAGTACTGCTTGGGGCTGTATCTTAGGTGTGGGTTTCTTGCTCATGGTCATGAGGTGGCAACTGGATGTCCAGGCCTGGGATGTGAGGTCATAGGTAGCAGGACGGGCAGGGCAAGGGAGCCTGTTTCCTGGCACTCCGCGCTCACGCTTTATGTGACAAGCTGGGTGGCCCCTAGCTGCTTCTCCGTCTCCATGTCAGCCGCTTGGTTAAGCATGGTTCTCAGGGGTCCCTTGGCCAGCTGTCCTGCTAGCAGCTGACATCAGGGGAGAGGCCAGCTAATTTTTGTATTTTTAGTAGAGACGGGGTTTGGCCAGGTTGGTCAGGCTGGTCTCGAACTCCTGACCTCATGATCTGCCCACCTTGGCCTCCCAAAGTGCTGGGATTACAGGCATGAACCACCACGCCTGGCCTGGTATTTGTTGTTGTTTTTTTAACCATTGCCATTTTTTTTTGGTGACCATGTTCATTGGCTGCCCTGGTTGGCCCATAGGAGGCAGAGGCTGAGCTGGGTGGAATTCAGTGTGTGGGGTGTCGATTAGGACGTGCTCTTGGGGTCCATGCCTGATTGATGAGGGAAGGCAGCAGGATTGGGCAGAGGGAGAGCTGAGCCGAGTTGTAGTCCATTGACAGCTGTGGCTGACTGTGAGGAGCTCAGGGGCTGCGGTGGTGCATCCACGCCGTCCTGCCTTGGGCCCAGATGGCTGCTTCTTCACGCTTGCCCAGTCACAGGAGGCGATCCACCCTGCAGGTGTCTCCTGACAGCACCCCGCCTGCTGCGGCAAAGATCCCTCCTTGCGGGGCGTCTGGGTGGCCCCTCTCTGAGTCCACTCTGTTGGCCAAACATGCTTCTGTTCTTTGAAATGCAGGCCTCCCTGCTTTTTTTCCTGTTGGGTTGTCTTCCAAAAATTGATTACGACAATTTTGTCCTTCTAATATATTCTGCACATGAATCCTGAGTTCAAATGGGTTGTAAATATCTAAGGTTGTGGCTTTTTCACTTAAACTTTACAGTGGAAGCACAAAGTCTGGTTTTCTATTTCTTCTCGTGTCAGTGTTAGTGAGCTGTATTTTTCTAGAAATTTATCTGTTTCTTCTAAGTTTTCACAGTAATCTAGCATGATCTTTTTTTCTTTTTCTTTTTTTTTTTTGAGACAGAGTCTTGCTCTGTCACCCAAGGGGAGTTCAGTGGTGTGATCTTGGCTCACTGCAACCTTTGCCTCCCAGGTTCAAGCAATTCTCCCTGCCTCAGCCTCCCTAGTATCTGGGATTACAGGTGCCTGCCACCATGCCACCATGCCTGGCTAATTTTTTGTATTTTTAGTAGAGACAGGGTTTCGTCATGTTGGCCAGGCTGGTCTTGAACTCCTGACTTCAGGTGATTCGCCCACTTTGGCCTCCCACAGTGCTGGGATACAGGCGTGAGCCACCGCGCCCAACCATTCTCGCGTTATCTTTTAAATCTCTGTAATGTGTTCTGTCCTGTCAAATGCATTCTTCCTTAGTTAATGTTGTTGGAGGTTTGTTGACTTTATTAATCTTTTTGAAGATGATCATGAGGTTTGGGGGAGCATCCCCTAGGCATAGGACTGGCTTCTGCCTCCAGTGTGGCCTCTGTCTGCGGCATGCCTTGTTTAGTGCAGATCTCCAGGGGTTATTGTTGGGCGACCAGGGACAGTCACAGCACCTCTCTGGGCTTCAGTTTGTTCACATGGTGGCTGGGAGTGAGCGCACTGCTCCCTAAGCTCTGTAGAATGTCACTGTCCCTTTTGGAGGGTACTGTGGTCTTTCATTGTGATCACGAGTGCATTTGACTTAGCTCCTGGATAAAGGACAGGAATTTGTCATGAATCCCTTAAAGTACTTGGCAGCTTAGCCCATGCTAGGTCTTCGAGAAATATTTGTTAGATGACGGAACCTATGCAGCGAGGGAATCAGTAGCTCAGTCAGCAATTTCCTGCCTTCTCAGGGATTCCACTTGGTTCCCCTCCTCCCTTTTTTTAAAGTTAGAAAATGACTCACATGGCTGGGCACAGTGGCTCACACCTGTAATCCCAGCCCTTTGGGAGGCCAAGGTGGGTGGATCACTTGAGGCTAGGAGTTTGAGACCAGCCTGGCCAACTCTACTAAAAATACAAAAATTAGCTGAGCGTGATGGCAGGTGTCTGTAATCCCAGCTACTCTGGAGGCTGAGGCAGGAGGATTGCTTGACCTGGGAGGCAGAGGTTGCAGTGAGCTGAGATCGCGCCACTGCACTCCAGCCTGGGTGACAGAGTGGGACTCTGTCTCACCAAACAAACAAACAAACGAAACAACTCATGATCCCCTGCGAGGGTCTGGTCTGGTCAGGGCAGGGTTTTTGAGGATCTGACCACTCTGTCCACCTCTGCTCCAGCGCTCCTGTGTGACAGGGAACCTATGTGGTGGACAGCAGGCAGAGAGAAACAGATATTAATTAATTAATTAATTAATTAATCTTGACCTGTATTCTAGTAACTCCCAAATGCTGCAACCCTCAGGTGGCAGCTATTTTGGAGAATGGAGGATAGGACAGTGCTGGTTGTCTTCCCAATATCCATTCTTCCTGGATTTCTGGCTAACAGCCCTGACTTAAATCAGGGGGCTGTGTGTCCAGCTGAAATTCATATTCCCAGGTCTGTAATTCAGCAGAGGTGGCCATGGGACCCTGTTCTAACCAATGGGACATAAGCTGAGATCACTGGGTGGGGCTTTTGGGAAAGATCCTCCACAGAGAATGACTCAGCTGGCCCCTGCCCTTTCCCTTGTTTTCTTCTTGTCTGGAATGTGATGGCTGGAGCAATGGCAGCCATTTTGTAATCATGAAGTGACTTGAGGACACCATATGCTATGGATGGAGAAGCAGATAGACAGAAGGGATCTGGAGCCTTAACCACAACACAGAGTTCTGCTCCAGTGCTGGATTGCTGGCCTCTGGCTTTATTTTATAAAAGAGAAAAACCCTACATTTCTTCCTAGCTTTCTAACACAGCTCCTAACTGATACAGGCTGGGAAGCCCAAATGGAGATTTTTGCTTTCTTCCCATGTATCCCCATCAGTCTCTCCCTGATGCACAAGGAAAGACCATTCTGAGCACACCCATCTTCATGCAGAAACCACATGTGTGGAGCCCTTATGCACTGTGGTGGGAACGTGAAATGGTGTAGCCACTTTGGGAAGTAGTTTGGCAGTTCCTCAAAAGGTTAAACATAGATTTATCTCATGACCCAGCAATTCTACTCCTAGGCATCTACCAAAGAGAATTGAAGACATCCATCCATACAAAAAGTTGCACATGAATGTTCATAGTGGCACTATTCATAGTAGCCAAAAATGAAAACAACCCAAATGTCCATCAACTGATGAATGGGTAAACAAAATATGGTCTATCCATACAGTGGAGTATTATACAGCCCTAAAAAGGAAGGAAGCCCTGCCACACGCTACAACATCAATGAACCTTGAACACATCATGTTAAGATCATGTTAAGTGAAAGAAGCCAGACACAAAAGACCACATAGTGTATGATTCCATTTATAGGAGATGTTCATAATCAGAAAATTCATAGAGACAAAAAGCAGATTAGTGGTTACCAGGGGCTAGGGGCTTGGGGAATGACCATTAATGAACATGTGGTTTCTTTTTGGGGTGATGAAATGTTTTAAAAGTAAATCATGGTGAGGGCTGCACAGCTCTGTGAATACACTAAAACTACTGAATTGTACACTTTATAAAAGTAAAGTGTGTGGTATATGGCTTATGCCTCAATAAAGCTGTGATTAAAGACTGCATATGCTTTAAAGTGAG
The DNA here is from genome assembly GCF_000001405.40 of Homo sapiens. Classification (NCBI taxonomy): domain Eukaryota; kingdom Metazoa; phylum Chordata; class Mammalia; order Primates; family Hominidae; genus Homo; species Homo sapiens. Next base: position 6,540,026 of record NC_000004.12, on the reverse strand, counting down.
AAGCTTGGTGTCATTGGAGCCAGGCGACAGAGTAGGGCAGGGCTAACTGCAGGGTCCTCACGGGCCTGGGGCAGGTGGCCACGTGGCCAGTTTCTGCCTTCTCTAGTGGAATAGGGTGGTGTGGTGGTTAGGACCCAGACCCCTCTACCCACACAGCTGCACGGGCTTGGGGAGATCTAGTTTCTGTGCCTCAGGGGCCTCACTTGTCGTATGGGGAGACTCCTGTATCGCCCGCAAGGTTGTGGTGAGGCTGAGCGAGGGTAATCGGGAATGCCTAGTGCAGCTTCCGCCTGCAGGGACACTCAGCAAACCCCAGATCTGATTCTTCCATTTCCCCACGCACTTGCCACCCTTGACCACTGCCTGGTCGGCAGGCGCTTCTGTAGTCTGGGCTTGAGAAGAACTTTCAGAATGGTAGATTTTTTATCCTTTATTTTTTGAAGGGGAGAAGGAAAGCAGTGGCAGGAATCGTCCTCTGTGATGTTACAACATATTATAAAGCTCAGTCATTGAAATAGTCTGGAAGTTACACTAGACTTGGGAGAGAGACCGGTGAAGCGTGACACAATACATGTGTGAGTGCCCTGTGGCCGCCAGAGCAAAGTCCACAGACTGGCTGGTTTAAGACAACAGAAACGTATTGTCCCCAGTTCTGGAGGCTAGAAGTCCAAGGTCACAGTGTGGGCAGGGCTGGTGCCCTCTGAGGGTTATGGGGGGAATCTGTCCCAGCCTCTTCTCCTGGCTTCTGGTGTTTTGCCCACAACCTGTGCCACTCCCTGGCTTGTGGAAGCCTCATCCCAACCTCCACCTCCATCCTCACACGGCACTCTCCCTATGTGTGTGTGTCTGTGTGTCCAAATTTCCGCCCTCTCTCTCTTTTTTTTTTTTGGAAGGACATCAGGCATATTGGATTAGGGACTCAGCTTAATGACGCCATCTCAATGCATTTCATCTGCAACTACCCTATTTCCAAATAAGATCACATCCTGAGGTTCTAGGGGTGAAGACTGCAGCATGCAGATTTTAGGGGGAAGCAATCTAGCCCTTCCTGGTGGAAAGTCAGAAGCAGGTTTGAGCTGTATAATAAATCACTCACTGTGTAACGGGCTCGATATTTGTGGAGCACCTGCTCTGAGCAGGTACCGGGAAACAGCAGTGATACACCGACAAGGTCCCCGCCCACGAGTAGCTCAAGCAGCAGGGCCGGGAGGACATTTCATGACGGTGCGGGGGAGCGGCCAGCTCCACGCGTCTGCTGCCTTTGTAACGAGAACAAGTTAGAGGGACAGACTGCATTGGCGGCCGGCTCTTTCGTGAACGTAGCACGTGGTGTGGGTGGTGCAACCGCTCCAAGCCTGAACCCTGAGCCCCTTTGGCCAAGGGAACATCTGCTGCCACGGTGGATGACTTGAGGTTTTATTGTATAATTTCATTTGCCGTGTTATTGGCGTTTGGAAGATGACGTGACCTCATCTCATTTTCCTTTGCCTAGTGAAAATAGCAGGGGATTGATTTTGTTCCCTTCCCACCATTGGGTGTGTTCAGCACCATCAACACAGATTGTTAAATCATCCTTGTATGTTTCCGTTTTGCTCTGAAACGCTTGCGTCGCTGGGGACGATGAACTTGGCTCAATGCACCTGTGTGTCGGTGGAACTTGGCAGATGGGCGGCGGGCACCTCTCCATGCCGATATCTGTACCCCGAGGAAGCGTCCGTGGGGTGGGGTAAAGAGCCAGGAAGAGGGGAATCTGGGTTTGATTCCCAAATCTGACGCCCCAGCTGTGGGACCTGAGACAAGTCATTCAACTTGTAGGGGTGCCCGCCTCAGTGGGCCGTTGGGAAGATTAAATGGAATGATGAATGCAGAACTTTTTTTTTGGATTGTTTTTAATGTGGTAAAATATACATAACATAAAACTAATCATTTTAAGCATTTTCAGTGTCTAATTCAGTAGCATCCGGTACATTCCTATTGTCGTGCAACCATCTCCACGACCCATCGCCGGAGCTTTTTCTTTGTACCCATTAACACCAACTCTCCATAACCCCAGCCCTGGTAACCCCTATTCTGCTTCCTGTCTCTATGAATTTGACTCCTCCAGGACTTCATATAAGTGGAATCACACAGTATTTGTCCTTTTGCGACTGGTTTATTTTATTTAGCATAATATCTTTGGCCGGGCGTGGTGGCTCACACCTGTAATCCCAGCACTTTGGGAGGCCGAGGCAGGTGGATCACGAGGTCAGGAGACCGAGACCATCCTGGCTAACATAGTGAAACCCCGTCTCTTCTAAAAATACAAAAAATTAGCCAGGTGTGGTGGCAGGCACCTGTAGTTCCAGCTACTCGGAAGGCTGAGGCAGGAGAATGGTGTGAACCTGGGAGGCGGAGCTTACAGTGAGCCGAGATGGCACCACTGCACTCCAGCCTGGGTGAAAGAGCAAGACTCCATCTCCAAAAAAAAAAAAAAAACAAAAAATCTTCAAGTTCGTCTACATTGTAGCATGTGTCAGAATTTTATTCTTTTTTTCAGGCTGAATAATATTTATGGAAAGGGTTAATCTGTAAATTGCCATGCCACTAAAAACAAAGTTTTAGAAGGTGTGTAAAAATCAATGTTTGAACCAAACAGAAGAGGTGAACTGAAAGGCACACTCTCCTTTCCCTTCAACCCCAGAGCCATTCCCCATGTAATCGCCTGTGCATCCTCCAGACATTTCTCTGCACTGATGAGCATTTATGTGTGTGTCCTTTGTTTTTAGACCTCCATGCTATGAACCTTGATTTTTTCCCCTTTGATGTCATTCTTCCTTTTTTTTTTGAGATGGAGTCTCGCTCTGTCGCCCAGACTGGAGTGCACTGCAGCGATCTCGGCTCACTGTGACCTCCGCCTCCTGGGTTCAAGTGATTCTCTTGCCTCAGCCTCCCGAGTAGCTGGGACTACAGGTGCCCACCACCACGCCTGGCTAATTTTTGTATTTTCAGTAGAGACAGGGTTTCACCATGTTGGCCAGGCTGGTCTCGAACTCCTGACTTCAGGTGATCTGCCCACCTCAGCCTCCCAAAGTGCTGGGATTACAGGTGTGAGCCACCTCACCTGACCTGATATCTTTCCATATTGGCACACACACATAGAAATGCCTCATCCTGTTCAACAGTTGCTTAGCATCCACTGATAGATGGCCATGTCTTATTTCCCCAGGTCCATGCTGATGTCCATGTATGTCGTTTACCAATACTTGCCATTACAAACAACACTGGAAATGATTGTTCTTGACAGAAGAGTGAGATTTACACCTGAATCCCTAGCAGACAAGGGGCCTGTGCATTGAGAAGCCTCACATTGTCAAATTGTCCCCTGTGGAGCTGCCCCCTTCTCCACTGCACCCACCCTGCACAGGAGGGGCTTTCCCCACTGATAACACTCCTGCGGGGTATGGGCCACAGGGCCTTTTTTTGGTCACTGCCATATTTGAAAAGTGCTACGTTTCTGGTTTAATTCACATTCTTTTAAAATGATGAGTGGACACACCTTTTTTCACTTGCCTTTCTTCTTATGTGGATTAAATAATTATTTCTTTTTCTTTCTTCGTGTGTGTTTCTTTTTATGTGAATGACTGGTGAGTCTCCTTTTCTCACTTTTCTGCAGAGCTTTTCATCTTTGTCTTCTTGTTGATTTGTAAGAGTTCTTTACATAGTGAGGAAAGTGCACTGTGCATGCTAGTTGTTGAAATCTGTTCAACTCAGGGTCATCTCTAAACATCTTACCTTCTTTGAAGTTACCCATAAAACTTTGTGTGCCCCTGAAACAGCAATGTTTCCTTCCATAATCCCGGGTTTATAGTTCCTATCCTTCACCTTGAGGCTGAGAGGCTCTCCTTCAGTGTCTGTTGATAATTTACCTAACCCTCATCCCTTCCTCAGGCTACACAGAGTGAGGTGGGGAAAAGATGATGGTCAGATGCTAAGGAAGGAGCTGGAAAGAAGCTGTCAGGGGTGGGGGTGGTGCGGGACTAACACTGTGATAAAGGCAGCCAAGCAACCTCAAGGTAAGTATTAGTTCAGTGGACTGCAGCGTGGGGTGTTGTCCCTGCCACAGGGCATCAGGGAAGGCTTCCTGGAGGTGGCGACAGTTCAGCTGAGCCACAGTGGGACCTCAGTGGCCATGTGCTCTCATCCGCAGGCTCAGAAGTTGGCCAGGAAAAGCTGTCCCTGTGCCTGAGTGGGCTGTGGGCCTGTATGGGGTGGGGCGGGGCTTCTAGTTCCATGTTTTTAAGCGGGAGTGACCTGGAGTCCCTAGTGAGGGATTTCGTAGGCTGTGGGGAAATAGCTGCTGCGGGGTGAAGTTTGAAGACAAACGACAGACGGGAGATGGGGAGGAGTAACCCCATTTGGGGCCAAAATAGCCCGAGGGGAAGGTGGTGTGTCGTCCCCATTTCACAGATTTGGAAGCTGAGGCTCAGGCGGCTCCTGCAGCCGGGAGGAGGGAGGCATTTCCAACCCTGGCCCAGGGCTGGCTGGAGCTGTGCCGGGCGGCGGCCAGGGCGGCCGTGGGTGGCGGTGCTCGCGTTGCATGTGGTGTGTGGCGGCGTGCATGCACCAAGGCTCTTTGATTCCTCAACTTTAGTTTTTTTTTCTGATTATAGAAGTAAAATAGAAAGAAGACCTTTTTTGAAATGACCTGTGTTAGTCACCTCTCTCAGGATGCGTGAGGCGGACACGTTGAGGCCACCTCAGCTGATGGAAGTTTCCGGTAAGAAGCCCGTTCTCACAGCCGGGCAGCAGCGCCGGTGAGCTTGGGGACGTGGGCTGTGGGTCACAGGCGCCCGACACAGCGCCAGCCTGACAGCGGGAAGCCGACCCCACCGTGCTGGGATCCGGTCCCTCCCCTGCTCTGGCCCCTGGGCCCCCGACCCTGGCTCCTGCCGCCTGGGCCCTGGCCCCACCCCACCAGCCCCCATTGCCGCCCCTGTCTCCCAGGCCGATGGGTGAGGCCCCCTTCATGCGCCACCTCCTTGTGGACTGTGGCAGGGTCACTTTGTCAGGCAGCTGGGGCAGGAGCCAGGAGCGTTGTTTACTCACTGGGCCAACAGTGTTGAGTGCCCGCTGTGGCCAGCACTGGGCCGGCCCCTGGGGTCGCAGCAGTGGGCAAGCGGACAGTGACTCCTGAGGCTCACACTGAGCGGCCGACCCAGACAGACAGAGTCAGTCTGTTAACTAGACCCCGACTGGGGGCGAGTGCCATGAGAAATCCACCAGGGCAGCCATGCGGAGGCGGGGTTGTCACTGCGAAGTACAGGGTGCAGGAAGGCGCCCGAGGGAGTGTGCGGGCCGTGCGTGTTGGGGGGTGTGTGTTGGTGTGTATCTCTTTGGGGCTGTGTGTGTTGATATGTGTGTGTTCATGTATGTGTTGATGTGTGTGTTTAGGATGTGTGTGTTGTATGCGTTGATGTGTTTGTATGGTGGGGCATGTATGTTGGGGTGTGTGTATTGATGTGTTTATTGATGTATGTGTGCTGTATGTGTTGGTGTGACTGTTGGAGTATGTGTGTTAGGGTGTGTGTGTTGGTGTGTGTTTGTTGATATGTGTATGTGTTGGTGTGTGTGTTGTATGTGTTGTGTGTGTGTTGGTGTGTGTGTATGTTGGTGTGTGTTAGTGTACGTATTGATGTGTGGCATTGATGTGTGTTGATGTGTGTTTTTTGATGTGTGTATGTGTTGGGGTGTGTGTGTTGGGATATGTGTGTGTCTTGCTATGTGGTGTGCTTACTGTGTGTGTATGTGTGTTGGTGTGTGTTTGTTGATATGTGTATGTGTTGGTGTGTGTTGTATGTGTTGATGTGTGTGTTGATGTGTGTGTGTTGGTGTGTGTATGTTGGTGTGTGTGTTAGTGTATGTGTTGATGTGTATGTTGGTGTGTGTTTTAGTGTATGTGTTGATGTGTATGTTGGTGTGTGTGTGTTGATATGTGTGTTGGTGTGTGCTTGTTGACATGTGTGTGTTGGGGTGTGTGTATATTGGGGTGTGTGTGTGTTTGGGGTATGTGTATTGGGGTGTGTGTGTGTTGCTGTGTGGTGAGCTTATTGATGTGTATGTGTTTGTGTTGGGATATGTGTATGTTTTGTTGTATGTTGATGTGTGCGTGTATTGGGGGCGTGTTCACACATACCTTTTCACCGAGCAGCCTGCTATGTAACGGCCACCCGGGTCGACGGGCCTGTAGGTAGATCCTCATTTATTGAACCAATTTCCTGTGTTGGACATTAGAGTGTTTCCTGGTGTGCTCAGTTATAAATAACGTGCTGCCATCTTGGGTTTCTACCCTTACTTAAGGCACAAACAACATCTTCAGAGAGTCTTAAAGTCTGCAATCCTGCATTTGGACGGCAATGTCAACTGCAGACTTACGGTCCCCAGGCAGCCTTAAGCAGCTGTGCGTCATAGGCATTAACGACATAAAACAGTATGTTTCCTTAGGCCCAGTGCCGGCCATGGGGTGCTGAGCCCTGGATGGCTGGTATCGGGGCTGTGGGTACCAGGCCCTGGCACCCCACAGTTGTTCTGCCTGTGCTGGGGCACCTTTTGTTTGGGGCAGGAGGACAGGTCTTTGTGAGGAATTACAGAAGGGACTCTCTTCTCTGCTGGAGAAAGACCTTTGCTGTTTCATTTTACAGCCTTGTTTGAGGGAGGCTGGGAGGCTCTGCAGTTTAGAATCCTGTTCAAAGATTATGCTCATGGGCCTAAGAGGATTTGGCTGTGACCAACTTGTATTACATGGGCTGTTTGTTTTTACTCCTGCCATGTTCTCTTCTGGGTCTCGGGCATGTGTTCTTAGGATTACTTTCATTTACAGCCTGAGATGATTGTGAATTCTTCAATAGCATCCACCTTTTAGAAATAGGAAGCTTTCTAAAGTCACGTTTGCAAGCCCAGCCTTTCCGAATTCTGTGTCATTAACTCAAGACCAGAGCCGTCTCTCATCCCCCTGCTTACCCCTGCCTCCATGCACCATGCTGAGGGCAGAGCGTGGGCTTCACCGTGCTGTGTAAACTGTGAAGTGCAGTACCCCCTGTGTTGAGCTCGCCTCCCACTCTGTGAATAGAGCAGACAATGCTGGGGATGCGTCTCCCAGCCTCCCTTGCAGCTAGGGCACAGATACCTGGCCCCCCGGTGCTGCTGCCTTGGGACTTGACTCAGAATGTTGGCTGGCAATGTGAGGAACAGGGACCGGGGGCCATGTGGGTGATGGTGGTGGCAGCGGAGGAGGCAGCTGCAGTGATCCAGATGGCGGCTGCTGGGTTAATTTGGGAAGAACAGGTGCCTTCAGACACTGCTTCATCTTCTAAGCCAGGGGCTGGACACTGTGATCCTTGGACATTTCTGTTCCTTGTTTTTAATGCTTCTGGGAAGTGTCTTTATTTTGCCTTTTAAAAACGCAGAGTGGAATGTGCATTTAAGGGAAGGCAAATCCCGCTTTTCTAGTGGAAATGAGCCTGCGCCTCCCCAGACAGCTAGATCTGGAGATGCTGCTGCCCATGAGTTCTGCCCCTTTGTTTCTGTGTTTGGAAGGCCTGGCCCAAAATGGGGATTGGGGGTGCCCCAGTCTGGTCTGGGATGGGCAGGAATTATTTCCCAGCAAGGTCAAGGCTGCTCAACACTGTGAGAACCCTGGCCTGGGCATCAGGAAACATGGCTTCCTCTCCAGCTCTGACTTTGCTGGGCAACCCTGGACAAAGCCCTCACCCTCTCTGAGCCTTCACGGCCCCTTCTATGGACTGGGGATGATGATCATGACCAAGGCAGTCGTGAGGACCATAGATCGCACTTGCCATGGCCAGGCCATCTGTAAAGTGGAGTGTTCAGGTTAGAGAGGACAAGTTGGTGTTATTGGAGGGAACCTGTGGTGATGGGGGAGAGGGTGACCTGGTGACACAGCCCTTGATGGCTAAACCTTCCTGACAATGTCACAGGGCCAGCCTCCTGCCCTTTGCAAAGCACTGGATCCTCAAAGAATAATTTACACTCCAGAAAATGGAATCCATACTGGGTGGGTTCTATCACGTGTAGCCTTGGGGGATGAGACCTGGGAAGACCGATGTGAATACATGCAGGACGGGGCATCCGGTGTCTGCCAGCTGCCACCTGCTCCGGACCTGGGCCACCGGCTCTGCTGCCTCAGCCTCTTCACTTGCTCCATTTTAATCACAGCTCACTCATCAGCCTTCTTTGGAGAATGCTGGGGACTGAGTGGCAAGGTAGGGAGACTCCGGGCTTTACCTTAAGTGGACGTATGTTGGAACAGTAACTTCGCCCCCTAATAATGATAATAATAACAGCAACTGAGGAAGAGCTGGGGTTCACAGAGCACCTGCTCTGCAAACAGCCTGCAGGATCTTTCGGTGAAAGTTGTGAAACATGGACATTTAGGTGCTCCATAAGTGTTAGCCAAAAAAAAAAAAAAAGGAAAACGGGAAAGAAACACAGACATGATTCTGCTCATTCCCGCTTTGCTCCCTCAAGTCCCTTGGAGGGGCGTTATCTGGGCTACCAGGGACTGCTTGTTTCCTGGCGGTTGTAGCTGCCCTCTCCTGGACGCGCTTCCTTTTGGTTTGGGCACACTTGGTGGTCTTCCTGCACCTCGGCCTTTTGCTCTGGACAGATGGCCTTTGCTGTCACGGGTTGGCTCTGACGTCCTTTCCTCTGTGAGGGTGCACAGCACCCCTGGGCCCCTGCAGCCTGCCTCAGCCCCTCCTCACTGCCATCTGCACCCTCAGAACATGAGACTTGGTGGGTGCTTCCTCGAGGGACTGAGAGGCCTCGAAGGACACTGCCCTGGAGAGCGGTGCCGGCTGTCTCAGGGTGGGAAGCCTCCTTGGTGACACTGTGTGAATGGAACCCCACCCGCCCTTGCTGCCTTTGGTGCCACCAGGCACAGCTCCTGGCCCCAGGAGGGGTGATCTTTCTTGGGGATGCCAAGCTGGCTCTGTGGTCCCTGTCACTCAGAGCGGGCTCCTCCCCTCCACACACCCATTTTGAGACCCCAGAGCACAGTGATGCCGCAGCTGCACTTAACAAGCAGGAATGTGTCCCTCCTGTTGGTCAACATTTGGGGCCTCACTGTGACAGGTGCACAGCAGCCTGGTGGAGAACCACCCTATGCGCCTGTAGAAAGGGCCAGATGGCAGGAGCCACCTTGCGTTTTGCCTTGAGGTTTAGTTGGGATGGCCACTTACAGTGGTCGCAGCCACTGTTCTGAGAGCTTTGCATGTTCAGTGGGTACAAATCTCATGGTTGCCTAGGAGGTAGGGGATGGGGCAGTGTCCATTTGGCAGAAGAGGAACCTGAGGCTGAGAGAAGTTGATTCCCAAAAACACAGCCTGTTGTGGGGGGCCAGGGTCCCAGCCCAGCAGTCCAGCTCAGAGTCACACCCTGCTGTCATGTTGTTACCCGGACAGCGGGCAGGTTCAGTTGCGTGGTGGGTGACAGTCCAGCGACCACAGCCACGGAGGGCTTAACAAGGGGATTGTAGGACTTGCAGCAAGTAAGGAGGACACCAGGGATGGTCCCCAAAGCAGCGCCTCCCGGGCAGAGGGGATCCCAGGGTTTCACGGGGCTGCTGGGCTGAGCCATCTCATGGGGGGTTAAAGTCAGTGCAGGTGCGGTGGCGGATCACGCTTCTACATACGTCGCGTGCATGGAAAATGGCGGATAAGCTCCTCTCCTCCCTGGGTGGGGTTTTTAGGATGGGCTTGGACCTTTTCTGAAACAAGGAGAACTCAAGATGCAGTTACAAGTGGGTGCTTTTTCACGGTGTGTACCTCAAAACCCCAAACCCGGGACCCCGGCTTAAGACGTCATATTCCATGGGCGGTGCTAAGGGCAGAGCCTGGCCCAGAGTAAACCCTCGAGAATCGTTACTCTTGTTGCTTTCCTGGGGTTCCTGTAAAGCAGGCGTGGTGCCTTGTGGTTTGTGAATCTGTGTCCCTAAGACACACGCTGTGGTGAATGATTCTCTGGGACTCATCCAGCTGCTTCCCCCAGCACTGAGTGTGGCCTCACAGTGGGAATAGTGGGCTCCGTCACTCGTGCGCTCTAGCCTCTCCTCCCATTCGCTGCTGTCCCCTCCCAGTCTCCTGGCCATTGTCATCCTGGGGGAATCCTTGTCATGGGAGGCCTTCCCAAGCAGAGAAGTGAGTGGTCCTCACCCACTGTTCTTCATTTCACATACATTTATTGAGCATCTGCTGTGTACCCAGCCCTGGGTCAGTGGCTGGGGCCACAGCAGTGGGCAAAGCAGACCTAGGGCTCACGGTCTAGTGGGCAGAGAGATGTGGGCCCTCTCAGCCTCGCCAATTTTCCCTCTGGGAGGACTGTGCCAGGGAAGAGGGATGGGGGATGGGGTAGGGGCTTTGGAGTCAGTGGAGCTGCATGTGAACCGCAACCCAGTGGCTTTCCAGCACTTCCATGGGGGCACAGGGCTGAGCTTCAAGAATCCTCAGTTTTCTCATCTGCAAACTGGAGGTGTTGGCACCCACCTCACTGGGTTGTCTGGAGGCTAATGGTTGATACGTTCCATGGGGCCCATGCAGCTTGGCTCATGGTGTGCACGCATTGACTATGAGCCCCCTGCTGGCTCCCAGCCTGGCCGCTTAGGTGGGCGGCTCAGGTGGTGCCTAGAGGAGAGGCCAGGGCTGCAGGGGAGAGGCCAGTCTGAGGCTCTTTGTCGTGTGTGAAATCCCTGGGTTAATCCCTGGCCCTGCCCAGAGCCTGAAGTGGGAGCTCCTGCGTCGCTTCCTTGACCGTGAGCCTTTGCTGGCTGACTAGGCCTCTGCTTCTGCTGCCGATGAGGCTGCCAGATGTTCAGGCCTACGGCCCAGCAGCCCCTCGTCCTCCAGCTGCCCCCTTCCCTGTCCCTGTGAGGTCCCAGCCAAGCCATCTGCCTATGGAGACATGAATAGGCCAGCTCTGGGCTGCTCTGAACCTGGTGATGGCAAGAAATAAAGTAAGTTTAGTGCGCGTCCGTGTGAAGAGACCACCAAACAGGCTTTGTGTGAGCAACAAAGCTTTTAATCACCTGGTTGCAGGCCGGCTGAGTCTGAAAAGACAGTCAGCAAAGGGAGATAGGGGTGGGGCCGTTTTATAAGATTTGGGTAGGTAAAGGAAAATTACAGTCAAAGGGGGTTGTTCTCTGGCGGGCAGGAGTGGGGGTCACAAGGTGCTCAGTAGGGGAGCTTTTGAGCCAGGATGAGCCAGGAGAAGGAATTTCACAAGATAATGTCATCAGTTAAGGCAGGAACAGGCCATTTTCACTTCTTTTGTGGTGGAATGTCATCAGTTAAGGCAGGAACTGGCCATCTGGATGTGTATGTGCAGGTCACAGGGATATGATGACTTAGCTTGGGCTCAGAGGCCTGACAGTAAGGATGGGTGATACGTTGGGCTTTGGTGGCCAGATCTGTTCCTGAGTCTCCCTGGCTGTCAGAACACACTGGCTCTCAGACGCCAGGGTCAGATCTGGTGACTGGGGCTCCAGGCAGTTTGGGTCGAGTGGAGGAACGCTCTCTGATGATTCATGAGACCTTGCCTAGGTCTGCAGGATCCTGAAGATTCTGAGGCAGGGCGCTCACCAGCTCAGGCAGCCACCCTTCAGCTGTCCCACCTTGCCTGGGCCTGAGCACAGGCCCTGGAAGCCCCTGTTCAGGACATGTTCACAGGCAGGCAGGAAGGGCCCTCCCGGCCCGAGCCAACACCCTTCACCCCAGCTCCCCGCACAAGCTGGCCTTCCGGAGAGCCAGGGCGGGCTTTGCAGGCCGGGAAGAGGAAGAGATGTTTGCCCGGGCAGGGGCCGAGGACTTCCCAGGCCGAGGGTACAGGGCAGGCAGCAGCCTGAAAACACGGGCCAGTTTCACAGCCCGTAACCAGGTGGTCACACAGGGCCCCGAACTCAGAAGGGCCCACTGGGGTGGATGCTCTGCGCTCACCGTCCTGAGATTCTTCATCGTCTTATCCTGGGCTTGGTGTTCTATAAGTGGAGTTGCTGGGACCGTGGATCATGTCCTGGGGCTTGGAGTCTGGGCTCACGGGCTGTGCCTCCTTTGTCCCTTCCCCAGCTCCTGGGACAGGTTCTCAGCTGCCCGCTCTCCTCCTGCTGGGGCCCCAGGCCCTGCCTTCTGTCCAGGGTGGCAGCCAGGTCACTTCTCGGGTGGCCATTGCTCAGGGGTGGCCTGTCCTCCATGGGCTGAGGTGGTGGGGCCTGTGGGAAGGGGGCCAACATCTCTGTTCCCGGCTGGGGCCCCATATTTTGGTTTTGCACCGGGCCTGGAAAATTCTGGAGCCAGTCTTGCCTGAAGAGAGGTGCATTCTGGAAATGGCCGGAGTTCCATGTGGCCAGGGCATAAGGAAGCTGGGGTGGTGCCTGGAGGTGGGGTGGGGTCGGGCGGGGTTACCCAGGCCTTGGCAAGTCCCTGGCAAGCTGTTGAGGAGTGGGGCTGTGTTCTCATGGTATTCTCATGGCACATGTTGGTTGGGGCACTTGGCAGGTCCATGCACCTTGGCCACAGAGGCTGCATGGCAGGGAGGTGACTCACCGTCTGGGGCACCAGGAGAAAGAGAGAGGGGTGTTCTGTTCCGCCTGGCACTGCTCAGGGGTGCACAGCAGCTCTGTGGGTTTATCTCACACCAGACTTTTCTTAGAGCCAGAAATGGGCAAGGACTGGAGGCAGCTTGTCCGGTGCATTCCTTCTAGCGGGGTAAACCGAGGCCCTGAGAGGGGACAGATCCCCGCTCCCTGGCCAAGGTCGCTCAGCGAGTTGGTAGCAAATAGCTAATATTAAGCCAGTTCGTTTGGAATTCTAGGCAGGAATGGAAATATTTCAATGGCACAGATAAAAAAACTGAGGCTCAGGGTGGCTGAGGCTGCCTGGGATCAAGCGATTTACAATGGAGCTGAGATTCAAACCTGCAGCTCCCGACACCAGCCTGGGCTCCTTCTCCTCCGCATTGAAGCCGTGGTTGGCGTCTCCCACTCTTTGGGATCCTGGAGTAGGCTAGTGAGCAGCTGGGGAACTCGGGGCTGGAGTGCGAGGGTGGATGGGTGGGTGGCAGGGCTGTAACAAAGCCTACCGTGATGGCTGTCCCCCTCCTCAGGGAATCAGGCCTGATTGCACTTAATGAGGCTGGTGGGGAGGTGTTGAGTTTGCATTTTCTGCTCAGTGGGAGGTGGCCATGATGCATATTCATTTATGCAAAACCAGGGTTGGTTCTCTGCACCCTCTCACCCCTCTACCTCTTTCTTCCTCCAATTGGGTCGCTGGAGCCCAAAGACCAGCCCCCGGATTCTCTCCCTCCTTTGCCAGCTTTCAGCCCCAGTAACAGGCCAGGGAGATGGATGGACATTCTCGCTGCCCAGGGCCAGGCAGGCACTGCGCTCAGGGTGCCCTCAACATGGAGCGTTCACGACCACCCCCTCTTCTTTTCTTTTCACCAATTTAACCATTTTAGAGTGCACAGTTCAGTAGCATTTAGTATATTCATGTTATACAACCATCACCACTATCTAGGCCCAGAACATTTTCATCACCCCAAAAACAAACTGTTAAACTTGTCAGCTGAAGAATTGCCAGGACCACACACTGAGCGCCGAGAGCTTTCTTCCTCATGAAGGGCTGCAGCCTGCAGGCTGGCTAACCTCAGGCTGGGAAGCATAGCCTCTGGCAGGAGCCAGAAGCAGGCATTTCCAGGAAGGGAATTTATGATGAACGGGTTAGCTAAGTATATGTATTCAACAGGCTATAGGAAGAGCTATGAATATTCACGGAGACGTGTGTGCATTTGTCATAAGCTAACATGTATGTTACATGCATCCTATGTTGACTTTGGGGTAGAGACTTAATATGTAAGTATTACAGTCAGGGCCCTACATGTCAGAAGGTGAAGCAGAGGACGGGAAGAGCCTCTGTGCAGCCTCTGTAGATGAGCCAGAACCATTTCAAGATCAGGACTCTTATCAAGAAGGAATGCTGGGCTGGGCAACGTGGCTCACGTGCTGTAATCCCAGCACTTTGGGAGGCTGAGGCGGGCAGATCATGAGGTCAGGAGTTCGAGACCAGCCTGGCCAACATGGTGAAACGCTGTATCTACTAAAAATATAAAAATTAGCTGGGTGTGGTGACGAGTGCCTGTAGTCCCAGCTATTCGGGAGGCTGAGGCGGGAGAATCACTTGAACCCGGGAGGCAGAGGTTGCAGTGAGTGGAGATCGTGCCACTGTACTCCAGTCTGGGAGACAGAGCAAGACCTACCCTCCCCCATCCCCCCAAAAAGGACAGTCTGTGTTGAAACTGAAAAAGAAAGGGGCAGCCCTGAGTGGTTGGTTGGAATCAGCAGTAGGGCAAGGCTTTCGAAAGGGCTGGTTTCTGCTTAACCCTTAAGAGGGAAAGCATAATGGCATTTAGCGAAGGAGGGGGTATAATGCAGTGTGTCTGACCTCCGGTCCCATTGTGGCCTGGAACTCAGGTTTTTTTTTAAGGTTTCTCTGGAGTCCGTTTGGCCAAGAGGGGGTCCATTTAGTCATCTGGGGGTGGTTAGGATTTTATTTATTTATTTATTTATTTACTTATTTTGAGATGGGGTCGCACTCTGTCGCCCAGGCTGGAGTGCAGCGGCACAATCTTGCCTCACTGCAACCTGAGCCTCCTGGGTTCAAGAGATTCTCCTGCCTCAGCCTCCCGAGTAGCTGGGATTACAGGCACATGCCACCATGCCCGGCTAATTTTTTTATTTTTAGTAGAGATGGGGTTTCACCATGTTGGCCAGGCTGGCCTCGAACTCCTGACCTCAGATGATCCAACCATCTCGGCCTCCCAAAGTGCTGGGATTACAGGTGTGTGCCACCACGCCCAGCTTTTATTTTTATTGTTTATTTTGTTATTTATTTATTTGGAGAGAGTGTCTCACCCTGTCACCCAGGTTGGAGTGCAGTGGCACCTTCATAGCTCACTGCAGCCTCAACTTCCTGGGCTCAAGTGATCCTTCTGCCTCAGCCTCTCCAAGTAGCTAATTTTAAAATGCTACCATGTGTGGCTAATTTTAAAATGTTTTTGTAGAGATGGGGTCTTGCTATGTTGCCCAGGCTGCTCTCAAACTCTTGGGCTCAAGGGATCCTCCCACCTCAGCCTCCCAAAGTGCTGGGATTGCAGGTGTGAGCCACTGTGCCCGGCCTATTTTTATTTTTCAAACTAAATGAAATTTAGCCTGAAGATGCCTCTGTACATGAATCCTTTCTTAATGAACTGCAACCTAACTTAGTTTGTGATTAACGGAAGCCTGACTTAGGAGGGGCTCTTGTAACAAATAGGTGAAGCTCGGCCCAACCACAGCAGCTGAGCATCTGTCAATCCAGTCCCAGGTGGCCAACCATTCAAATAAGGCAAAGGCTGAGCTGTAACCAGTCAAGCTGTCTTGACCCTCTCTTCCGTTTTGTGTCCATAAATGCTGCCTGATCACGGTGCAGACGTGGATTCCTAGACCCTGTTCTGGTTCTGAGAGCAGCTGATTCGTGAATCGTTTTTTGCTCAATTAAACCTTAATTTTAACTTGTCATACTCAGTAAGCAGTCACTCCCATTCCTCCTCCTTCTAGTCCCTGGCAACCATGAGTCCACTTTCTGTTGCGGTGAATCTGCCTGTTCTGGACAGTGCATGGAAATGGAATCATGCAGTTCACTTACATTCAGCTTCTTTCATTTGGCCGAGTGTTTTCAAGGCTCATCCAGGATGTAGCTCGCATTAGAACTTCATTCCTTCTGACTGGGCACAGTGGCTCACGCCTGTAATTCCGGCACTTTGGGAGGCTGAGGCAGGCTGATCACTTGAGGTCAGGAGTTCGAGACCAGCCAGACCAACATGGTGAAACCCTGTCTCTACTAAAAAAAAAAAAAATACAAAATTAGCCAGGCCTGGTGGCAGGCACCTGTAATCCCAGCTACTAGGGAGGCTGAGGCAGGAGAATTGCTTCAACCTGGGAGGCGGAGGTTGCAGTGAACCGAGATCACGCCATTGCACTCCAGCCTGGTCAACAAGAGCGAAACTGTCTCAAAAAAACAAAAACAAAAACAAAAACAAAACTTCATTCCTTCTCCGGGCTGAATATGTTCCACTGTATGAGTGGACCACATTTTGCTTATCCATTCGTCTGTGGATGGATGGATACTTAGGGTGTTTCCATTGTTTGGCCATTATGAATAAGGCTGCTGGGAACATTCGCGTTCCAGTGTTCATGTGGATGTGTGTTTTCAGTGTTCCGTGATAGACACCCAGGAGTGGAATTGGTAGGTCACAGGATAATTCCAGGTTTAATTTGTTGCGGCGGTACCAAGCTTTTTTTGCGGTGGCCCTGCCGCTTCACCTGCCCCCAGCAGTGTGTGCAGGTCCCGCGTCTCTCCCAACAGCCAACACTCGCTTTGCATTTGGATTCCAGACATCCTCGTGGGTGTGCGTTGTCTCATTGTGACTTTGATTTGGATTTCCCTAATGACTCATCACGTTGAGCAACCTTTCCTGTGCATGCTGACCATTCGGTGAAATGTATGTGTCCAAGGCCACTGCCCATTTTGAAATTGGGTTGTTTGTCTTTTTGTTGTTATCATCCATGAGGAAAACAAGGATCAGAGAGGGTGAGTAACTTGCCCCAGGCCACACAGCAAGAAGGAGGGAAGACAGCCTTAGAAACCCAGTGGGCCTGACTCTGAAGTCTTGTGTTCTTTCTTTCAAACATAAGGGAGCTGGTGGTTGGGGCTAGGGAAGGCCTTTATTTCCTCTGGAGCAGCTGCTTGGGATGCATCCTGGATTTCTTGCCCCTCCGCAGCACTTGCCCCTCTGAGGGCACAGTCCTTGGACATGGTTCTCAACAGGACACTCCTGGGGAATGTGATCAGGAGGCCCTGGAACCGCACTTGGAGAAACACTGGCTTGGGGTTTGCCATAGGACGTATGACTTCTTGACCCAAGGCTTGAGTTCGGAGCCTCCCCGGTCCACCCCTGCCAGGCTGCTGTGCATCTGCGGCCTGCCCCTCTCCCTGCCTCAGCTTCCTCATCTGTGTAATAGTGAGAGAGGAATGGGATCCCACAGTGCTTAGAAAGCCATTAGGAGTATCAGGGGATGGTCCCTATTGGTGTGTCTGTCTGTTTGTCTGTCTCCCTCCTGGGCGGAGTGCCTCCAAAGTGGGAGCTGTGTCTGGCTCAGCAGATATTAGCCAAGAACCAGGGGCCAAGGAGAAGGGCCCCAGGGCAGACCCCTGCTGAGACCTCAGCATCCTGTGGTATCAGAAACTGGTGCAGCTGGTCCCTCCGTGCCCTGTGGCCACTTCTGGGTGCTCACGCAGCCAGCCCCTGGGCCCACATTTGAGCAGAACTCAGTGCTCAATGTGGTTCCTGTGGGGGAATCCACCATGCCCGGTGACTCCGGGGGCCCCAGCCCTGCCATCCCCGTGTGGGGAACATGGGGCTGGAGGGAACACAGGGTGGGAATTCTTGGAGCTCTGGAAGCAGGTGCTTGGGAAGCATGAGGGTCTTGGAATCTCAGGTCTGGATTCACTTGTGTCCCCAGCTGTGGGGTCTGGGGGGGCACATTGTGGACCTCGCCAGCCTCAATTTCCCACCTCTACAGTGAGGATTGGTAATGCCCGGGAGTGCTCCCAGCACGGCTGGGGTTATGTTCATTTGAACAACTACTGAATGACATCAGCCTTCCTGGGTACTTACATTTTGGGGTCTCAGAAAAGGGTTAAAGGCAGCAACTTTCTGCCTCTGTTGGAGTCCCAGATACCCTCTTCCTGGGGTAGGGCAGACTCCAGGCCAAGGGACCAGGAAAGGCAGGGAGAAGGCAGGAGAGTGGGTGGGAGGGAGCTGTGAGTGGCCGGGAGAGTGCAGGCAGGAGCGGTGCATTTCACAGAGACAGGCCCATCGGGTGAGGTTTGGAAACAACACTTCTCTGTTCCCAGAGCTCAGTGGCCCCCACTTGTCATGGCCCCCAAAGCCATTGGCTTAGGGGCCCCCTTGCCTCTTGGGGAGAACAGAACCCAATAAGAGCAAAGTAGTCACCGCTGGAGGCAGGTTTAGTGGGTGGCTCTGGAGGCAGATGGCCTGGTGTGCTTCCCGGCTCTTCCGTGAGCTGTGCCTCAGTTTCCTCATTTGTAATATGAGGGTAGCAATAATTCCTCCCTCATAGCTAGCTCTTGGATGGTAGTAAATGCTCACAAATGGGCTGTTCTGCAGATGCAGTGTGTGGCAAGGGAGAGTGGCCCCCTGGAAAGGGGACCGGTGGCCAGTCCAGGGGAAGCGGTACCAGCTCCTGTGTAAGTGCCTCCTACGTATGAACTCACATCACCTCGAGGGAGGAGAGGAGGGCCCTGGAGGGGTGGGACGTGGGTTAGGGCTCCTGAGACGACTCCTAAGAAGTGCATACGCAGGGAGATGAAGCCACACTGAATGGGTGGGCTCCTCTCTGGAGCACTGGGAGGAAGCCACTGTGTGGGGTGTCCCTTGTTAGGGCCTTGAGGGGGCTCAATGAATGGCAGAAGCTTCTAACCCACCTGAATGATACATTGAAGTCCCCGCTTTCTGGCTAGATCATGGGAGAGGGGAGCCCTGGTGAATGAGAAGATCCTGGAGGCAGTTGGTAAAGAGTGCGTGTCTAATTGATGGTAGCTCATGTGAGCAGTGGTTTACGACCAGCTGAACACAACATACAAGTGGCAGGATAAAGCCCCAAAAGCCCTCACCAGCAGGTTTGCCTAGGGCACAGGGCTGGAACTGGGTGCTGTATTTGCACATTGGAGGCATCCTCTTCCTTCAGACAACATGCAGTGGTGGGCACCCGGCTTGGAGTCAGACAGACGCTGTGGCCACCGATGCTGTGTGGCCTCAGGCTGGTTACTTAGCCTTTTCGAACCTTACTTTCCAAGCCTTGTGCATTTCAGACTCTGCTAATTGAGGGAATTGAATTTGCTCCTCATCTGCATTCTGTCCTATCAGGATAAGGAGGTATGTAAGCCCCAGAGGTCATGGTGATAATTAACAAGAACAATGGACAAAGAATACAGAAATCAGTCTCCATTCGGCCACTTCCCAGCCCTGGGCACTTTGCCTCCTGCACTTCAGTTTCTCTGTGTGAAACATGGCTGATAACTCCAGCCTTGAGAGTTGCTGGGAAGAATCTGTGACCCGATGCAGGGAAGACTGCAGGCATACCTGGGCACGTGGTGGGCCTTGCATAAATGACAGCCACACCACAGCTCCCAGGCTCCAAGCTCAGTGCTCTCCTGTCCCTCTCAGCCCCTGCATGGCATCCTGTCTCCAAAGTGGAGGTGAGGAAGGCTGCTGTTGGGGAGTGTGGAGCTGCGAAGCTCATGCCATACACCCCTTGGACTTGAATCACACAGGGCTGCCAGTTTTTATTGGTTTTGGGCTGTGCTTTGTGCCCTGGGGATGGCCCTGTCATGCTCTGTTTCAGGCAGCCCCTCGCCTGTGTGTGACGTGGGTCATTTGTCACCCTGACAGTATTGACAGGGCTGCTGCTGGCCTGGGATGGAATCCACTCTGCTCAGGGCAGTGCCTGAGAGATCTTGTCCAGAAGGATGTGGGACAGTGAGCTGCTCGGGGACAGAGTTGCCCTTTTTTTGGGTATAGACCATGCTACCCCCTGCGGTAATGTTGGCTGTTGACAGAGGACTGCTGTGAGCCCAGCCCGGGCCGGAGCCCCGCTTGCTGAGTGTCCACTCCGTGCCTCCCTCCTCCTCTGCACATCTCCCACCCTGGGGCAGGCACCATTGTCATTCTTGAGGTTCTTAGGACCCCTCTCAACTCCCCAGCGTACCCCTTCATCCACTCACCCCCTGTAGCCAGAGCCATTGGTCTAACCTATGAATCTGATCCTGTCCCTCTCTGCCTGTTAAAGCGCCTTGGGGGCTCCCTGGGGAATAACACCCAGCCCGTCCTGTCACTCTTCTGTCCCCTCTGAGGGTATCATGCCCTCATTTCAAATAACCAGGCAGAATTGCAGGGGCAAAGCAGCTCACCCCAGGTGGTGAGATATATATGAGCAAGCCAGGACTTCTGGTTACCTGACTGCAAGCCCACACCCTCATCTCAGGCCACTCTGTCTCCTCCTTCCTTTTCTGCAGTTTTGTGTCTCTGTGGATCACTTTCAGGTCCTTCTTGCTCTCCCACACTGGTGTTTGAGGGGCTTGGTTGCTGGCACACAGCATGCATATCAGTATTGCCTGGAAGAGGGCAGGATCTCCCACCCTCTCCCTGTTAGCTCCTCTGTTACCCAACTTGCTTATTTATTCATTCATTTAATGAATATCATTAAGTGCCTGTTTGTGAATAGGTGCGGACAGAATGGGGCTGAATGTACATGCCTCACCACTGAGTAGTGGAGGCACAGAATTATCAAATGGGCAAGGGAACAGCAGATGCAAAGGCCCTGTGGCAGGAGGCAGCATGGCCCAGAGGCCTGTGTGGCTGCAGAGGAGAGGGAGGCTGCATGACGGGAGCTGGGGCTGGGGAGCTAGGCATGGGCCTGTCCCGTGGGGCCTGGGTGGACTTTTAGGGTTTTAGCTTTCTCTGTGGCTCTCAAAAGCATGGGGCCTGGCTCTGTTCTCCCTCCTCATACCACAGGGACTATTTTGGCTTGCACTGTGATTTATCTCTTCCTACCACAGTTCCCTTCTTTCCTAGGTGCCGTGGGGGCTCTCATATGACTCCAGCACTAGGCAAGCCCTGTAACCTAAGGCTCCTAGAAACTTGGTCTCCCAACATAGCTGGGGGCCCAACACAGCTGGTATTCTAGGGGAGTCAGAAGGGTGGATGGTGGCAGAATGCTCCCCTCTCAGGAGTCTGCTCACTATCCTCTCCATTCTGTCTTCTGAAAGAGATGGTGGAGAATTGCTATAATTTCTTCCTTAAATATTTGTTAGAATTCACCAGTGAACCCATCTGGGCCTGGTACTTTCTGTTTGGGAAGGTTATTAAATTGTTGGTTCCATTTCTTTTTCTCTTTTCTTTTCTATTCTTTTTTTTTTTTTTTTTTTTTTTTTTTTTTTAAGACAGAGTCTTGCTCTGTTGCCCAGGCTGGAGTGCAATGGTGTGATCTTGTCTCACTGCAACCTCCACCTCTCGGGTTCAAACAATTCTCCTGCCTCAGCCTCTTGGGTAGTTGGGACTACAGGCGTGTGCCACTATGCCTGGGTAATTTTTGTATTTTTAGTAGAGATGGGGTTTCACCACATTGGCCAGGCTGGTCTCAAACTCCTGACCTCTGATGAGCCACTTGCCTTGGCCTCCCAAAGTGCTGGGATTACAGGCCTGAGCCACCACACCTGGGCCATTTCTTTAATAGATATAGGCCTATTTAGATAGTCTATTTCTTATTGTGTGAGTTTTGGCAGATTGTATCATTTAAGGAATTGGCATTTCATCTAGGTTATTAAATTTGTGGGCATAGAGTTGTTCACAGTGTTACTTGATTATCCTTTGAATGTCCATGGCATCTGTAGTGATGTATCCTCTTGCATTTCTAGTATTAACAGTTGTGTCCTTCTCCTTTTTCCTTGTTAGCCTGGCTGGAGGCTTATTAATTTTATCGATCTTTTCAAAGAACCAGTTTTTGATTTCATTAATTTTCTCTGTTGATTTCTTGTTTTCAATTTTATTTATTTATGCTCTAATTTTTATTATTTTCTTGTGTTTACTGTGGATTTAATTTGCTCTTCTTTTCCTAGTTTCCTGAAGTGGAAGCTTAGGTGCTTGATTTTAGATCTTTCTTCTTTTCTAATATGTACATTCAATGTTATAAATTTCCCTCTAAGCACAGCTTTTGCTGCCTCTCATAAATTTTGATAAGTTGTGTTTTCATTTTTAATTAGTTCAAAATACTTTTGAATTTCTCTTGAGACTTCTTTGAGTCATGTGTTATATAGAAGTGTGTTGTTTCAATCCTCTCCATTCTGATACTGTCAGGTGGGGTTTTTGCTTCTTTTTCCGCTTTGCATGACAGACTCCCTTCTGCCTGGAGACAGATTTTCTGGCCTCACCTGGGACTGTGCACAAGTCATTAGCTGAGCCTCAGTTTTATCATCTGTAGAGCAGGGGGCAAAGTACCAACTTCCCAGGTAATATGGACCTGGAGAGTTTGTAGGTAGGGGAACTGGTATTGGAACCCCTGTCTACCTGGCTTCCAGACCCCAGTATTTCCCCTTCTTCCCACACTGGGCTCCAAGGTGGGCCTCCAGGCTCAGCATGATGGACTGTTGAAATGATAAATGAAAGGAAGAGGTGCATCAGGGGAGGGGATGCATTTCTGTAGGAAGACATCCCAAAGAGCCGCAGGGTAATTTCTTCTGTCTTTTTTTTCCTAGTTGTGCAGGCCGGGCCCTCTCACCTCTTAGAACCTCAGTTTCTTCATTTGCAAAATGGGGAAAATATGTATTAGAGATGGATAATAACAGCAGCACCTGACGTGTAGGGAGTACTTTGCACATGCCAATTTCCACTGTCACTGAGATCTTCATGTGGCTTCTGGGAAGTAGTCCCTCTTATCATTGCCACTTCACAGAGAAGAGAGTGAGGCTCAGATAGGCTAGGTAACATGCCTGGGCTCTCCTAGCTACTGAGTTGTCCAGCCAGGTTTTGGACCCAGATAGGCTGACTCCAGGGTGAGCTGTTGGGTTGAGATTCAGTTGTGTGCCCAGCATGGTGCCTTTCACACAGGGCAGGTGCCGGGCAAGGTGTGGTTCTGGGGAGTCAGCATCACAGGGGAAGATCAGTCCTGTCCCTCACTCAGAGACCCCTGTCTACCTTCTGCCAGGCGAGCAATCTGGTGGGCTTGCTGGGAAGGAGGCCACATATTGGCATCAGGGTCTCCCTCCCGCCTGGGGCTGGTGAAGGGGAAAGCCACTCACAGTTATTCCTGGGAGTGTGGGCGTGGGAGGAACCCACTGCAGCAGGGCTTTTTAAAGAAAACTCTGCCTTGTCTATAAATATCCTCCTGACGTGTCCCCAGTTCCTGAGCTTCTGGGACAGTGAGGCAGTGCCCTGCCTACATGCCACTCGCCAAGACTGCTGAGTGATTTCGCAGTGGGAGGGAGCTTGGGGTCAGCTGGGGCGGGGTTTCATGAACCAGTGACATCTCCCACAGACACTCAAGGGGACTGCATTGCGCCAACTGTTTATATTGCCAGGTGAGGACTAAAAACAGGATCCCTTATGATCACTCTCTTGTCAGATATGAAATGTGTTAACGCCAAAGCATGTAGAAAAGTAAAGTGCAGGCTAGCAAATGGAATATTTTCTTTTAAATGAAAAACTCGCTGCAGGGTCCATGCTGTTCTAATTCCTCCAGAATTTTATAGAAGCCACGACAGGCAGCACACGCTCACAGGGCCTGGGAGGAGGAGTCATGGGCCCGGCAGTACTGCCCACACCTGGGGCAGGGTGGACAGATGGACGGATGGCCTGGTCCAGGAGCTGGGCATCCTATCAGGCCCTGCGGATGGGGAGTTAAAGGCTAGCCAGGCCCTCTCTGAGGTGCAGCTTGCTCAGCTGCACAGAGGAGTGGTGGTCCTCACCTTGCAAAGCAGCACTGCGGGTAAGACGAGGCAACGGGCAGGAATTTGCTGTGCACACAGTCCTTGTCATCATCCTCTTTTCAGGCTGCAATGCCAAGAAACTCTCCCAGGATGGTCCTGGAGCCCCCAGGGCAGGGTTCTGGGGATGTGTGGAGGACGATGGGCAGTCAGGACCACACTGTGGTGGGTCCTAAGGACGCCTGCCAGAAAAACATCACGCATGTGGATAGGAGTTGAATTGCATCACTCCCCTCACCCACCACCAAATACTTGTTGAAGTCCTAATTCAGTTTCTCAGAATGCGACCATATTTGGAAATAAAGTATTTGCAGATGTAGTTAGTTGAGATCAGGTCATACTGGAGCAGGATGGGTCCTTAACCCAACATGACTGATGTCCTTATAATAAGAGGAGAGGAGACACAATGACACACACAGGAGAACTCCTTGTGAGGACAGAGGCAGAGATTGGATGCTGCAGCTACAGGCCAAGGAGCACCAACCATTGCTGGCAATGCCGGAAGCTGGGAGAGGTGAGGAAGAATCCTCCCCTGGATCCCTGGTGGCTCTGCCGGACACCTCGATCTTGGACTTCTGGTTTCCAGGACAGCTTTACAGTACTTTATTATGGCAGTGCTAGCAAACAAATACAAGCACCTAACTTAGTGCTGGCATGCAGTTGGAGCTTGATAAATGCTTGCTGAATGAATGATATTTATTGAGTGCTTACTACATACCAGGCAATAGGCAAAGGGATTAGATGATAGTTAAAATTTCTCGTGTGTTTATATGCAAGGCATTCTTGTAAGCACGTTAGAAGTACTCACTCATTTAGTCTGCATGACAGCTCTTTGAGGTGAGTACTCTGTGGTTCTCTTTTTGTGCATGAGAAAACCAGGACACAAAGAGATGAGTCTCTTGCCCAGGGTCACATAAACAGCTGAGTTGAGATCCAAACCCCATCAGTGTTAACTTCCAGGCTCTTGCTGGTTAGCCCTGCAATGCTGCCTCCCAGCCTTTGGCCTGGCACAGAGTAGGTGCTTGGGAAATGCTCACCATCCAGTACTTGTTGAATGCTCTTCCCAGCTGTGCCAAGAAGGTTCTGGTTCTATGAGAGTGTTCGGTTGTCAAACAAGAGAAGTATTTTGCTCTCTTCCCCAGTTTGCCAGAGCCTCCAGTTGACTGGTTAAGATTTAACCATTAAGAGCTGATTTGATTCTACCTTTAAAGTGACCAGCCGCCACCTGTATTAGCATCCTGTTGTGGGTGGAATTGTGTCCCCTCAAAAGATATGTTGGGGTCCTCACCCCTGATGCCTGTGAATGTGGCCTCATGTGGAAGTTGGGTCTTTGCAGATGTAATCAGGTGAAGATGAAGCAGGACCTACTAGATTAGGGTGGGCCCTGATCCAGTGACTGGCATCCTTAGAAGAGACACAGTCATACCAGGAGAAGGCCACATGGTGATAGAGACAGAGATTGTAGTGATGCAGCTACAAGCCAAGGAGTGCCCAGGCTTGCAGGCAACACCTGAAGCTGAGCTAGGCGTGGAGCAGACCCTCTTCTGGAGCCTTCAGAGAAGGCATGGCCCTGCTGACACTATGTTTTCAGATTTCTAGACTCCAGAACTGGGAGAGAATATGATTCCGTTGTTTGGGGCCACCCAGGTTGTGATGTTTTCATGGCAGCCCTAGGAAATGAATATCCACCCCAGGCATTGCAGAGCTGACCTGTGCTTGTCCTGCACTAATTTCTATCCCACATTCTTTGGGCATATTCCAGAACCCGGTGTCTGAACCTCCCCAGCATAATAGTTCAGACCATTGGAACAATCTCTTTTTGAGTTCAGAGCCTGTGGGAGGTGAGTCCTACAAAAACCAAGGGCCCTGGGGCCAGCCACTGGGGGACAAATACTCAGCTCCACTCCTTATCAATGCTGAGACCTTGAGCCAGCCAGGTCACATCTTTGATCACCAATCACCTCTTCTATCAAAGTGGCCA
The DNA here is from genome assembly GCF_000001405.40 of Homo sapiens. Classification (NCBI taxonomy): domain Eukaryota; kingdom Metazoa; phylum Chordata; class Mammalia; order Primates; family Hominidae; genus Homo; species Homo sapiens. The sequence continues at coordinate 6,514,400 of NC_000004.12, read as the reverse complement.
TAACAAAATTGCCTTGAGACCTGTGAGGGTTAAAGGGGGATAGATGTACAAATACCTGGGCAGTACCTCGTCTTACCTGGTCCTCAATAAATGCTACTTGAATTGAACCAAAGAGAATACCAACTCCTCCACTTGGTTCATTTAGTAAATGAAATGAAATTTCTGTTAATCTCATAGGTTCACAAAATTGAAAAGATTGGTTGCACAACATTGTCACCTGCTATTTAGATACATAGGAAAAGAATAGCTAAATTATACCAGGTTTTGTACCTTCTGAAAAAAAAAGTCAAAGGACGGTAAATTATTTTTTCCTTACATAAAATGAATTCGGTGCACATGAACATGGTTCTGCTTTTGTATTCTTCAGCTTCCTAAATATATGAGGCCCAATTATACACCCCATCTGTATTTGAACATTTTTAGCATGCCTCAGAATTAGTGTTGATTTAATTTATTTCCACCAGAGATTTGCAAAATATTTCCTTAAGTTATTCTGAACCGGAGGTGATTCATTCAAGGAGAGAGTGGGTGGTGTCTTCAGAGTGGGTGCTCCCCACTGGAGAAAACTGAGCCAAGTGGGGAGGAGATGGGGGCCTCTGGGGGCCCTTCCCTGGCCTGCCCACCACCCCTTCTGGGGTGTGGCCCAGTGCACGCCCTTTTCATGGGTCTGCACTGCTGATGGGGGAGCACAGCTGAAGCTCCCTGGTTGGGCACAGATGCCCTTAATGAACTGGTCCAGGCTTGTTCACCCTCATACCTGACCTGTCCCTTTCATACTCACCCTACCTACTTGAGACTCCTCCAGCTCATCAGGGAGCTGCACAAATAGGGTCTGTGCATGGCAATTGCTGGCTTCTCAGGCTGGTTGGCATGGCCCCTCCCTCGCAGTGACTGGCAAGCCTCTTGTTTCCTGGGAAGCCTTTCTGTGGCTCACTCTTCACCCCCTGTTCCACCCCTGGGAGGACCCTTCTCTGGGGCTCCCCAGACACACACTGTCTCTCTGCCTCTGCCCAGAGACCATGGCTTCCTCTCCATGCACCAGCACCACTGCTCCTTGAAAAGAAAACAGCATCTCTGTGCCCACTCTTTGGACTGACTCCATCGTATTCCAGGGCCTATTTGTTAAACTGGATGGAAAACCAAAGCCTGTAGGGCTGTAATTTATTCATTAATATCTTAAGTTTTCAAGATTAAACATATTTACTGGGTAGATGCTTATTAAATGCTTGTGAATGAATGGATGAGTGAGTGAGTGAATGTATAAATTACGTGTTGTCCTTTGGTAAATTTTCTAGCTTTATGATATAATCAAATTATCCTGGCTGCAGCAAGTCTTTAAAAAGCCCATATACTTAGAGCAAAATTAATTGTATTGTTAAATAAAATTCCCCAAGATGCAACAAAGTGCAGTGAAGTATTTTTTTTTATCCTGATATGTGGACCAGCTAATGCTGTTAAATCAGCATTTTAAATGTGTGGTTTTATTGGGTCTGATTTCACTGGGTTTTATCATAAGATGAACCATTTGCTTTTGAACTGAATTGAACTGAAACCTACAGCTATTGGGCCCTTATCATAAAAGTGTCAAGTGCCACCCTGGACACTGTTATGTACATTATATCATTGTGCAGACCCTGGCCCAGGTGAGGTCTTATCCTCACTGCCACCATTGGCATCATTGTAATTATCAACACTCTCACCATCATCACCACCACCAGTATCACCACCACCACCACCACCACCACCATCAGCACCATCACCACCATCACCATCACCACCACTACCACCATAATCACCACCACCACCATCACCATCACCACCATCACCATCACCACCACCACCACCATCACCACCATCACCACCATCACCATCACCACCACCACCACCAACATCACCACCACCACCACCATCACCATCACCACCACTACCACCATAATCACCACCACCACCACCACCGCCACCATCACCACCACCCCCACCATCACCACCACCACCATCACCACCACCACCATCACCACCACCACCACCACCACCACCACCATCAGCACCATCACCACCATCACCATCACCACCACTACCACCATAATCACCACCACCACCACCACCGCCACCATCACCACCACCCCCACCATCACCACCACCACCATCACCACCACCACCCCCACCATCACCACCACCAACACCACCATCACCACCACCATCACCACCACCACCACCACCATCAGCACCATCACCACCATCACCATCACCACTACCACCATAATCACCACCACCACCACCCCCACCATCACCACCACCACCACCACCACCACCACCATCAGCACCATCACCACCATCACCACCATCACCATCACCACCACTACCACCATAATCACCGCCACCACAACCACCACCATCACCACCACCACCACCATCACCACCACCACCACCACCATCACCACCACCACCACCACCACCAACACCAACACCACCATCACCACCACCATCACCACCACCACCACCACCATCACCACCACCACCACCACCACCACCACCATCACCACCACCACCACCACCACCACCATCACCACCACCACCACCATCACCACCACCAACACCACCATCACCATCACCACCACCATTACCACCATCACCATCACCACCACCATTGCCATCACCACCATCACCTCCACCACCATCACCACCATCACCTCCACCACCATCACCACCATCACCTCCACCACCATCACCACCATCACCACCACCATCACCACCACCATCAACACCACCACCACCACCACCATCACCACCACCACCACCCCCATCACCACCACCACCACCACCGCCATCACCACCACCACCACCACCACCACCATCACCACCACCACCACCACCATCACCACCACCACCACCACCATCACCGCCATCACCACCAACACCGCCATCACCACCACCACCGTCATCATCACCACCACCACCGTCACCACCACCATCACCACCATCACTGTCACCACCACCATCACCACCATCACCATCACCACCATCACCGCCACCACCACCATTACCATCACTGTAGTTATCAATACTGTCACTATCATCACCACCATCAATACCATCACCACCACCATCAGCATCAGCATCAGCATCAGCATCAGCATCAGCATCAGCATCAGCATCACCAGCGGAACGACTAACATGTACTGAGCACTCACGCCATGCCAGGCATCGTTCTAAGCATTTTGCGTGTTTTTCTCATGTAACACTCACTAAACCGCATGCAATGGGCGATTATTATCTCCATGTTACAGATGAAGAAATTAAGAGAAGGACAAATTCAGGGACAGCTAGTGAGTGTTGGAGACAGAAATCAAATAAAGTTCCTCTTATTCATTCATTCAACAAACATTTTCTGTTTTTTTTTTTGTTTGTTTGTTTTTTTTTGTTTGAGACGGAGTCTCACTCTGTTGCCGAGGCTGGAGTGCAGTGGTGTGATCTTGGCTCACTGCAACCTTTGCCTCCCGGGTTCCAGCAATTCTCCTACCTCAGCCTCCTGAGTAGCTGGGAATACAGGTGCCTGCCACCATGCCTGGCTAATTTTTTGGATTTTTAGTGGGGACATTGTTTCACTGTGTTAGCCAGGATGGTCTCTATCTCCTGACCTCGGGGTCCGCCCACCTCGGCCTCCCAAAGTGCTGGGATTACAGGCGTGAGACACCGTGCCCGGCCTCAACAAACATTTTCTAAGAGGGCCTCCTCCGTATCAGGCACATTTCCAGGGGCTGGGCGTTGTTGGGCTGAGAAGACATTCTGGTGTGCGTGTGTGCGTGCGTGTGTATGTGCATGTGTGTGCCTGTTTGTGTGTGCATGCACATGCATGTGGGGCGGGGCAGGGACACAGATAGTGAAGAATAAATGAACAGAAACAATTTCGGGTACATATAAGCACCATGAAGAAGTTAAAACAGGGTGATGGATAGAAGGTGATGATGGAGAAAGGCCATTTGAGGCTGGATGTCCAGGGAAGATCAGAGTAGGTGTCATTTGAACCAAGACCAGAGAACAAGGGTGAGATCTGGGGATGGAGTTTCAGGGAAAGGGATGGTAAGTGCCCAGCTGGTCAGCCTTGCTCCAGGGACAGAAAGAGGCTAGTGAATCTTCAGGGTCCTGAGCAGGGGTGGGGGTGGTGGGAGGTGGTGAAAGGGGGCCAGGCCATGCAGGTTGGAGTTTGGGCTTACTCCATGTAAGATGGGAGGGATTTGAAGCAGGTGGGTGGCATGATCCTGTGTAGGTTTTGTAAGGCCATTTGTTCTGCTGAGTGGAGAATGGATTGAGTGGGGCAGGAATGGAGATGGGGAGACCAGTCTGAAGTTGCAGGTGAGAGATGTGGCTGGCCTGACTATGGTGGTGGCTGTGGAATGAGAGGACGTTAGAAGCACCTGGGACACTTGTGGAAATGACATAGACAAGAATAACAAATCAGTTACACGTGGAGGGTGCAGGAAAGGGAGGGCCCAGGACCCTGGTGACAGCCCCCACCAAGTGCACTTACTGCTCATGTGCATTGCGTGGAGTCGGCCTTGTGACAGCCCAGGAAGGTGGGTGCCATTGTGATCACCATGGAAACCTAAGGAGGGAACTAAGGCACGGAGAGTGAAAGCCACCCAGCTAGAAGGTATGGAGCGTGACTCACAGGCATTCCATGAGTGTTTGTTGAACGGATAAGTGAGTTCAGGGTGGCATAGCTCACAGCTTTGTGAATGGGCACAAGGGCAGGGTTGAGCTCTCTGAAAGGGTGGCTTCGTTGGACTAGAGGCAGACACAGCCACTTAAATGAGATCGTGGTAAGGGTAGATTAGTTTGGTTGGATTTCTGGGCAGATTTATTAAACACACCATTTCCCCTGGTGTAAAGGTTTACCTCCTCACTTATTTATTTATTTTTTTTTTGCCAGAGGCTCAATTGATTTTTTTCATTGCAGTTATTGATTTCTGAATAACATTTCGACTTTTTTTCCCCCTGAATATCTCTTGTGTTTTAGCTAATAAATCTTTGACATGTTGCACTGGCTCTGTGGGTGGAGGGTTATGGGAAGTGCTGAGATGCAGACTGAGATGAAGATACCACTTCTCAAGAAGGGCTGCCAGGCAAGGCTTTCAGATTTCCTCCTTTGTTTTCAAGCTGGAGTGTTTCAGCTTTGCTATTGTTCTTTCCCAACCATGGGAAAATCCAGCTTCATGTACAGTTTGCTGTCTGAGAAGTTCAAGCTGTTTTAAACACTGCGGTTCAAACAATGATCTGATTATCCTTAAGAATCAAATACTGTTAGCAGTGGCAAATCCGTGTGGGTCTGCAGCAACTCAGTGCTCACCTCCTAAGAGGAAAGGATTCGTCTGAGGGGCAAAAGGCAGAGTGAGAGACTGAGGCAAGTTTTAGAGCTGGAGTGAAAGTTTATTAAAAAGTTTTAGAGCAGGAAGAGGGCCAAGTGTGCTGTTTGACCTATGACTTGGGGTTTTATACGTTGGCATGCTTCTGGGATTTTGTGCCTCTCTTCCCTTGATTTGTTTTTTGGGGTGGGCTGTCCATATGCGCAGTGGCCTGCCAGCACTTGGGAGGGGCTGCGTCTTAATGTGTTTACTGAAGTTGTGCGTGTGCTCATTGAGTCGTTTTTCCCTTACCAGTGGAGTTTTCCTAGAAGGTCATACTCCAGTTAAACTCCATCATTTTGCCTCTTAGTGTGCATGTTTGAGCCCACTCGCCCAACTCAGATCCTGTCAGGAAGCTGCTGGTCATCACCTTCAGGTGTTTCTTTTTTCTTTTTCTTTTTCTTTTTTTTGAGATGGAGTCTCACTCCGTCGCCAGGGCTGGAGTGCAGTGGCACGATCTTGGCTCACTGCAAGCTCTGTCTCCCGGGTTCAAGCAATTCTCTTGCCTCAGCCTCCCGAGTAGCTGGGATTACAGGCACCCGCCACTATGCCCAGCTAATTTTTTTTTGTATTTTTAGTAGAGACAGGGTTTCACCATGTTGGCCAGTCTGGTCTCAAACTCCTGACCTCGTGATTCGCCCACCTCGGCCTCCCAAAGTGCTGGGATTACAGGCGTGAGCCACCGCACCTGGCCCCCAGCTTCAGCTGTTTCTATTGGGAGACTGCCTTTCCCTGATGCCAGCTGTAACCAATTATTATTTTAGAGAGACCGTTTAATAACCGCCTGACCATCACCTGATGGTCACCTGACATTCCTCATTTGGGGCAGGCTCTCCTGCCCTGCTCAGTTCTGCCTAACTACCTACTCTAACAATACTATGTAGTTGTTTATTTTTATTTTTAGAGACTGGGGTCTTACTATGTAGCCTAGGCTGGCCTGAAACTCCTGGGCTCCAGCGATCCTCCTGAGTACCTGAGACCACGGGCATGTGTCACTGTGCTCAGCATCAAATGCTACATCATTGTTTTTTGCTCTACAGCTCATCCTAAATTTGATTTGTCGTCTAAGGATTTTCAGAGCTGAAAGGTATTTCAGCAATCATGTTCAACCCTCCCATTTCATAGATGAGGAAATTAAATTCTAAGGAAGAAACATGATTTACCCAGAGGGTCAGAGCTGATCTTGAAGGAGACTGGTTTAGTGAAGACATGAGGAGTGGGCAATTGAATCTTATGTAGTGTATTAGTTAGCTATTGCTGTATAACAAACCACCCCAAAATTCAGTGGCTTAAAACAACCATTGATTTGCTCAAGAGTTTGTGATCTGGGCCAGGCTTAGCTAGTGGTTCTTCTGCTGGTCTCACCTGAGGCTACTTAGTGACTTTTAGCAGTCATCTGGAAGCTCACCTGGGCCTGGGTCATCCAAGGTGCCTCAGCTGAGCTGGTTAGAACAGCTGGAGGCTGGCTCGGCCTCTCACTCCACACATAGAGAGTCTAGTAGGGTAGCCCACCTTCTTTACAGGGTAGCCCAGGGCTGCCAGAGGGCAAGAGTGGAAACTGCACGGACTGTTAAGTCACACAGTAACTTCCATCTCTTCCTATTGCTCAAGGCTTTCCTGCGACGTTGCTGCAGCATCAGTACATTTGCCCAAGGCCTTGATGTTCCCAATGTTGCATGTAGTCAGAGGCAGGAAGGTCTTCCGAGATCACCCAGGCCAAACCTTTTAGTTTATAGCTGGGGAAACTGAGGCTCAGGCCTCATCCTTGAGCACCTGTGCTTTTGTTCCCAGCTGCAGCTTGACATTCTGTTAGATGTCTACACCAGGCATTGCAAACTTAACATGACTGAGATGGAACTTTGGAATTTTCTCTTCAGCCCTCTTCCTCACTGGCATTCCCACTGTCCTGGCTGGTCTTTCCTATCTTAGTTCTGCAGGCCCGACACCTAGGAGTCATCCTTGATCCTCCTCCTAGGATGTCTGAGGCTGCATCATAAGAAGCCATGGAGCTTCCATCCGGTGATCTGGTGATCTGGGTCTTTTGAGTTTGCTCTTAAGATGCTCATCCTGGGGGAACCAGCAGTCATGGTGTGAGAATGGCAACCCACATGGGAGGCCATATGTTGACAGCCCCAAGTGAACTCCCAGCTGATGGCCAGCATCGACCACCAGACATGTGAAAGAGCCATCTTGGACATCCAGCCCAGTTGGGCCTTCAGATGAGTGCAGCCCCCACTGCTGTCTGCAACTTCATGAGGAACACCAAGAAGGAACAGCTCAGCTAAGCCCAGTCAGTCTGCCCAACCACTATAGCAGATGGTAATGAATTGTTTTAAGGGGCTGTTTGTTACACAACAGTAGGTAACTGGAACACCTACTCAGAATCTTTGCTTTCCTATCTCCTGTGTCCTGAAAGTTCTTTCCCTGGATATTTTCATGACTGAGCCCTTCTCATTGATTGCTCTTTGAAGTCACTTCTCAGAGAGGCCTCTTGTGACCTCAGAGTTGGTTTAGTTTTGTGGCTGTGTCCTGTTTCCATGTGAATAAGATCTGTTGTGGAATGTTGGCATAGCTGTGTTCCACGTGACGTTTGTTTTCTGTCTAAATGCCAAAATCATAATACAGAGACCCACGTAAACTTACATGATTTAATAATTTTTAATTGAGGTAGCTATGTTCCGTAAAGTGTACAGATCTTACGTGTTCAATTTGATGAGTTTTGACAAACATGTAACCATTACACAAAATAGATATTGGAAGTTTTTATCACCTCAGAAAAAAATCCCTTGCTCCTCTTTCAATCAGTTGTCCATTATCTTCCCAGCACCACACCTGAAGAGCCAATTATTTCTGCTTGCTGAAGAGCCAACACATTATTTTAGAAGGTCATGTGAGTAGGATCATGTGGTGTGTACTCTTGTGTTTGGCTTCTTTTGCCCAGCATGCCTATGAAATTCATCCACATTGTTGCAGTAAGCAGTATTTCATTCTTGGATTTTATTTTTTATTTTTTTAATTAAAAAAAATGTTTTTGAGAGGGAGTCTCACTCTGTCACCCAGGCTGGATTGCAGTAGCATGATCTCAGCTCACTAAAACCTCCACCTCCTGGGTTCAAGCAATTCTCATGCCTCAGCCTCCTGAGTAGCTGGGATTACAAGCGTGTACCACCACGCCCAGCTAATTTTTGTATTTTTAGTAGAGACAAGGTTTCACCATGTTGGCCAGGCTGGTCTTGAACTCCTGACCTCAAGTGATCCACCCACCTTGGCCTCCCAAAGTGGTGGGATGACAGGCGTGAGCCACCACAGCTGGCCTTATTCTTGGATTTATAAAAATTGCATTTTAATTTATCTATGAGCTTTTAAATCTCTATCTCTGCATTATGTTTTTAATGGTTGCTCTGGGATTATACTATACATCCTTAACTTTTCATTACTATGAAAAGTTTATTAATTTTCCACCACTTTACATAAAGCATAACAATAGGTACCTGTACTTCCTCCTTCATCCTTTTGCTATGGCTATCGAATGGATTATATTGATATATACTATAAACCTCACAATACAATGTAATGATTTTTGCTTTAAATAATTATATGTATTGAATGGTCTTTTATGTTTACCCACATGTTTACCATTTCCAGTGTTCTTCATTGCTTCCTGAAAATCTGTGTTTCCATTCTGAAGAACTTCCTTTGGCATTCTTTGTAGTGCAAGTGTGCTGGCAATGAATCCCTTTAGTTTTTTTAAATCTGAAAATGTCTTTACTTCATCTTCATAATTGAAGGATATTTTCACTGAATATAATATTCTGGATTGACAGGCTTTTTTTTTTCCAAGCACTTTAAAGATGTCATCCCACCGCCTTCTGGCCTCCATAGTTTCTGATGAGAAGTCAGTAGTGGATCAAGTCATTGTTCTTTTGTTTGTAATGTGTCATTTTTCTCCGGCTTCTTTCCAGAGTTTTTCTTTATACTTGGTTTTTAGTAGTTTAACTATGACGTGCCTTTATGTGGTTTTCTTTGTGTTTTTTTCCCTGCTTGAGATTCGCTGAACTTCTTGGATCTGGAAATGTATGTGTTTCACAAAAATTGGGGTCATTTTCAGCCATTGTTATACTTTTGTGCCTCGTTCTTTTGTCACCTTCTTTGACAACAGTCACACTCATGGGAGACTGTTTGGTGTTTGGCCCACAGGTTCCTGAGGCTGGGTTATTATTTTAACTTCCCTCCTCTGTTTTTCAGATAGAGTAAAAATTCTGTCGATCTCCCTTCACTTTCACTGACTCTTCTGGAATTTGTTATCTGCTTTTTAGTATATCCAGTGAATTTTTAAAATTTCAGGTAGTGTATTTTTCAGTTCTAGATTTTCCATTTAATTTATTATTTAGTAGTTTCTATTTCTTTGCTGAGACTACTTATTTTTAAATTCATTATGATTTTATTTTCCTTTACATTCTTAAGCATAGTACAAATAGCTGCTTTAAAATGATTGTCTGCCAATTCCAGCATTTGGGGTCCATCTCAGTTGATTTTTTTTTTCTTTTGGGTTTTATTTATTCTTACATCAATTAATTTTGATTTGTACCCTGAATTTTTGAGCAGTACATTGTAGACACTCTGGGTTCTATTATGTTACTCCCAAGAGTATTGTTTTTTTGTTATAGGCAGTTAAGTTGGCTGTACTCAGACTGTAAAATGTCCCCCTTGCAGAAGGTAGCAGCTAAATCCTCCATTTAATTCTTTTAGCCTTTGGTGGACTGTTTGACATCTGTCCTGAGAAGACAGAGATCTGGGTTGACTTCATACATGGGACTTGGTGCTCCTCATCTTTCTTCCTCCTCATTCCCTGCCAGATTCCAGTAGCCAAGATTGCCCCACATGCTGTCAGCTACTTCTTAAGGCCACTAAGATGGGAGATTTCTATCACAGTTGTAGCTCTCTGAATGGTGCAGGAGGAGGACTGCTCTCAGGCCAACTGCCACAAAGCATGAAACATTTGGTGCTTTTCCCTTCTTACATGAGTTGGCCCCTCCAGTACCCACCTGCTTTTGATTGCCCTTAGGTGCCTTAGGTGGTTACTTTTTATATTTTGTCCAGAGTTCATGGTTGTTATTTGTGGGAGGGTTGGTCTGATAGGACCTACTTTGCATTTCTTAGCATTGCTAGAAGCAGAATTCTCAGTTTTTGTTTTTTTTTTTTTAATTGCCAAGTAGTATTCCACTGTTATGTCTATGCAGTGTACTTGTCCATTCTTTTGCTGATGGATGTTTAGGTTTGCTTACAGGTTTTTGTCTGTTAGGAATGAAGTTGCCATAAACATTATGCATAAGTCTGTATGGACATAAGTTTTTTTCTCTTGGGTCAGTGTCTGGGACTTCACACAAAACTGTCAAATTGGTTATTTATGGGGTCTCCCATGAGCCTGTAAATAGGGGATACAAGGGCTACCGTTCACAGGGAATACTGTCATGAACAAAACACATACAGTAAATAGAAACAGGTCCCATTGGTGTCACCTATACTATGCTAGCAGATGCTGAGTGTCAGGGAGAAAAAGAAGGCCAAGAAAAGTGATGGGAGGGGAGGCAACTGGGCAATGGGCTTCTACTGAAAACTGGCTGGGCAGGGGAGGCTTTGCTAAGAAGGAATATCAAGGGACTCCAGGGTGGTGGCTGAGTGAATGTGTGCATATCTGAGCAACAACATTTTAGGCAGAGGGAACAGTGGCTGCAAAGGCCCTGAGGTGTGGCTGGAGTGGGGTGGGCTGAGGAAGGGAGGAGGTCATGAGGTCCGAGGAGTGCTGGGGCAGGCCATGGGTGGATGACCTGGGGTCCCTGGGCCACTGTGTGGAATCTGGGTTTGCTGCAGTGGACAGGAAGCTGTTAAAGTCTGCAGCAGTGGCATGGATTGGAAGATTTGGACATTAGTTTAAGGAGAGTTGCTCTGGACAGGTGTTGAGAACAGACAGCAGTGAGGAAGGGCTGAGAAGTGGGAGCCAGTGAAGACGCTTCTGGAATGTGCAGCCCAGGGTGACAGCAGTATAGCAGAGGGGAGGGGTGCAGGTGGCAATAGCGGCCGGGTCTGGGATACTGTTTGAAGGCAGAGCCAGGGCATTAGATGTGGGTGTGAGAGAAAGAGGCATCCAGGACATCTCCAAGGTTTTTCGGCTCCAGTGACTGGAGGCCTGAAAATTAGAATAGTGCAAATGTTGGGTATTGCTCGGATAAAATGAAAATAGACCCTCATTGGAAGGAGGGGGTCAGGAAGTGTGCAAAGTCCCTCTATCCTATTACCCTGCCTGGTCTTTTCCAGGGTATCTGGAACTGATTGATTGATTGACTAATTGTCTTTCTAGCCCCCTAGAAGAAATGCCAGGACCTAGCACAGGTTGGGTGTGGCATGTGTGGGAACTCAATAAATGTTATGGAATAAAAGGAAGGAAAAAGGAAGGAAGGAAGGAAGCAGGGAAGGAGGGAGGGAGAGAGGGAGAGAGGGAAAAAGGGAGGGACAGAGGGAGGGCAGGAAGAAGGGAAGGAGGGCAGGGGAGGGACTCACCCGGGGCTGAGGCCACACCACAGTCACCATCCTTCAGACACCCTGCCTGTGTTTGCTTGTTCAGTCCACACAGCTGCACCGTACATCACAGACCAGAGGGGAGATTCGCTTGTTTCTTTTAAGGTGAAGTCCCAGAGGATTTCCCCGGCATATGGAAAGCCCCTGTGGACTTCAAGTTAGGCTCAGTTGTGGCTTGGCTTGACGGTCCCCAGTGACCAAGAAGCATAGCTCCCGAAGGTGGGACTCATTTACCCCACCCTGAGGGGCTCTGATCACAGATATGCTTATTCTTACATGGAAAAGAAACACATTGCATCCATTCGTCCTCATCCCCTAGAAACCCACTCCCTATCCTGCTCCAGATCGCGTGGAACAGGCTGGTTCCTAGTGCTGTTTGGTGGCCCTTTAGACACCTGAGGACAGAGACATGCCCCTGGGCATCTTTTTTCCAGACCAAATCCTCTTCCATCTCCAATTCTTCATTTATTTGTTCAGCAAATGCTTTCTAAGCACCTGCTATGTGCTGGGCTTTCTGCTGAGCTCTGGGACCAAAAAGACAAAGATACTGGGTCTCTCTCCTTATGGGACCTGTCATAGGCCATTGTTTGGACCAGGTGCTCCATCTGTCCTCTGGAGGCTGAGGTCCTCGTGGTTGAGAGAGCAGACTGAGGGCCAGCAGGGCCAGGTAGAGAGTGAGTATCTGGAAGGCCAGGCCACCCTAAGCCATGGCTTCTTCGTCTGTAAAATGGGCCAACACGCATGCCTTCCTCATGGGACAAGGACCTCCTTTCCCCCATTGCTTCCTTCTCTAGATGCTAGCCCAGTGTCAACCCACTGAATGAATGAATGAATGAATGAATGAATGAAAGTGTTACAAGGATTAATGGTGCTAATGTGCATCAACCTCTAAGTGCCCATGAGATTCTCCTCCCTGGGGGATTTCCGAAGGGGCATGGTCCCCCAGCTGACCCATCCCAGTCAATCTTGAGAACTGGGCTGGGAAACTCGGAGGGTCTCCGTCAGCATTTTCTGGATTGAGAGGGGGTGTGATTTCAGCCCCCATTCCTGTATTCTTGGTATCTGCTCCATCCCTGATGCAGATGAGGCTTGTCTGTTCACAGGGTGCACCCTGTGCCAGCCCATCAGGTCCCACTATCAGAGTGGTTCCCAGGCCTGATGGGTGATTGCCTCATCTGTTTCCAGTGTCTGCCAATTACATTTTATGGCAGCAGCTGGGTTAGATGTGCAGCAATCGGAAAACAGCATCCTAGGCACAGAGCAAATGCAGAGTTTGGGCTTACATTTGTCACAAAACAGCATCCCAGATCACTGAATAATTTATAGTTAATTATTCCAACTTAAAAAAGCCTTGGATCACAATGATTCTCTCTTCCCCCAGAGTTGCGGGATCTGTTTGGGCAGCTTGCCTGGCTGTGTGGCAGCAGGCAGGCATTCTGCCGTCTTGCCCAGAGAGGCTTCCTGCTCCCTGCCTCTCCTGTGTGGATGTGTGCCGTGCGACGGCTTCGCAGCCCTGTGGTTAATGTGGCCACTCTTCCCGTGTCAGCTTTTATTATCATGAACACCCAGCTCCCTCAGGGCCCTGCAGGGTTTTAGATAATTCCTCAGATTAGAGCAATTTGTCCCCAGCTTCAGGGTGTTTGAACCGTTAATCCTGGGGCACCTACAGGGTATGTACCATGCAAGGCCCTTGGGCTATTTGTCATTTGGGGTCCAGGGCCCCGGATGCACCCCAGGACTTGGCTCAAATGAACCCCCCTCTTTCCTTCCTGGTCACACACAACCATGAAAGCAGGTTCTTTGGCAATGTCCTGGGTCCCTCCTGGGATGACTCTGGCCAAGGTGGGGGTCCCCTGTGATGGGCCCCTTCCAAATGATGGTAGGTCCAAGGCCGACAGCTTGGAGTGGATGAGATCAAATAGGGTTAGGGTGACTCCTGTCTTCTCATCTTCACCCTTCTAGAATACCTTCTGCTGGCCGGGTGCAATGGCTCACGCCTGTAATCCCAGCACTTTAGGAGGCCAAGGCAGGCAGATCATCTGAGGTCAGGAGTTCGAGACCAGCCTGGCCAACGTGGTGAAACCCCATCTCTACTAAAAATACAAAGATCATCTGGGTATGGTGGTGTGCGCCTATAATCCCAGCTACTCGGAAGGCTGAGACAAGAGAATCGCTTGAACTCGGGAGGTGGAGGTTGCAGTGAGCCGAGATCACGCCATTACACTCCAGCCTGGGCAACAAGAGTGAGACTCTGTCTCAAAAATAAATAAATAAATAAAATACCTTCTGCCACTGCAATCTTAATTCATTTCATGTTGATTAAGGACCTGGTGTTGTTAGGAACAAACATTTCTAGCCTGGGGACACAGTGGTGAAAAAAGCCAGAAGTTTCCTCCTCCTGAAGCTCACAACTAGTGGGAGCAGGCAGAAATACATGGATCAACAAATAATTCCTGTGTCTAATCACTGGTGGTGTAAAAACTTGGAAGAAGAAAGGGGAAGGAAGCCTGGAAGGAGGAAGGAGAGTGGCTTGGTGGGGAGGGGCATACCCTTGCATTGGGTGGTCAGTGGAGAAAGGGACCTTGGGCGCAGGCAGCTGAATGAAGTAAGGAGGGAGCCCAGCAGGTGTCTGGGGTAGGAGTTGTTTTTTTTTTTTTTATGGTTCAATGGTCCATTCTGTTTATTCAGAACAGTAAGATAAATATACCTTAAATATTACAAATTTTTATATACAGAAATGACCACTCCGCAGCAAGTTTGAAAAGACAAAAAAAATCATCTCCTCCTGCTTTATAAAACCCTAGATGACCCATTAGGCAGAACTGAGCCCTTGATGCATTTTCGTCAGCACACTTTGGCCAACATTGGAGGGAAGGACAAGAATGTGGGAGGAAAACATCACATTGAAAATCCCTTTCCAATGAGGGTGCCAAGCGTCTGGTCTTGAAGGAAGTACCCTGCCTAGGCAGGTGTGAAGGTCCAGAGGTAGGACTGTGTGTGGCCTGTCGGAGGCACTGCGAGAGGACTCATGCAGCCGAAGGGAGAGAAGGATGGGGTGGGGTGAGGCTGAAGGGGGCAGGGTTGCGCTCCACAGTGCTCCAGAATGTACTTCATGCCTATCTGATTCCCTCAATATTTCCTGAGCCAGACACCTGGGAGGACTGGAGATGGGTGAGTCAGTCCTTCCCCTGGGCTGCTCATAGTTGGGTTTTTTGTTTAGTCACTCAACACACCCAAGCACTGAATGGATGAAGGAGTCCCAGCTCCTGAGGTCCCCAGCCTAGTGAGGGCACCTGAAAGCAGGAGTAGCCGCCTGGTTTGCTTTTCCCCTCCCAATCTGCCTTGGGCACCACGTCCTGGCCACTTTTGCCTGCCAGACTGGCTGTGTGGTCCGCTTTGCCCTGAGCTGTCTAACTTGGGTATGTCTCCCAAGTTAGATGAAGTTCCAGAGGGAGAGGGAGAGGGACGGGGAGAGAGGAGAGAGAGGGGAGAGGGAGAAGAATATGATACTGTCTAGCTGCCTTTTCTGTCACCAAAAAGATCAGAGGTGTAGATTCAGGGACCCCCATTTCAATACCAGCCCCATCAAGAAACATGGCAATGTTCAAGGCTTGAGAAGAGTCCTTTTCCCCATTGATGACTGTTTGAGTCACTCATGTCCCCGTGCAGGCCCTAGCACAGCCCGGGAGCTCACTGGGCTCAGTGGGTGGGTTTGCCGTCTGGGTGAGTGAACTGTTGCTCCCCAACGTCACCGTGCATAGACACCAGCTCCTCCACCTTGGAGCTCGCACTGCAGGGTGTCACCTCCCATGGTCCCCTTTCCAAACTGCTGACCCTCATTAGTATTCACGGCACACCCAATGAATTATCTCCACCCCATTGCTATTTTTTTAATCCTTGATACTTTAAATTTCTATTTTTATGCATTTAAAATTATGAAATATTTGATACATACAACAGACTGTATCATCATTTGTGTAGGTTGTGGAGCATGGTAATAAATTGCAGCATCTGTGGATCCGTGCTTAGCATTGAGCCTACTATTCTCTGAGTTTCTCCCTGCCCATGAAAGTAACCACTGTCCTAATATTAATTCCACCATTGCCTGGTTTTAAGTTGCATCACAAAGATATAGGCTTAAACCATCTAGTGTTGAGCTGCGCAAAGATTTTGGATTTTTATATAATGGAACATGCTGTGTGTGTTCTTCAGGAACCTGGCTTCCTTCATTTCGTATTCCTTGTCGATGTGTGTAGGGTGATGTGCTAATTTCTATGGCTGTGCCCTGTTCCCTTATTTGCACGATCGTGTCTCCCAAGATTTGGACTCTAAGAGTTTCACTAGGGTGTTTACTGGAGAGAAATTGCTGGGGTTTGGGTGTGCACGTCAGCTTTACTGTATGTACTGGCACCAAAGCCAACAGCGTATGGATGCTGTAAGTCCTCGCCAGCTCTCCACATTCGCAGGCTTTTAGATTTTGCCAATCTGGTGACTGCTAATGGTCTCTCATGTGATTTTAATTTCCATTTCCCTGCAGAGCCTTTCATATGTTTTAAGGCACTTCTCATGACCTCTTCTAGAAAACACTGTTCCCTGATTTGTGCAAACCCTCTTTTTGGGTCCTTTGACTTCTTGTTGCCATCTTGAAGGGCCTTGTGTACTTTCTCTGTTAATCATTGTTCATTTTAGCTGTGGCAAATGCATTCTCCCTGCATGTAGCTTGTCTTTTCGCTTTATGATGATTTTAATGTAGCAGAAGGCAATGCTCTGTTGATGGTTTGTACTTTGGGCTTGCTGAAGAAGTCTTATCCTAGCCCAGGGTTATAATAACAAGTTTTCTATAATGTCTTGCACAAGTTTTTCAGTTTTGCTTTTCATGGTTAAATCTTTAGTTTACTTAGTATTTATTTTTGTCTAGGGTTTGAGGTAGGGATTTTAATTTTTTTTTCTTTTCCAAAAGGAAAACAATCTCCCAGCACCACCGAGTAAATGGTTTACCTGTTCCCACTGGTCTGGAACATCCTCTCTGTACTCTGCCATTTCCTGATATGCACAGTGTGGATTCCATTTTGTTCTGTGGGCCTGTTTGTCTGTCCTTGCACCAATATCACACGGCCTTAAGTATTGTGACAACCTTGCTATCTGGTAGGGCACGTTTTCCCCACTTCCCTGCCACCTCCATCTATTTCTCTTCTGAAAATAAGTAGCTGGCCACTCTTCCTCTTGCACCCATGATCACACCCTGCTGCTGGGTGTCCTGCCGGTGCTCATGGTGCTGTTTCCTCAGTTGGGGTGCCTCCTCCCTCTTTTCCCTGAATGACTGCTGCTCAGGTGTGGACTCAGATCAAGCATTGTCCCCTTAAAGGCCTATGGAACTTCTCCATCCCTCAGGAAGAGAGGGCAGTTGTTGTTTGGCACAGTCTATGGATCACGCTCTTATACCTGCCCTGCTATTTACTATGGCCCTCCCACCCCCGTCCATACGTATGGCATCGTCACACTCCCTGTGTCCATCACAGACTTTATTTATTTATTTATTTATTTATTTATTTATTTATTTTGAGATGGAGTTTTGCTCTTGTTGCCCAGGCTGGAGTGCAGTGGCGCAATCTCGGCTCACTGCAACCTCCACCTTCCGGGCTCAAGTGATTCTCATGCCTCAGCCTCCCAAGTAGCTGGGATTACAGGCATGCACCACCACACCTGGCTAATTTTTTGTATTTAGTAGAGATAGGGTTTCACCATGTTGGTCAGGGTGGTCTTGAACTCCTGACTTCAGGTGATCCACTCGCCTCAGCCTCTCAAAATGTTGGGATTACAGGCGTGAGCCACTGTGTCCAGCCTATCACAGACTTTAACGCACAGAAGGTGCCTAGGGAATATCCATGATTCCAAATGGACTCACACCTAGACTTGGCTCTTCTTCCCCTAACATGGCCCTTCCCTCCTCCCTTCATCACATGTTGATTGTAGGTGGGTGTTCACTGGAAATGCAAGGATGGGTGTCCAAGCAAAGCCTCTGTTGCGTCCATTTCACAGATCAGCTCTCAGTAAATCCCATCCTCAGAGGCCTGGGCTGGTGGGGTCCAGATGGGATGATTCTTTGGTCTGATTATTTTCACACTATGAATGTGTTTCTTTCAAAGTTAGGATTTTCTTTCCATAAATAGAGGGCTGAACTTTGCCCCCCCGCAAAATATGTCCAAGATCTAATTTGCAGTAACTGTGAATGTGACACATTTGGAAATAAGAGTCTTTGCAGAAGTAATTAAATAAGATCTCAAGACGAGATTGTCCTGGTTTTGCTCTCTGGTAACTGGTCCTAAATCCCATGACTGGTGTTCTCATAAGAGAAAAGAGAGGGGGGTTAGGGAGATACAGAGGAGGAGGCAGAGACTGGGGTGATGTGTTCACAAGCCAAGGGGCACCAAGGAGTGCCGCCATGGAGAGCCGGGAGGGGGCCCTGGGACAGAGTCTCCCTGAAGCTTCTGGAAGGCACTGGCCCTGCCAACATTTTGATTTTAGCCCTCTAAGATGCATCCAGAACTGTGAGAGGACATGTTTCTGTTGTTTTAAGCCACAGACTTTGTGGTAATTTATAATGGCAGCCTGGGAACTCATACACCACGCAAAAGTTATCCAGCAGGAGAAACTCGGAAGGGCCAGCCGAAGAGCCTCCTCTCCCTCCCGGCAGCAGTTCTGTTTCAAAGCGCCTTGGCATCTTTTAGCTGATTTTCACCACATCCCCTGGAGGAAGGCTCAGTGACCTACTATCTCCATTTCCAGGTGGAGAAAGTATCCTCACCTCACTGTCACCCTCGTGCAATGTTGCTTTCTCTTGGAATCACTGCCAGAGCATGGGATGAACCCAGACCTGATCCCGTGCCTGTTCCCTCACCAGGAGGACATAGAGTGTGGGGGCGGGCAGGGACATGGCTCATCCCAGGTGGGATCCGGCAGCTGTCACACTCATCCCCAGGTTGCGAGCCCCTCTGCATGCCAGGTACTGTGCCAGGCACCGGTGATCTGGGAGTGCCCGGGACACTGTTTTCGTGGGTGCTGGTCTGCATGGGCCCCAGGCCTGCCCCAGCTGCTGTGTTCTGGGGCCAACTGTCCTTCCAGCCTCCTCGATAGCCATATGGCATTCCCTGTGCCGACGATGGCTTGATGTCACTTGGGTGGACCCAGGTGTGGCAGACATGCGAGTGGCAGAGTGGACCAGGCTGTGTGGCCCTGATACTCACCCCACACTGTGGCTCTCAGCCTGAGGACTTCATGCTGGCTGTGGAGGCCACGTAGCCCCTTGGCAGGGCAGGCTGGATGGGTAGGAGAGGCAGGGCCCTCAGCTGTGGGATGGGGTGTTGGCAGGCTGTGCCCACCAGCTTGTTGGCCTCCCCAAGTTGCTCTTCCTCCAGCAACCTCGCTGCGTGGACAGCTTCCCCTGTCACAGGGACAGCAGAGTCCTCCCAACAGTATGTTCCTGGGCCAGGCCACCACCATCCTGGTCTCAGGGCAGCCTCTGGACAGGGCAGCCAGGAGAGTTCTCTGAATAAAACCCTTTTACTCAGGTTTCCCCTTGCTTCCACCCTGGCAGCAGCAGCTGGGTGCAGTTGCATGAGCGTTGGCCCCAGGCTCTCCAGCCACACTCCAGGAAGGGCCAAGTATGGCCTTCTCCCTTCCCATGCATCCCTGACCTGTGTCCCAGGATGCCTGTCTGCCCTGCTCCCAGCTGATGCCTCCCTGTGCCCGGGGCTCCCACCTGGACGGCGTGCCGCGTGTGCTTGGTGCCCTGGGTGCTTGCTGGCCTCCACCTGGGCTGTGAGTGTCTGAGTTAGGGGCTGGGTTTGTGTCACTCCCTCTTGTATTCTGGGCATCTGGCACCCGTGTGGTCCAGGTGGCCCTCCGTCTCGGAGACCAGTGCTTCGGTGTTACATTCAGCTCCTTGCCCCAGTAGGATGCAAGCTCTTTGAGGGCAAGGCCTGGCATGCGGGAGGTGCTGTGTTCCTGTCTGTTGAATAAGTGAATGAATGATTGAATGTGTTAGAGGGTCCAATGTGGGGAGAGTGAGGGATTCCCCTGGACACCCCGGGGAGGGCCTTCACACCCATATTAACCCACCCAGCGGACCAGGTTGACGGCGATTTGGGGACCTATGGTAAGGAACCAGGATCTCCTGCGTCCCCTGTGTTTCTAGATACTGCAGGGCTGGTATGGGCCCCCTGGCTGTAGGGCTGAGACGGAGGCATTCAGGCTAGACCAATGGGTCCTGCCCCAGCCGTGTCAGCAGAGCCTGCCTGATCCTGTCCCTGGGTGTTGGCCAGAGTGCCAAGAAAGCACAAAAGACTCAGGCGGAAAAATCAGACAGACCCTAAGGTGGTTTAAAAAATGTGCAAACCCAGGTACGCTGCAGGCTCGAAGCTGGGTGTAGCCGAGGCGTGGGGCAAATGAGCATGTTTGGATTAAAAAAGGCCAACGCATCTAACAGCCAGGAAGGTTTGCTTTAACATTCCAGCATGTTCTGTTGATTTATGGCTGTTGCTAGGTAACAGAATACACCGAGGCTGTGTGATTTTAAAGCTACGGCTCCCGACTAAAGAGTCGACAGAAAGAGAAAACCATTAATCAGGGTGGGGGCTGGGCGTGGATTTAAATGCAAACCAGAAGACAGGGAACTGTTGGGAGCAATGAGGGCGAAGCCAGGTCCACCCCTCCGTGTCTGCCGTCCTTCAAGGGTGTGTTCCGCTGCGGGTGTGGAGAGCTGGCTACAGACACGGGCTTCTCCTTCAGGAAGGCACTGGCATAAATTTATCTTTCATTTTGCACTAGATCGATCTAGTATGTGTCAGATTTCTAACACAGCACTGTTAGTGTACCAGATGTACGGAGTGTGTCATCTTGATGGGCAGGATGCATTGTGCCATTTTTATGTTGCACACAACTCCCACCTCTCCCCAGCACCATGCCTTTGCTAAGCTGTGCTGCTACCTCCTGTGTGGCCTGCTTGGGATAGGACAGTGAAAAAGACAGAAGCCCCCAGACTCTCCTCCATGTCCACACGCCCCCCACCCCAGCTCCCTGAAGCTGACATTCTGATTGAGGGAGACAGACAATAGTCCTGATAAACAACGAATTTTAAAGCAAAGCCCAGAAAGGGGGACCAGGAGGGGTGTGTGTATGTGCGCGCGCGTGCGTGTGTGCTTGTGTGTGGGTGGGTGGATGGCAGGCGTGCTGGTTGCAATTGCAGGTAGGGGGAACCTGGTTGGCCTCATTAGGAAGGTGACATTTGAGTCAAGTCTTGTGCAAAGTGAGGGGCCGAGGCTTGCAGGTATCTGAGGGAAGAATGGCCCAGGGGAGGAAATAGCAGATGCAAAGTCCCCGAGGCAGGGTATGCATGTTGAGCTGGAGGAACAGCTGGGAGGTTGGTGTGTTGGAATGGAGTGAGGAGGGAGACTGGGGAGGGGAAGCAGATCCTATAGGGTCCCCAGGCCACTGGGAGGACATCATTGTCTTGGCAGGTCAGAATCCTAACCCTGAAGTTCAGTCCCATACCTGGGGCCCATGCCTTTGACAGGCCTCCCTCCTGCCAAAGGCTGGCTTGCTCCTTTTGGAGCGGTATGCACCTGTGTCATTGCTGTGTGTTCTCCAAACCCCAGGTCTCCTCTCTGTGGTGTCTCTTAGTTTGCATTCCATGAAAGTAGTGCCTGAGCCTGGCATGTGGGTGCAGGCAGTTTATTTGGGATGAGATCCTAGGGCACATCATTCGAGTCCCTGCTGTAGGGATGAGGGCTCCAGTCTACTGAGAATTATACAGAGGGCTCCAGAACTGATCTCTAAAAAACAGCAGTAGTTCTCCAGGGATTATCAGTTCAGATGGGTGGGGGGTTGGCGTGGGGCCACTGACTTTCACTCACACTTGAGCATGCGCTCCAGGCCCAGTGGTGTGGGCAGAGGCCTTGGAGTGGAATGCAGAAAGACGCCAGAGCACTCGGGGGGAGGCTCTTATAGCATCCCCTACCCCATCAAGTCTTCAGCACCACGACCCTGGACAGGCTGAAGACCAGACCTCCCTGTCTGTGGGGTTGGCCATGGGTAGGCAGGGGCCCCGGCTGACCCTGTTGGAGTCCATCCTGGGTTTTTGGATTGCAGTGGGTGGTGATACCTTCTCTGGCTCTGGCCAAGGCACTGTGGGACATGTCCTTGGAGCTGCTACTGGCTGTGTCCACCCCATGAGAGAAACAGAGAGGAGAGGCAGAGAGGGTCCCATGGAGTTTAAGCCCCAGGGCCCACTGTCAGGGCCTGGAATTGTGTCCCCTTTTTTGCTAAGCTAATTTAGGCTGGCTTTTTGTCACTTGCAATCAGAGGATCCTGATTAAGCCTCCTTATTGTCCCTGGTGTTACCGGTCCCTGGAGGACAGTAGTTTACTCAGGCCCTGCAGCAGAGCCAGTGGATGGAGCCCGGCTGTATTAGTCTGTTCTCGCATTGCTATAAGGAACTACCTGAGACTGGGTAATTTATTAAGAAAATAGGTTTAATTGACTCACAATTCTGCAGGCTGTACAGGAAATATGGGTAGTAAGCTTCCCTCAGGAAGCTTATAATCGTGGCAGAAAGCCAAGGGGAAGTAGGCACATATTCACATGGCCAGCAGGAGAGAGAGAGAGAAGGGGGAAGTGCCGTATGCCTCTAAACAACCAGATCTCATGAGAACTCACTCAGCATCACCAGAACAGCAAGGGAGAAGTCTGCCCGCATGATCCAATCACTTCCCACCAGGCCCCTCCTCCAACATTGAGGATTGCAATTTGACATGAGACTTGGGTGGGGACATAGAGCCAACTTATATCACTGGCCCAGTTCCAGCCTGGCCCCCTCCAGAGACCTGCCCCATGATGGCCTGGCCTTGCCACCCTCCTGTTTGAACCAATCATCACTTCTTTGGTTCTCAAGGCCTTGTGGGTTCTGATAGCCCCACTGGACTCAACCCTCTGGTTCCCCAAGGGAATACCTGGACTGGTTCCACCACCCTACATGGCCCCCTGGCTTGGCCCACCATGACATACCCCAGTAGCCTGCCCCATCTTCCATGCAGAAGCTCATTGGCCAGCCTGTGCCACCATCATGCAGGAGGCACAGAGATGTTGGGGAGGGGCAGGATGAGGGGCTGACCACCTGAGCCACTTACTGGCCTCCTTGATCATCCATTCATCCACAAATTCACCCAACAATACAAATTCCTGCCACACACCAGGCACTAGGGTACACAACACAGTGAGCAAAACAGGCAAAAATCCCTGTCCACAGAGATGACATTACAGTGGGGGAAATGGGATAAAACAGATCTGTGAGTGACACAGAGCAGGGCCCTGGAGCATTGGGGCTGTGGCAGAGGGTTTACGTGGGGTGGTGCCCCGCGTTCAGGAGAGGTCTGGGGCACAGCTCTGCAGCCAGGCCTCCTGGCGTCAGGTCTTATCCACTGCTCATGTGTGACCTGGCTGAGGTTGCTTAACCTCTTTAAGCCTCAGTTTTCCCATCTGTGAAAGGGAGACACTAAGAGTCCCTACCCACAGGGTGTGTGGAAGTGGAGTGAAATCCTGCTTGAGGAGTGTTTGCCCAGGGTGCGGCATGGGAGCGGGGCTGCAACCTCGGCTTCTCGCCATGGCTGATGTTCCTTTTCAGAATATCTTGAGAGATGCAGAGCTTCCCTAACACTGTGCCCTGATGCGTCCGCTCTCCCTGGAGTGGTGAGACAGCATGGGTCTTCCTCCCCACCTCACTCTAGGGGATGTGGCTGATGTGGTTTGCAGTCATGTTTCCCCATTCCTCTGTCCCACCTGTCCCATCTGGTTCCCCTGTCCATCTGTTTCTCAGGACTGTGGCTTCCTGGAGCCCTCAAGGCACGATTGGGTGCTGTTCATTGGTTTCTGCTCCAGTATGTCCTGTAGTCCTGATATTTAATTTGTGAGCAATCATTTTTAAAATTAATGAATAGTTAATAACTGTGGTATGGACTTAATGATGACTCGAAGCACAGAAGTAATCAAGGAAGGCTCCATGAAGGAAGTGTCATGAGAGGATGGCTTGGAAATGCCAGTGGGAAAGATGAATGCCATCTCCCTGCTGAAGGCTGGGTAGAGTTCATTCCCTGCAGTCCCTTTATAGATGGAGGACATAAGTCCCAGATGAGCGCTCCCAGGAACCTGCCCACAAAAGGCTTGGAGTCTTGTTTTCCTGACATGGCCAGGCCCAGGTGGGAGGTGGGGATGAGCATCAGGCCTTTGGGCACCTCTTGAAAGGGCTGAACCAGCTGGTGGGAGGGACGGATGCCTGGGGGCTGCACACATGGCTGGCAAGTGCTGTGAATTATTGATCACTAGAGAGCAATGTGCAGGCGGAGGTCATTTTCCTCCTGGGCCAAACTGCTCGATCATGCTTAATTGCCTGTTTTCCAAATTTCCCCAAGGCTGGCCTAGGGGAGGGATTAGCTCTATGCCCATTTATTTTTCTTGAATCCAGTGTATGGGGTAAAAAGTTACACCATCCATTTCTCTTTGGTATTAAGTTCGAAAATAGTGGATGCAATTAATTCAGGTGGTAACAGGTGGTTTCCTGTCCTACCTGGTATGGCAAAGAGGTGCTTCTCTGTGAATCTCAATCCCCACAAGACTCGGCTCACTTGTTGAGTAGTGGACTGGCAGAATCTGAAAAAGTTAAGGGCAATAGAGACTCCCTGAGCACCCATGATGTGCCAGGCGCTAGGTATATCAGTGCCTTCAATTCTCACTGAGATAACCAAATAAAATAAATATGACACATTAAAGTGAGGAATTAGTTGAAGAAGTATTTTCAAAGAAAATTGTCAAAAGTTTGTTGCAAGGATGCTCCCACTCTTTACTGACAGGCAGGGTATGAAAGGGTTGAGGGGTGCATAATAAAAGGAGTTTTGTGGAGCATACTGCTTTGGAGAGGGCTATGCTGGGAATCCCATCTCTGCATGAGGAGGAATAGGAGGTACCTGCCACTTACCTGAAGCCCGATGTGGAGGGAGGGTTCAGGGCTTAAAATGGAGCTGCTAGGCTTCTGGCCAAAATGGAATAACAGGGACCAGACTTAGCTTCTCACCTTAAACAAGTAAAAAAAATGGCATGAAACAAATGAAACAGGGATTTTCAAGCAATTGGACATCAGACATGAAAGTGATCATTGAATGATGGGAAATAAACAAGGTGAGGCCAAGGACTGCTCCAGCTTACTGCCTTGAGAGATTCCTGGCCACGTTGCAGGGAGAGGTTGCCCACTGGAGTCTGCTGGAACCCCCGAGTTGAAAGAATGAGCTGAGTCTGGGGAGATCAAAGTGGCTGGATTTCACAGGCAGACTAATGGAATGGAGAGAGCTGCAAAGAAAGACAGCTCTGGAGTTATGCAGAAGTCCAACTTGAGTGCTCAGTTGAGTAATGATCAGCACATGCATGCAAGGAAATTACACAGTCAGGGAAAGAACCCCCAAAAGGACCTGTGATACCAGTACTTAGAGCACGCACACAGTCAGGAGTAGTGCCTGCTCTTACCAGCCAGACTGGAAAATCTTGTAATTCACAGGAAATTGGGTAGACAACTCAGGAAAGTCTTGCCTCAGTAGGAGGAAATTATTAGTCCTAGATTGATAATTTCTGCAAGCATCCTTAGCAAATCATCAAAGCAAAACTTTTGAAAGGGTGAAACTGTTTCATTTTTGTTTTTTTAGACAGGGTTTTGCTCTGTCACCCAGGCTAGAGTGCAGTGGTGTAATCATGGCTCACAGCAGCCTTGATCTCCCAAGTTCAAGCCATCCTCCTGCTTCAGCCTCCTGAGTAGCTGGGACTACATGCACATGCCACCATGCCTGGCCAATTTTTCCATTTTTTGTAGAGACAGGTTCTCACTATGGTGCCTAGGTTGGTCTTGAACTCCTGGGCTCAAGTGATCCTCCCACCTTAGCTTCCCAAAGTGGTAGAATTAGAGGCATGAGTCTCCATGCCTGGCCAGGATCAAACTGTTTATAAATGTGTTGACTACATCTCAGAACAAGGCTCAGGAATATTTATAGGAATACAAACAAATCCAGCACCCTAAAAGGCAAAAATCACAAAGTCTGGCATCCAGTAAAAAATTACTAGCCATGCAATGAAGCAGGAAAATGCAAATCATAATGAAGGAAAAGTCAATCAGTTAAGACTGATCCAGAATTGACACAGATGTTAAAATTAGCAGACAAGGTCATCAAAACACTTATTATAATCATGTTCTGTATGTTCTAAAAGCTAGAGGAAAGATTGGACATACAATCAACATGGAGGATATAGAAAAGACATAAATCAAACTACTACAGATGAAAATTACAATGTATAATATGAAAAACACACTGGATAGGATTAACAGCAGAGAGGACATTGCAGAACAAAAGATTAGCTAACTTGAAGACAGCAATAGAAACTATCCAAAAAGAAATATAGAGAGTAAAAAGATAAAAAAAGAACAAAAATTTTAAAAAGAAACAGAGACTTTCTCATTGAGTTGAGACAACTTTAAGAGGCGTAATATATGTATAACTGGGGTTTCTGAAAGAGAGGAGAGGAAGGGACAGAAAAATATCTGAAGAAATAATGGCTGGCAAATTTCCAAATTTGATGAACATGGTACACCCACAGATACAAGAATTTCATTGCCCCACAAGCACAATAAAAATGGGAAAAAACCACACTAAGGCACATTATAATTAAATTGCCCAAAATAATAAAGAGAAAATCTTAAAGTAGCCAGAGAAAGGCGTGGGGTGGGGAAAACATGTTATATACAAAGCAGCAAAGATATGGATTACAGCAGATTTCTCTAGAAAATAATGCAAGTGAGAATGCAGTGGAACAATATCCTCAAAGCATGAAATTAAAAAAAAGTAGTCAAACTAGAGTTCATACCCAGAAAATAATCTTTCAAGAATAAAAGCAAAATAGACTTCTGAGACATAACGGCTTAAAGAATTCATAACTAGCAGGCCTGTAGTACAAGAAATGTTAAAGGATGTGCTTCAAACAGAATGAAAGTGATACTAGATGGAAATATGGATCTATGCAAAGGATCAAAGAGCAGAGTAGTAACTACATAGGTCGGATATGATATTTTCTCTTATTATTTTAATCTCTTTAAAGTATAATTGGCTCTTGACACAAAATAATAACCATGTAGTGTGAGGTTTATAACATATATAAAAGTAAACTGTATAATAGCAAAAAGGCTGAGAGGGGAGAATAGAAGTATACTATTATAAGTAAGTATAAGTATCTTAATCTATATTTGACATGCTATAATATCACCTGAAGGTAGACTGTGATAAGTTAAAGATGTATACTGTAAACCTTAAAATAACTACTAAAACAATAAGAGTTGTAACTAAGAAGCCAGAAAGTAGATAGAATGGAATAATTGAACAATGCTTAATTAATCCCAAAGAAGACAGAAAAGGAGAAAGAAGGGAACAAAGGAAAATGGAATAAATGGAAAATGAATATCAAGATGAGAGATATAAACCTAATCATACCAATAATCACTTTGAGCAGCCATGGTCTAAATATCCCAATAAAAAGACATCAGATCAGATGAAAAGGCAAGACCCAAATATATGCTGCCTACATGCAACCCACTTGAAATATAAAGACAAGAGTTAAAAGTAAAACAATGAAAAAGATATATTGCGTTAACTAACACTAATCAAAGGAAAGCTGCAGTGGCTATATTAATCTCAAAGTAGATCTCACAGTAAAGAATATTACCAGGTTAAATAAAGTAATTTCATAATGATAAAGGGAACAATTAATTAAAAGTTAATGCTTATGCACCTAATCAGAGACATGAAGCAAAAATGATAGAACTGCAAGAAGCAATAGATGAATCTACAATTATAGTTGGAGGTTTCAATAACCTTCTCTTACTAATTGATGAAACATGTAAACAAAAAAATGTGTAAGAAAATAGAAGATATGAACAACACTATCAACAAACTGGACCTGGCTTATATCTGTAGAACATGCTACCCAACAACAGCAGAATAGATGTTCAAGTACACACCACCGAACATTCATCAAAATAGGCCATATTCTGGCCACGAAACAAGTCTCAATAAATGTAAAGGGACTCAAGTCACAAAAAGTATGTTCTGTCATAATAGAATTAAATTAGAAATCAGTAACAGAAAGAGCTCTGGAAAATCTCCAAATATTTGGAAACAATGAAACACACTTTTATATAACCCATGTGTCCAAGAAAGGGAAATTAGAAAGTATTTTTACGTGAATGAATATGAAAACACAGTGTATCAAAATCTATGAGATGTCGCTAAAACCATACTTAGAGGGAAATTTACAGCACTAAACATGTATATTGGAATAGAAGGAAGTTCCTAATCAATGGCCTTGAGTTCCACCTTAAGAAACTAGGAAAAGAAGAGCAAATTAAACCCAAAGTAAGCAGAAGAGAGGAAATAGTAAGGACCAGAAGAGAAATTGGCTAAATATAAAATAAAAACAATAGAGAAAATAAATTAATCCAAAAGTTGGTTATTTATTGGTTAAAAAGTTATCTAAGATTTTTATCAGTAAAATCGATAAACCTCTTGCCAGACTGACCAGGACAATAAGAGAGAAGATAAAATTGCCAGTATCAAGAATGAGAAGGTGACATTAGTATATATTCAGCAGTCATTAAAATAACAATAAGGGAAGATAATGAACAACTTTTTGCTAATAAATTCAACAACTTAGAGGGAATGGTTAAATTCCTGGAAAGACACAAATTACCAAAGCTTACTGAAGAAGAAATAGATATCCTGAGTAGTCCTATAACTATTGAGTAAATTGAATTTACAATTTAAAACCTTTCCACAAAGAAAACTCCAGGCCCAGATGACGTTACTGATGACTTTCAGTAAACATTTAAGGAGGAAATAATACTAATTCTACATAAACTCTTCCAAAAACTTGAGAACACTTTCCAAATCATTCTGTGGGGCAGAGTTACCTTGATCTCAAAACCAGACAGACATTATGAAAAAATTCGTGTCCTCATGTACATGAATTAAAAAATTATTAGCAAATTCAATCTAACAATACACAAAAAGGATAATACATCATAGCCAAGTGGGTTTATCCCAGGAATGCATGGTAGGTTTAACTTTCAAAAATTATCAATGTAATTTACCATATTAACAATTTATAAAAACCTATGCTATCATCTCAATAAACACAAAAAGGATTTGACAAAACCAACCTTTATTCTTGATAAAATTGATAAAATCTGTCAGGAAACTAGGAATAGAAGTGAAGTTCCTCTACTTGATAAAGAGCATCTATGAGAAAAACCTACAGGCTAAATGAAAGATTGAATGCTTTCTCCCTAAGACTGGGAGAAGGCAAAAATGTCTACTCTCAGCACACATTCTTCTCGACGTTATAGCTAGTGCAATAAAGCAAGAAAGAGAAAAAAAGATGTTCAGATTAGAAAAGAAGAAGTAAAACTGTCTTTATTCACAGATGACATGATTATTTATGTAGAAAATCCAAAGGTATCTACAAAAAAGCTACCAGAGTTAATAAATGAGTTTAACAAGTTTGCAAGGCACAAGCTCAATCAGAATAGAAGCTTAAAAACTACCAGTTATGATATGAGGTAGGAAGGAATACATCTGATAAAAGACATGAAAGACTTATGCACTGAAAATTATAAAACACTGATGATAGAAATTAAAGAAGACCTAAATGAGTGGAGAGATATACTATGGGAGTGGATTGGAAGACTCAATATTGTTAAGATGGCAGTTCCCCCCAAATTGATCTGAAATTCAACACAGTGTAAACAATATCTGAACAGGTTTTTTTTTTTTAAGAAACTGAAAAACTCATTCTAAAATTCATATAGAAATACAAAGGACCTAGGATAGCCAAAACAACTTTGAAATAGAAGAACGAAGTTGGAGGACTAACACGATCTGATTTCAAGATTTATTATAAAGCTTCAGTAATTTATACAAGTGATACTGGTGTCAAGATAGATTAACAGATCAAGGGAATGCAATACAGAGTCCAGAAATAGATGCATGCATATATGGCAGCTGACATAGCTGATTTTGAATAGAGACTCAAATGCACTTTAGTGGAGAATATTTAGATAATGGGTGCTAAAACAATTGTATATGTGTAGAAAATGAACTTCAATCCATATTTTGTACCATATACAAATATTCAAAATGGATCATAGATCTCAATATAAACCCTAAATCTATAAAACTTCTAGAAGAGGAGGTGAAGAATTTTTTCTTAAAGGACCAGATAGTAAGTATTTTAGGCTTGTAGGCCATATGGACTCTGTTGTAATGATAGAACTCTGCTATTGTAGTATGAAAGAAGCCATAGAAAATACATGAATAGATATGGCTGTATTTTAGTAAAACTTTGTATATAAAAATACGCAGCTGGTCTGCAAGCTGTAGTTTACCAATCCCTGTTGTTGAAGAAAACAGAGTAAAAACCTTTGTGACCTTCAGTTAGTCAAAAATATCTTAGATATGACACTGAAAGCAGGTTGCATAAAATTAAAAATTAATAAATTTGGCCTCATCAAAATTAAAAACATCTCCTTTTTGAAAGACACTTAAGAGAATGAAAAGACAAGCCCTAGACTGACAGAAATTCTCTGTAAAGCACGTGTCTGATAAATGGCTTGTATCTAGAATATATAAAGGATTCTCAAAACTCAATAGTAAGAAGGCAAACAACCCAATTAATAAGTGGACAAAATGTCTGAACAGACATTTCACCAAAATGATATACAGATGGCAAATAAGCACACGAAAAGATGAGCAACATCATTAGTCACGGGGGTAATGCAAACTGAAACTACAATGAGATACTACTATTACATAACTGTTAGAATGGCTATCATTAAAAAGGCTGACTATACCAAATTTTGGTGAGGATATGGAGAAACTGGAACTCTTATATACTGCTGATGGGAACGTAAAATGATATAACCACTTTGGAAACTTTGGAATATGATCTCTATAATAACACAAACTATTCTATAAAAACATAAAAAGTGGAAGTTCTTCAATTTATGATGTTAGTACAAACTTGCTAGAAAATTGCAAGAAAAGAAAATTATTAATCAATATGACTTCTAAACATAGGTGCAAAACTCAAAGATATTAGCAAAACAAATATGGCTCTATCTATCGTCTATCTATCAATCAATCAATCTATCTATCTATCTATCTATCTATCTATCCATTTATCTATCAGTCATCTAATTACCATGTGAAGTTCACCCTAGGAATGTCAGGATAGTTAAAGACAAAAAATGTTAACTTAATTTACTTCTTTAATAGATTAAAGGCTAAAGTCATATTCTTATTAATAGATACCACAAAACAAAGCAAGCAGCCAAACAAAAAGCATCCACATTAGACAAATTTTAATACTTATTCTAAGGAAACGCTCTCAGAAAACCAGGAAAGGAATTTACTCAACCCGAGAAAGGGCATCTATCAAAACCTGATAGCAAACATCATTTTTCATGATGAAACTTTGAAATCATTGCTAGAACTAAGACAAAGAAACCTACCACCACTGCTGTTCAATACTGCCTTGCATTGGAACTAACGACTAGACAGCAAGTGGGTTAAGGACAGCAAGGAAAAGCCAAAATTGTGTTTAATTGCAGATGACATAATTGTCTACGTAGAAAATCCAAGAGAATCTGCTCTCAAACTATTAGAAGCATGTGACAGTTCAACAAAATTGCTGGACACAGGACAACATAGTGAAATCAATAGCCTTCCTACTGAACAACAGTACCAATTAGAACATGTAAGAAGGGGCAAATCCTATTTACAGTAGCAGTAAAATCTATAAGACGCTTAAGAGAAAATCTAACAAAAGATGTACCAGCCCTTTCGGAGGTAGTATAGGAGAGTGGTTCAGTGGTTCACAGCAGAGGATCCTAATCCAGATTGTCTGGCTTCAGGTCATGGCCCTACTGCTTCCTGGCTTGGGAAAATTACTTGATCACTTGGTGCCTCAGTTTCCTCATTTGTACAAGGGAGATAATAATAATATTCACCTCACAGGGAAGCTGGGAAGATTAATTGAGTTTACAAATATAAGGTGTTTAGAACAGTAGCTGGCACATATTAACTTCTATATAAATGGTTGTTATTGTTATGAAGAAAATTATAAAATTTAATTGAAGGACATGAAAGAAGAGCTGAATAAATACAGAGATAGACCATATCCATTGATGGGATGATTCAATATCAGAAAGGTGTCTATTTTTTCCTGGTTAATTATAAGCTAATTGAAGTTTCAGTGAAAATCCCAACAGGATTTCCTTTTTACTTTTTTTTTTTTTTTTTTTTTTTTTTGAGACGGAGTCTCGCTCTGTCACCCAGGCTGGAGTGCAGTGGTGCGATCTCGGCTCACTGCAGCCTCTGCCTCCCGGCTTCAAGCTATTCTTCTGCCTCAGCCTCCGGAATAGCTGGGACTACAGGCACGTGCCACCATGCCTGGCTGATTTTTGTATTTTTAGTAGAGATGGGGTCTCATCATGTTGACCAGGCTTGTCTCGAACTCCTGACCTCAGGTGATCCACATGCCTCAGCCTCCCAAAGTGTTGGGATTACAGGCGTGAGTTACCATGCCGGGCCCCAACAGGATTTTCAATGGGATCTACAAAACTGAAAATTTGCATAGGAAAAACAAAAGTCCAAGAATAACCAAGACAATTTTGATGAAAGGCAAAGACTGTGCCATTTGACCTACTTGATATTGACTTGTTATAAAGCTGTCTCTCTACGGCAGGGTAGTACTGCCACATGGGCCAGACAGAAAGACCAATGGAACAGAATAGAGAATCCAGAAATAAAGGCACATGTATATGGGAACTTCGTATAGAAAAGAAGTGGCATTTTAAATCAGTGGGAAAAGGATGGACTATTCAATGAATGATTTGGATATTATTTTCTTCATATGGAAAAAGTATGTAATTTGATCACTGCCTCACCCCAAACAGAAAAGCATACTGTAAATGAGGTAAGTATACGTCCTAAAACATAAAGGAAGGACATTCTGTTTACTACCTTTATAACTCAGCGGGTAGACAAGTATTGGTAAAACAGAACACAAAAGGCAAAATGCCTGAAAGATAAATATTGATACATTTCCTACATCAAAATGAATGACTTCTGTAGGACAAGAATACCATAAACAAAGTTAAGACAAAAACAGCAAATTAGAAGAGAATGTTTGCAACATAGAAACAGACAGAGGATAGGTTTGCAACACATATAAACAGCAGAGGATACAATTATATCAAAAGCTCTGGGAAGCCAATAAGGAGAAAGTCACACAATCCAATGGAGACATGGGCAATGGGAAAAGACAGGCGATTCATCGAAGAGGAAATTCAAATGGCCAAGTGGAAAGATTCCCAAACACTAGGAATCAGGAAATGCAAAGTAAGCAATCATCACATACCCGTTCACCCATCAACTTCACATGAATTTAAGTCTATTCCAAGTGTCACTTGAGAATGTGATACACTGCTGTAGGAGTGTAAATTGCTTCTCTATTTGGCAATGAGTAGGAAGTTAAATATGTATATATTCCAGTATGCATGACCCAGAAGGAATGTCACCAGTATGACTCAGTGGTCTCGCCCTCCACCTGTCCATCCTAGGAAACCTTTACACTGCAGGCTATGAGGAACTAAGTAAAAGGATGTACCTGCAGTGTTGTTTGAAATCCAAAAAGGTTAGAAACAACCTAAATATTATGTGGGTGGGTGGACAGCAGGTAGAAGAAATAATACATTAATGGTATGCTCGTAAATATTTAACAACCTGCTATCCAGGAAAAAAAGCCTTAATTTGGAGAATTTGCCAATTTCTGGGATGTAAATACTCTGCCATGGCTGATGTCTAGCTACCATCGTGACATCATCAAACACAGAGTTGGGAAAAGATATGCATGATCAGCTCTTGCGAGAAGGTTCTTGGGGCAAGCTCCGGCACACCATTGATTGTTTTCTGCCAGCTTGCAAGATCAATGAAGAAACTAGGGTAGAGCTGAAAACATAATGCTTAGGAAAAAAAGCAGTTTGTAGTATGGTGTGATCAATATGATCAGGTTTATATAAATTTCTAAATTACATAAAATGGTACAATGCATGTATGTATGTTAAGGAATAGAACATAAATAGGAAGAAAGCACTACTTTGGGGATAGTGTTTGCCTCTGGAAAGAGAAAGGAAAGATGAGGACTAGGAAGGGATGTAAAGGAACTTCAGCCATATCTCTGTGGTCTCATTTTTCAAATGAAAAGAACCGAAGCAAAGCTGGGCACTTTGGCTTGTGTGTGTAGTCCCAGCTACTTCAGTGGCTAAGGTGAGAGGATTGCTTGAGTCCAGGAATTAGAGACGGGCCTGGGCAACATAGTGAGACCCTGTGTCTACAAAAAATAAAATAAAAGTAAAAAAGAAAGCTGAAGCGAATATGTCAATGCTAATATTGATTCCTTTTGAATCAATATTCAAAAGGTAGGGGATTGTAATAATACATTTTAGTCCATTTAAAATATGTCACTAAAACAAATAAAATACAAAAAAAAAAAGGTCTGATCATGATTATGTAAAAACAAAACTCTACGTTGAAAAGGTCCTGGGATAACACACTCTAAAAGGTTTCTGGCAATTACATTTGGACTCAGGACCATAACTTTTATATTTTCCTTTACTTCCAAATTTTCTGTCACAAGCAAGTGTTACTCGTGCAGGGGCAGAAATTCACTAACCTTGAGGGTGTTGGGCTGGATTATGGCTCTGGGCCCTTCCACACAGACTTCGTCTTCATTTGCTGGGTCTTGGCATATTTCAGAATTCCAAGACATTTTCTCTCCGTCCAGAGGCATGGCGACCTGGGTTGTGGGTGGGGTGGGTGGGCTTTCGTCTTATCATTTCACTGGAGGAAAGATCCATTGCGGCACTATTTGCCCAGCCTCTATGAGGTTCAAAGTGGTCGAACAAGCCAAGAGAGCCACCTGGAAGCTTGGTCCTGGGACCTGGGGGTCATGGAGGGGAATGCTGGCAGAGAAGCAGCTAGGTTAGGACAGCTAGCTGCTGTATTATACCAGCTGGTATATGGGCTGACTATACCAGCCCTGGAATCACAGACCTGGGTACATCTCTGGATTGCCACTTAGGAGCTGAGTAACTTGGGAGAAAGGTGCGGTTTGTTCATTTGTAAAGTGGGTCCTGTGGTTGGCTGTGTTATAGTGCAACGTATTAGCAGCCCCATCCTGGAGGGAGACTGTACTTGCACGCTCCGCTGAGGTCACGTGGCCATGTGACCCTCAGTGCCCTCCCTGCCCTTACTGAACTTGCATGTGGTGGTTTTGTGAATTGTTTGGGCCAGCGACGCTGTAGAGTGAGCTCACCACCCCTGTCTCTCTCTGTTACCTCTGCACAAAGCCAGCCATGTGCAGCTCCATCAGCCGGGGTCCCGGGAAGAAGATAACAGGGGTCAGAGCTGTAGCCCACTCGAGATGCACACGCAGCAGGAGTGCGAAATAGCCTTGAAGCCGCTGCGTTTTGGAGGGTCATTCACGGCTGTGGTCTTCTAGTTCATTCCGGCTGAGGCAGGGCTGTCATGTGTTGAGGACAGAATGAAGTCACCTATGTGAAGTGCTCAGCCACCAGCTGGCAAAGGGGGAGGTAGCAGGCAGGTAGGTGAGGATGTGCTGCTGTCACCAACAACCCACAACTCTCAGTGACAAAACATATCACATGCGTGTTTCTCACTCACTCAGCACATCGAACAGGGCCCTGTTATTTGTACTCAATTAAGGACTCGGGCTGATGGACAATCTCTCTTGAGGAGTGCTTTTCCAAGATCCTGAGTCAGTGAAAAAAAGAATTTGTCAAACCCTACAGAGGCCACTGAAGCTGCACTCAGAAGAGACGCTAGTCACTCACCTCACCTTGTACTCTGCAAAGCAAGTCTCATGACTACACCTAATATTAAAAGGGATGGGAAAGTGCGAATCTACCCCAGGCACAGAAGGAGGCGAGAAGCAGGATGTGTGTGGTCAGCACTAATGACCTCCCCTGTGGCCATTCAATAAATGCTAGCCGCTGCTAGAGTCACCATTAATCATAGCATTTAGGCTAATTCCAAATGGAGAAAAGGTGAGACGTAGGGATGGCACTGTCGGCGGGAGCATGAGTGTGTGCAGATGTAGAGTTTGGGAAGGGCAGCTGTCCAGGGAAGAAGCAACGGGGCACACAGGGAGTTGGCTGGAGACGCAGTTGGGGCCAGACTGTGAAGACCTTTGAGCTGAGATGTTGTCATATGGAGCTGGGAGCCTGGAAACATCTGAACCAGGAAGGGGAACACGGACCACATGAGGGAGGGGTGAGGCTCTGAATTCTGGCAGAGTGAGGAGGCTGGCTCAAGGAGGGGAAGGGCTGGAGAGCTCTGTGTGAGTGCATGTCGACAGGGCTGGAAGGAGGACAGGCTGTGGGGGGTGAAGGCGTGGGAGTCGGGATGACTCCAGTGCATCCTAAGTGCAGACAAAGAGGAGGTCCAGTTCCAGTTTTTTTTTTTTTTTTTTTTTTTGAGACGGAGTCTCGCTCTGTCGCCCAGGCTGGAGTGGAGTACAGTGCCGCGATCTTGGCTCACTGCAAGCTCCGCCTCCCGGGTTCACACCCTTCTCCTGCCTCAGCCTCCTGAGTAGTTGGGACAACAGGCGCCCACCACCATGCCCGGCTAATTTTTTGTATTTTTAGTAGAGATGGGGTTTCACCGTGTTAGCCAGGATGGTCTTGATCTCCTGACCTTGTGATCCACCCGCCTCAGCCTCCCAAAGTGCTGGGATTACAGGCGTGAGGCACCGTGCCCAGCCTCCAGTTTTAAGAGAGGATGCTGGGTTTGGCGTTAGAGGTGATGAATGGCTAGAATCAAAATGACAATACCTCATTTAAGAAGGTTGTGGATCAACAGGGACAATCTTCTGTTACCTCTTTGGTAAACTGGTTGACGTCCATGACTAAAGCTAAACAAACAGACCCTATCACTCAGCAATTCCTAGAATTTCTTTTGAAGAGAATCTTGCTGTGTGGCCCAGGCTGGAGTGCAGTGTGGCACCATCCTGGCTCACTGCAACCCCTGTCTCCAAGGCTCAAGTGATCCTCAG
Source organism: Homo sapiens (assembly GCF_000001405.40). Classification (NCBI taxonomy): domain Eukaryota; kingdom Metazoa; phylum Chordata; class Mammalia; order Primates; family Hominidae; genus Homo; species Homo sapiens. Next base: position 6,477,153 of record NC_000004.12, on the reverse strand, counting down.
CATCCCGAGTAGCTCGGACCACAAGCATGCACCACCATGCCTGGCTAATTTTTGCATTTTTTTAGTAGAGACGGGGTCTCCCATGTTGCCTCGGCTGGTCTTGAACTCCTGGGCTCAAGCAATCTGCCTGCCTCAGCCTCCCAGAGTGCTGGTGATATGAACTGCTGCACCCAGCCAGTTCCCAGAATTGTGTACACATGAATGCTGAGCCACAGAATTGTTGTTCATAATTAGCCTCCACACTGAACAAACAACCTATGTGCCCAACAACAGTGGGGTCAGCTGCAGTGTATTTCTGCCATAGAATATTACACAACAATGAAAAATGAATAAATTACAGTTACATATATATAAATAACATGAGTGCTTCTCAGAAAAAAAACATTGTGCAAATGAAAGCAGTTATGAAAACATTCCTACCTTACAATTTACTAGTAAACTAGTAAAACTACAGTGTTAAAAGTCAAGATGGGGGTTATCTTTGGGGTGGTGTCTTAGTCAGTTTGGACTGCTAGAACAAAAATACTGTAGCCTGGACGGCATAAACCACAATCTATTTTTCACAGTAATGGAGGCTGGGAAGTCCAAGGTCAAAGTGCCGGCAGATCCTGTGTCTGATGAGGGCTTCCTGATTTGTGGATAGCCAACTTCTTGTTGTGTCCTCATATGACAGAGAGAGAGGGAGAGGGACAGAGAGGGGAAGCAAACTCTCTCACGTCTCTTCTTATAAGGCGGCTAATCCCATTATGAGGGCCCCACCCTTGGGACCTAATCACCTCTCAAAGACCCCACCTCCTAAAACCATCACATTAGGGGACAGGATTTCAATATATGAATTTTGGGAGTCAACAGCTGTTCAGTCCATGGAAGTGGAGAGAGAGGGGAGTGAGGGAGGCCTCGAGAGGTGGCTAGCGCCCTTTCCTGACTTGGTGGTTAGATGAGTGTTTACTTTGTGGTCGTTCTTCAAGCTGAACAGTTAACTTTTGTGCAGTCGGCTTGGGCTGCCATAATAAACAAGATAGGATAAGTGGCGTAAACAACAGAAATGTACTTCCTCCCAGTTCTGGAGGCTGGAAAGTCCAACATCAAGGTTCTGGCCAATCTGGTTCATGGTGAGGCCCCTTCCTGGTTTGCAGGCGGCCACTGTCTCGCCGTGTGCTCCCGTGAGCACCTGGGGAGAGAGTGGGCAAGCTCTTTGGTCTCTTCCTATAGGGGCACTAATCTCTCCATGAAGACCCCACCCTCATGGCCTTGTCTAACCCAAATCTCCCAAAGGCCCCACCTGCAAACATCATCACATTGGGGGTTAGGGCTTCAGCCTGTGCACTTGAGGGGACATGGTGCGGTGCACAGCACACTTTCCATGCATGTTCTCTCTGTCAATTACAACAAGTTGGGGGCACAGAAGCACAGGGAGACATAGCCTGGTGGGGCCGTCAGAAGGAGTGGAGCATGTAAACCTGCTGAGAAGTGGCAGCGAAAGGTGGTGCCACTGAAGTAAAGGGAGGCGCATGGTCCACAGGGTGAGACCACGAGAACTCAGCATAGAGAGAGGCCAGCATGCGTCCACTGGTTCCAGGAACAGGAAAGTCATTCTCATGCCGTCTGACACAAGTTTCTTTTCTGGGGTGGGATGGATGGCAAGAAGCCAGGTTGGAGGGCACGGCAGTGAGTGAGGAGATGGCGAGTGTAGCTGTACCCTTTTGGCATTGTGGTTGTGAATGGCAGAAATGCAATGTGCTGGTGGCTGAAGGGACACGGAGTGAGGATAGCTTTTGAATGTGGAAGAGACCCAAGCAGGCTTACGCTGTGAGAAGCATCTGGAGAGATGCTGACAAATTTCACCTTATTGAGCTTTCCTCTACACTCACCTTTATAAAATGGCACCTCCTCCTCCCCGTTCCTTTCTATCTCCATCTCCATCCCCGCCTTCATCTCCATCTCCATCCCCATCTCCATCCCCGTTCATCTCCATCTCCATTCCCGCCTTCTCCTCTGCACCAGTCATGGCCCACACAGTACATGCTCACTTTATGCTGTCCATCTCACCCCACTGGGAGGCCAGCTCCACGAGAGCAGAGCATTTCTCTATTCTGTCTTCCACACTACCCTAGTGCTGGGAACATGCCTACACATAGTAGATGCTCAATAAACATTCCTCATTGAATGAATGAAAGTACAGAGAGGAGTCTGTACAGAGAGGCTGGGGGTGGCAGGATCTGGAGCTCAGGCTCTGTCAGCGGGGGCAGGGCTGTGTGCAGATACAGATGAGGAAGCAGCAGATTGTGTGATTTAGTGGAGGTGGGGGGTGGGCAGGGGGCTGAGGGAGAGTCCTCGGTTGTGCTGGAGGGGGAGGGCTTCCAGGAAATGGAGGAGACAGTGTGGAGGAGCCCAGACACTGCTTGTGGTGGGGGTGGGGCAGGATGGGGTGGTGAGGGGTGAGGAGGGGATGGATGCAAGCCTTGGGGCCCAGTCAGGTTGGAAAGACCACCCACTGCAGGGTCCCCAGCATGGCTCAGAAGCTGATGAAAGGGATGATGTACTGTGTCAGGCCAGAGTGGGGCTGTTTTCATTGTAGTCCAGGACATCCCGGGAGATGAGGCTGATGCCAGCATAGGGTGGGTGTTTTGGCAGGATTGACAGATAGGGAGAGGGGACTTCTCCATGATCAGAGAGGGAGGCTGAGGAACATGCGGGAGGGTGGGCCTCAGCATGATAACAAGAGAGCTCCCAGGAGGCCTGACCCCTGCTGAGCAGGACTGGCCACCCCAACCCAGTGGGGCCACTCCTGCCATCACATCCACTTTACAGATGAGGTTGTGCCTGGGCCCCCTTGTGGTCAGGACTTGAACCCAGCCTGTCTTTCTCCCAGCATAGCCATTTTGCTGGCTCCAGCTAGAGAGGTGAGGGGGTGTGGACAGAGAGTGGGGGGCTGGCCTTAGGATGTGAGGTGGGGGGCATGTGAGCAGACAGGTGAGAGAGAGAGAGGAGAACATGCCAGGTGGGTGGGGGCCAATGTGGGTGTCGGTCACTTTCCTACGGGGTAGAAAGTGACAAAGAACAAGCACATCCTTCCGGCCCTTGCATTTACCTGGTCCTTGAATGGAGTCTGCACAGCTGGGAGATTTTGGCTTGTTCCACAGTGAAAAGGTAGAGGCTGGAACAGGGCAGGGCACTTGCCAAAGCAGGTGCTGGCAGGGCCCCAGGGCCTCTCCCCAGGCCAGCCCTTGCATGACAGCCTGCAGAGTGCTGGTGGGGCTGCTGGGGGGCTTTCATCTCCTCATAGGTCCATTCTGGGGATTTCAAAGGCACGAAAGCTGTAGCTTCAAAAACTCCCTCTCAATCTCCAAGAAATCTGAGACGGCATCACCTTCCCTCGTCTTTCCCACAGCCCCAGTCTCCCTGCCCCCAACGCCTTTGGACTCTCCTACCTCCACTGCAGTTTGGGGAGCTGTCTGGAGTTCCCCCAGAACCATTTGAAACAAGTGGAGGCCATTACAGACCAGCCCCCACCTGGAGCATGGCTCCACTGATGCCTTAGACCCAAGAGCCCCTGCAGCTCTGGTCACCCCACTGCACTTACCCCTCCCAGGCAAGCCACAGAGTCCCTCGCTTTCCAGGAAGGCTCTGTTGAGCTCCTAGGGAGGGCTGATGGTTCCTCACCCACACCTCTGAATCCCCACTGGGGCTTGTGTCCCGTGCAGGGGACTGTGATTCATTAGGCGGTGGGTCACGGTGGAGGAGGTGGCAGCTTGGCAAAACAGGAGGCAAATATTTTTTGAGGGCCCACTATGTGCCAGGCTGATTACCAGAGGGAGGTTCCTGTTTGGCAGAGCCCTGGGTTTGGAGGGGAGGGAGGGAAGGGAGGAGGGGGACGCATTTTCCAGCCTGGTTTTGGAGGTACCTAGCTCTGTATTTCTTTAACTTTCTCACTCGTCAGGAGAGGTGGGCATGAGGAGAGATCTCAGAGCCCTGCCTGGGGGAGGCCCAATCACCCCTCCAGCCATTTCATCCAGTTTTGCCTTGTCGGCTGCTGGACCCCCTCCACCAGCTTCTTCACATGTACTTAATGCTCCCAACGGGCCCCAGAACTTGCGCGACCCACCCTCTTCTACTAATGAAGGGAGACAGTGTCCTTCCCCTCCCCCGAGTCCCCATTCTCCAGGTGCGCCCTCTTCAACTGCGACCCCACTCCTTCCTTCCTAGTCCTTTCTGCCTTCTGCCTGCGAGGCTGCTCTCCTCCTGCCCCCTTCCCAGCACCCCGGCTCTTGGCCTTCTCTCCCATAACTGGAGCACCTGGGCACCCAAGGTACCCTCCCCCCAAGCTCAGCTGATCACCCTCTCCCCGCAAGCTGGCGGTCTCCTTCCTCCCTCCCCCGTGGCGCACCCAGCACCAAGGTGCCCACCGCGAGGGCCCGAGCACGGCGGTGCAGCCTCGGCTTGGGCGCCGGCTCCACCTGCAGGGCCGCGGGGGCGGAGAGCGGGCGGCGCGAGGGAGGGGCCTGCGACAGCGGCGGCGGCGGCGGCCCCAGCCCGCGCAGCCCGGCTCGGCCCCGGCTTGGTCGGCGCAGCGCAGCGCCGCGCGCGTCCCCTCGCCGCCGTCGCCGCAGCCAGGCGCACCGGCACCAGGCCCCGCCGCCGGGCGCACGGACGCAGCGCGCACGGGCCGGCCGGGATGCGCGCCTGGGCCCCGGCCCGCCCGAACCCGCGGCCGCCGCCCGCCCACCGCGCGCTCGCTTGACCGCGGCGCCCGCCCCCGGCCGCCCCCGCCCGTCCCCCTGCCGCGATGCCCTCCCTTCGGGGCCCCGGCGGCCCGCGCCCCTGCTAGGCTGCGGCGGCATGGCCCGCGCGCCCGGCGCGACCTCTGCGGATTGCATCGGTGTGTGGCGGCGGGGCATGCCCAGAGCACCGGGCACGGCCTTCAATGGGCGAGGACACGGACACGCGGAAAATTAACCACAGCTTCCTGCGGGACCACAGCTATGTGACTGAAGGTAACGTACGTGTTGTCTGAGACCCCTCCGGCCGGCCGCGGCGTGGGGATGCCGTCGCACCGAATGCCCTCCGAAGGTTTGGACCGCGCGATGTGTGTCGTGTCCCCCCGCCCCACCCCACCCCACCCCATCCCACCCCACCCCACCCCATCCCATCCCACCCTGCCCGGGGCCCAGGAGGGAGGGAGCCCGAGGGTACCGGCCTCCGCTGCCCAGCGCCGGCACAGGGCAGCGCCCTCCTCCGCGCCGCCCTCCGGGAGGCAGCTTTCCTCTCCCAAGCCAGGTGGCATCCTGATTCGGCCCTGACCATAATTTTTTAAAAGGCCACGGCTGTGGCTAATCTGGTGAAGAAATCTCGGGGAAATTTAATGGTTTAAATCCTGGATTTGCCATTTCAGCCCTGCCCAAAGCCCGCAGAATTTTCTAGGCTGCCCTCTCCCTGGAGAAGAAGAGGGACCCGGGGGGAAAAAAACATAATCCATTGCCAGATCCTCCTGGGAGGCCCGCCTGCCCGGGCCCCTCCCTGTCCTCCAGAGGCAGGGTCCCTGAGTGGGAGGGAGAAGGCGGCTGGTTTGGGGCTGGCCTTTTTATTCCTGGTGAGTTATATTGAGACAGGAGCAGCTGGGCTAACTGTCGGGATTTTCCAAAAAAGTGGGACATGCCATCCCAAACAGGCCCTGTTTAAAATCCCCTAAGTTGGCCCTACAAGCCCAACCCCCACCCCCACCCTACCCCCGAGGCTGGTGGGTCAGCGCCCCTCTCTTACAGGCCTGGAACTTCCGGGGGCCCCCTGGTCTGCCTCGCTAGGGGAACAGTGGGGACAGCTTCCGTGCGCAGGCAGGGCCCGCGGAGTGACCCCGATGGAGGATGGGGACCGGGAGGTCTGGGCTCGGGGCCGCCTGTGCTGGAGCCCTGCCCGAGTGCGGGGACTGTCAGCCGCTAACCCACGGGCTGGCGGCCCGGCCGCAGAAGTGTGCGCGGATTCCCCGGGTGGGTGCCCCAGTGGGAGGGGCCCTGGGCACGGGTCCCGCGGGGCAGGTGCGCGTGGGTGCCTGTGTCAGGGAGACCGAGTGGGCCAGGCGGCGGAGACCGGGCTCCTGCGGCTGGGTCCGCCTCCTCGAAGCCTGGCTCTGCCGGAAATGAGGCCGAGCGGAGCCGGAGCCCCGCGGAGGCCCGGGGAGCGCAGCGCGAGCGCGGGCGCGGGCGGGCTCGGGGCGCCCTGGCCCGGGAGGCAGAGGCTGGGCGTGGGACCTGGGCGGAGGGAGGCTGCGGGGGCCGCGCCCGCTCCCGGCGGGAGAACCGCTGAGTCACGCACGCTTCGCCGCCGGGTGTGTGCGAGAGAGGGGCAGGGCTGCCCGGGCCTCCGGGCCGGTGGGGCTCTGACCCGGCCGCGGCTTTGGGAGGCCCGGGGAGCTGAGAGCGGTCCTTTGTCGCCTGCTTCGGCGAGGCTGAGTCGGGATCAGCGTGGGTCCGGGATGTGGTTTCTGCTCGCAGCCTGCAGCGACAGAGGGTTGGAGGAAGCCGCCGGGTTGCTGGCCCGTGCCTCGGTGGCCTGGCTCGGGCCGAGAGCGGATCTTGGCAGGTTGCCCCGCTGCTCCCAGGCTCGCTGTGGTCTGGCTTCCTGGAGCAAGCCTCTGTTTGCTCATCTCTACGTTGGGGATGACGGTGGGATGGGGCGCAGGGCTCGTTGTGGGACCAGGCGTAAAAAGCGCCATGGTGGACATTTTCAAACATTAATTCCCTCTGCACCCTGCCCGTCCCCTTTTCTTTCATAAATTCACCAGCCCTCAGCAGGGCACAGGAACGGGGACGGCACAGTTCTGGAGGTCAGAGCAGTGCTATCCAATCCTTCATCCAGACACGAGATATTTACCGAGCACCTGCTGCATGCCGGGCACTGTTTTATCCCTGGGGACTGGACAAAGACTCCCTGCCCTTGTGCGGCCTGAATTCTATCAGGGAGCTATATGACCTTGAGGTCTGTCTTCTCACCAGGGCTCAGTCTCCCCATCTGTAAAATGGGAGTGAATCCTGCCTACAGGGTCTGGAGGTTTCTGTGAGGAGCAGGTGCAACGGTGTTGAAGGAGCCGTTCAGAGCTATGCATTGCTAACGTGCAGCCAAAGGATGCTGAGCACCTGCTGTGTGCTGGGACCTCATACGAAGGCTCACCTACGCCTTATCCCCACCTTGAGATGAACAAACCAAGGCCTGGCCTTGTGCCTGGTCCAGACCGAGTGCCAGTGTGTGCAGGGCATAGGGCTCAGGTGCTGCGGATGCAGAGAGCAGGATCGGAACAAGAAACAATAATAATCATTATAATAGGTAGAATTCTGGCCTCCCTAATGAAAAACACACTTTCACACTGTTGCATCCTGACTATATTTCATGCTCAGAGCACAGGGAAGGTCACAGATTTGAATGTCAGAATGTCAGACTTGAATCATGTTAAAGTCCTGCCTCTGACTCCTGACTGCTGTGCAGCCTTGGACAAGTTACTACACCTTCCTGAGCTTCACTTTCCCTTTGTAAAGGGAGAAATAATAACGACCTTTCATACAGGGTTGCTGGGATGATCAGTGATTTTGCTAATATCAAAAGTGCCCAGCACAGTGCTTGGGTTGTTGGAGGCATTGAACACATGGCATTGTTATTATTTATATGCCTTGTAACTGGAAGAGCCTGTGGGCAAACAGTGGATGCTAAAATTCAGTTTGCGGAAGAACCAGGTGCACAAACTCCTGTTCTACCTGTGGTTGAGTCTACACTCCCCCACCACACCCCAGCTGCTCTGATCTACCTCCTGTTCCTTGAGCAGGCCATTTTCTTTCTTGCTTCAGGGCGTTTGCAATGGCTGTTGCCTGGAATACCCACCTCCTGCCTTTCTCACCACTGACTCTTTCTCATCCTTTGGGCCCCATGTCCAATGTCATCTTTGCCCGTGGGAGCCCTGCTTGGGTTCCTGAGTCTCTTGTAAAATCTCAAACATCTTAGGAAGAGTTTAGGTTTTGTTAGTCATTCACATCTTGGTGTGAATTCGTCAGAGCAGGTTGGATTTTTTTTTTTTTTTTTTTTTTTTTTTTTGGTGGCAGGGCTGGGTGGCTTACTCTTGGCTGGGCTCAACTGCATTGAGGGTTATGGTGATGATTAGGTGTACCTGCAGGCCACCTGGGGGCACAGAGAACTTTGCATGAATGGGGTCAGGGTGTGGGGAGAGCAGTGCAGCTGATAGGGCACTGGGCCCTGGGCCCTGGACCCTGGAGGGTGCTAGGAAGTCTCCATCTAGTTAGACATTTCTCAAGAGCTGGATATGGTTCCAGGAAGGACTCTTCCTGGCTCTGTTCTTTCTCTTTTTGCGGCAGGCCTCAGTACTTAGCTTTAGAGTGAGTTGAATAAGCACTTCCAGACTAGACTGAACTTACAAAACCCATCCATCCTTCCTTTGCTTAGCACCATTTGCCAAGCACATCCTGCCCTGGGCAGCAGTGATGACCAAGACACAGGAGCTCAGCCAAGGGGAGGTGGTTCAGGCTGACCAGGTAGATCCTGGCAGTGACTGGGTCTTTCTGGGGAGCAACAGTCACTCTCATGTGCCTGACAGGTAAGGCACTTCCGGAGCACACTTTTCAGCTGAGGCCAGAGGCACAGCTTCCCCTTGTTTGAGCATCTCAGCCATCACACACTGTTGGACACTCATGCTTTTTGCATCTGCATAAAGGATGTACCCATGTTTTCCTAACTCCCATCCCTGGATGTCCTGTGTGATTTCAGAGTAGTCTGTTTATTCCCACAGAGTTGTCCTGATTTTATAGTTGAGGAAGTGAAGGATGCTTGGGAATTGCTAAGGTCATCATGGGGTCCTGAGGCTGTCTGAACGCAGCAGGCAGGCAGGTTTTCCTGCATGGAATTGTCTGCAGGTTTTGAACTGGTTGTGCCCTGGATACCATCTACTTTCTGCCCAGGAAACCACACTGAAGAGGGGATGCTGCTTGTGGGAGACTCAGCATTCAGTGAAATCTGCACCCTTATGGTGGACGTTGCAGCTGATCTCCACAACAGTTAGTCTCTCTTCTTCCAAGGAGAACACATATGGTTCCTAGTAAGAGATCTCAGGCCATAGCTGGATGTGATCAGTGCAAGGATGATCTCATTCCCCTTGCAGTGACTGGTTCCAGAATGGATGTGGGAGTCAGTTCTGGAGGTTGAGTGGAAAGTAGGGAGAACCACAGGTAGTTGGTCCCTCTCTTGTGATGGGAACAGGGAAACCTTGTGGTGGCTGGCAGCCATCTGACACCATGAGGGGAGCAAGTCTTAGGCCACCACCGTTGATGGCAGGGCAGAGAGTGAGTGAGATCCAGGACATAGAGGCCTGATGTCCAGGCCGCCTCTGAACTTCCAGTTACATGAGCTGTTACTTTTCCTTTTCGTTGTGCACTTTCAAGTCTCCGTTACTTGCAGCCCATAGCACCCCAACTCGTACAGCCCTGACTGCTTATCAAGAAAACCAGGAGGCTGATCTGTAACCCACAGCTAAGACTCGAGATACATAAAACCCAGAGGGATTTTTGTTTGCTTTCTGTTTTGAGAACCCTCTTTCATTTCACTCAAGTCAAGGTTGCCAATTTCTGGTTTTCCCTCCTCAGTCCTATTGAGGAGGTATTTTTGGTCAGATAAGAGAGCCTGAGATCTGGCATCGGGAGATCTGGGTTCCTGGTGGGGTCTGACCCTGGGTCTGTAATATTGGGCAGGTCACACGGTCTCTCTGAGCCTCAGTTTATTCTTAATAGATCAGTAAGTGATGATGTCTATTCTTTAGGGGCCAGAGTTAGACTAGCCCTTAGAACTGTCATCAGACTGGCTAGCCTAACTTCCACCCCAACCTATGGGGAAACTGAGGCTAAGAGGGGGGACATTAGTGGTGGCACAGAGGGAGATTAGGGAGAGTCAGCCTTTGACTTTTGAAAATCAAGATGTGGACTGTTCAGATTCTGTGTTCCTTTCGCTTCTGTTTGGAAACGCCACTTACATAAGCTTCCCTTGGGCTTCACAGCGAGTGTGGGCTCCATTTCAGTGCTGGGGTGCCCTCCATCAAATCACATCACTTTCTGAGCCTCAGTTTCCCTGCACTGCCTGGTGCCCTGGGTTGTCATGAGGCTGTAAGGAGCCAAGGGCATGTGGACTCTGAAGTTCTACACGTGTAAAAGGCGACTGCTGTCAATTTCCCCAAATTGTAGTGTAGGCCAACTCCCACGCCCCTGCTGTAAGCAATGTGCTCCTTTCTTTTTAATCAACCCGAACTTAAAGCTTGGCGCAGTCACAGAGCACGGTTTTTCTCATTTTCTTTCTGGAAGATGAAAATCAAATTCTAATAAAATTTTTCCACTCCATCTCCTGACTGTTGTCATTTGCTACACTTTTTAGTGTTTATCCTTAAAGCTTGCAGAGCTAAGGGATGTTTGGTAAGAAGTGTTTAGGCCTTGAGACTGGAAGAGCCGCTGTATGAAGCGCTAGGCTCCATGGAGAGTGTGATGGGGAGTAAGAGAAGGAGAGTGAACTCCTGTGAGTCCACCAAGCAGAGGGACATACTCTCAGCAACTGGGGTATTTCCTTCCAGTCTTTTTTTAATGCCCATGTCTGTTTTTAATGAAAACTGTAATCTGTCTGTATCAACAATTTTGAAGGCTACTTTTCTAGTTTGGCATGAGATTATAGGAATTTTCCAGGGCTTTGCTCCAGGGCTGGCTTCATGGATATGCAACCTGTGTGGTCATCTAGGTCCCCACACTCAGAAGGACCTGTGCTTGGGTTCATGTTCTGCTGTTACTATCTTGAAATTTTTAAGAATTTCACTTTGGATCCTGTGTTTTGTAAGCGAAATCTGATGGGACGGGGGAGCCTGGGAATGAGCAGAGGGGTACGTGTGGCAGGCGAGTCTGTGGTTACACATATTGGCTCCCACAGCACGCTACCCTGTGTTCACTTGAGCGTCTGAGCCCCATGCACAGTGGACAGCTCATGCACCTTCTCAGTGCGTCTGTAGTTTCACAGGCAGGGGCCATGCTTTCAAATAATGCTCCAAGGCATTGATGTTCTCATGCAGTGACTTCTAAGAAACATGAATGACGCAGGAACCCTATGGTGTCCTTTCTTAACGTGTGTTACGTGCCCATATTTGCCAATCGCTGACACTGAAAATGATTACACAGAAGGGAAGGGAAAAAGAGGGCACCTATAGTTCCTTTTCCTCCTAGTCCTTCCTTGTTTATTATTGAACCAAGGGTAGAGGGTGTTGGAAGAATGTACACATATCCAGAAATGAAATAAGAACAGTTAAGTTAGTTTCCTCTGCTCTGGTAAGAACAAAATCCATATGCGAAATATAACTTGTGCATTTTGGTGAGTCTACATTCCAGTTACGTGCTCTTATGTTTGCATTTAAAATTGGAGGTGCACACTAGAATGGTGAGTGATAAAATGCACGCTAAGAGTTTAAGCTTTTTTTTTTTTAAATTTGAATTGACATTAAATAGCAAATAACACCATGACAAAATATGGAAGGCATGAAAAGGTTTTGTATCTTAGCACCTTTAATGATGCTTTTCCTTTGCTTTTTGAATAAGAGGCTCTGCATTTTCATTTTTCCCTGTGCCCCACGAATTATAGGGTTGGCCCTGCTCTGCTGGAACTCTGGGTAGGGTGAACTCCTTGGCCCTGCCTTCTACCTCCTTGGCTTTCGTGATTGGTGGAAATGGTGAGAGCCTGCCATCCATTGGGCAGCTCTTCCCTATGGGGAGGGGTTACAATATTAAATGTCCGTGCTCCTCTCTCACCCATTGGGTCCATGGGCCTCTGACTTCCAGGTTGCTCTACAGGGGAGAGGCCAACAGTTATCTTATTTTACAAGCTAGAAGTTAGACCTACCTCTCCCCGCAGGACCAAGGGGTGGGGAGGTGAAGTAGGGGTCCATAGCTCTTTTTTTTCCTACAGGTTTACCATTAATAAAGCAGATTTTTTTATTCCTGTCTTGCGGCCAGTCTTTTCTGTGTAATCCCAAGTCCCAGCAAGGAAGAGGGGTGACTGGTTACCTTGGCCCCGCCCCCAAGTCACACAGTACACGTATTGACAACCATCATTTCATTGGCTGCATACTATTCCTGTGATACATGTGTCATCATTCAGTAGTTCAATTAATCATTTCCTTATGGCTGGATATTTAGTTCCCTCCCTTCCCTCCCTCCCTCCCTTCCTCCCTTCCTTCCTTCTCTCTCTCTCTGTCTCTCCCCCACACACTTTCTTATTTTCATAACTAACACTGCAGGAATGAACACCATTTGTGTGTGTGAAGACCCCCTACTCCCATCGTTCCCCCTTAACCTTGGGATGATGCTCTTCAGAAGGAATTCCACACGTGCTATTTCATATAAAGATCACTAGCATTTTTAATGTTGTTGACACACATTGGCAGATTATTCTCCAGAAAGTTTTTCTCTTTAACCACATGCTGATCAACATTAGGTAGTCTAATTTGTTTGACCTTTGCAAATATCAAAGATGAAAAATATTTATTGTAATTCACGTCTGCATACCAATGAGGTTGAACATTTTTTCCTTTTGTTCAGCGGGTATTGGCTGATCCCTGTTATGTGCCAGGGTGACATTAGATTCTAGACATACAAAGTTGAAGAGCAAGGCTGTGTCTGCCTTGAAATGTGGACTCTCCTCTCCCAGTGTCTTGGGTGCCACTGCGGGACCTAGCTACTTCTCAGGAGAGAGTCTGAAGCTGCTGGAGGAGTCTGTACATCCCTCAGCACCCTGGGGAGTCCTGTTAGTTACACAGGGCCTTGCAAAGACAGGCATCTCACCATTAAGCCCTTGAGCAGAATGATCCAAGTGGACTTTAGGATGAAATAATTACAAAACAAACACAATAGCCATTATTATGATTCACCATTTATTGGCTATGTACTATAATACTATATGCTGGACATGAGGCTGCGTGCATCTCATTGGAGATGCCCCAGACCTGATGTTGTGTATATTATTTCCCCATTTTACAGAGGAGAAAACTGAGGCTGAGGTGCTTGTTCAATGTCACATAGTTTGTAAGGGACAGAGCTGAGTTTTGAATGCAGCCTGCCAAACCCACGCTCCTGACTGCTACATTAATTGGCTGGGACCCACAGGGCAGGGTTAGGTGGCCTGTTCAGTTCTGATTATGCACCACACTTAGGAGATTTTGGGATTTGAACTAGACTACCTGGCTTGGTGCTCTTGCTATCTGTGTTGCGATGAAAGGCAATCGAGAGGGTTCAGCAGGAGGAGAGACCCCCTTCACGGCACAGGTAGATGGCAGTGGCAGAGGCCACAATTGGACACGTGGTCCAGGGACTGAAGGGCAGGTGGCATTTCCAGGTTGGGGGGTGATGATGTGCTGGGACATGGTATTCTAGCGCATTCTGGGCAGGAGGAACGGTGTGTGCAAAGTGGCATAACACTTGTCCCCTGACAGTGTCCAGCTCCTCTGCTTGAGACCAGGAGGCAGTTAGTTAGTTGCCAGCCGGCCCGGGAGCAGGACACACCTGGGGGCCCCTGTGCTGCCCAGGACAGGCACTGCCCTCCTTGCACAGTGGGGGCCATTGTCCTCCAGAACCCAGGGCTGAATGTCCCATTGAGGCAGAACAAAGGCTGCTCAGAGGTTCCCAGCTGGGGTGTGGGCTGCCGCAAGCAGGGATGGGATCTCCAACTGCAGGCCAAGGGCCTCCTCCAGGCTGGCCTGGCCTCCTGCAGCCCCACCCCCACCCCTCCTCAGGACCAGGACTGTTGCTGCTGGAGGCTGGACCTGGGCTTGGGCTCCCAGGCCTGTGCTCTGGGTCTGGCACAGCTGCCGTGCCCTTGGCAGCTTCTTCATCCCCTGGGCAATTTCCCCATCTATGAAGCAGAGAGAGAGCGAGCTCCCAACCAGCAAGGCTTTCAGGCAGAATTGAATGAAATAGTGCACACTCTGTAGGTTAATCTCAATAAAAGGGAGCTCTTTCATGATCATGATTAGCTTCTGAATGTTTTTTTACAATTTCAAAAAAGTTTTGATGCAAACTTTCAAATTTGTGCCACTTCTGGGCCAAAGTGTTTAAGAAGGGAGTGCACCTTCCCCCCTCCCTCTGTCCCAGAGAAGGGAGAGATGCCGCTCCCTGGAGCCCCTCATCACTCTGTGGAAGGGACTGCTGGCCAACTGTTACAAGAGGAGAAACTTCTTTGCATTTGTGAGAAAATAGTCTATTGAACTGCTTCCAATCTATCAAGATCTTGCTGTACTTCCTTCATTTACTCTCCCCTGCTTTTGGATGAAGAATTTTTAGGCAAATCCAAGACTCCTGTCATTTCCCCGTTCCATCTGCAGGCATCTCTGAGTGTTGAGGGCATTTCTTGTAGCCCAGTGCTGTTATCCCACCTCACAAAACATATCCTGATTCTTTGTTACCTAAATTCTGGTCCATTTTATGAACGTCCCCAGTTGTCTGAGAAATGTCTCTTATGGTTGGGTGGTTTGGCCCAGGATCCAAAGTCCTGCACCTGCGTTTGGCTGTTCTGTCTCTTGTCTTTTCTGACCTAGACTCAGCCTCCATCCCCTTTTCAGGCTACCAACTTGTTGAAGACATTTGTTATTATTTTATTTTATTTTTTTTAAGACGGAGTTTCACTCTGTCGCCCAGGCTGGAGTACAATGGCGTGATCTTGGCTCACTGAAACCCCCGCCTCCCGGGTTCAAGTGATTCTCCTGCCTCAGCATCCTGAGCAGCTGGGACTACATACAGGTGCCCACCACCACGCCCGACTAATTTTTGTATTTTTAGTAGAGACGGGGTTTCACCATGTTGGTCAGGCTGGTCTTGAACTCCTGACCTCAGATAATCTGCCTTCATTATTATTTTAGAGATTACAGTGTCACTCCCACTGTCCCTAATTTGTGCCTGGATTCCATTTGCCCTGTGGGTCTGGAAGGCTGAGAGGTGGTTGCTGGGACCTGGGCATCGGCCTTGGGGCTGCCCCTCTCTCCTCCAGGACCCCTTTCTGCAGAGTGGTGCCCTCGCCACTCCCTGGCTGAGTGATCTTGGGCAAGTTGTCCAGCCAGGCCGTGCCTGGGTGACCACATCTGAGCTGGGGGTGAGCGTGGCTGCACCATCCTCTCTGGGATGTGGTGGGTGTTGAATGAGATGGTGCATGCCACGTGCTCCGTGGGCCTGGTGCCTGTGGGTCCCTGTCTTACCCCCATGATGGGGATGTGGCAGGAACTGGGGTAGCCACCGCCTGCCCACACAGTGCTCACTTTCTGTAGGGGAGACACCCCTCAGCTGGTCACTACATACAGCAGGACCAGCACTTTCTGAGGGAAGAGGGATGTTCTCTTGGGAAGTCTGGATGCTGAAGACAGTTTGTTACTCTGATTAATACCAGTTACAAAGAAATCCCCACATTCCAGGGGCTTGATGTCATAGAAGTTTATCCCTTTGTAACAGTTCATTGTGGATGATCCCAGTTGGCCCAGGAGTCTCTTCCACAGAGTGATGCGGGGCTCCAGACCCTTCTCATCTGTCAGCTCCCATGTCCTCTCCATTCTCCGGGGAAGAGGGTATGGGGAAGGTGCACTCCCTCCTTAAACACTTTGGCCCAGACATGGCACTTGTGACTTCCCTCACATTCCATTGGCCAGAGCTAGTCACATGGCCCCACCTAATGCAAGGGGCTCTAGGAAATGTAGTCCCTGGCTGGGCAGCCCAGTGGCTACTCTGCAGTGGGAAGAACCTGCATCTTGGTGGATGTCTTGCCATCTTTGCCACATGACCCCACAAAACAAACCTTTACATTCTCAGTCCAAAAAACCCTACTAAGAATCCTGTGCTGGAGACACCCTCACTCAACCCCTGACCCTCCCCTCTCCCTGCTTCAGTGTCCACACGTGCACGGTGCTGTGAGATGCAGAGTCCAGAGTCATGCGGTGGCTAGGAGGTCAGGGACGCCTTCCTGGGAGAGGCGATGTCTGAGCTGAGTCTGCAAAGCCAAATAGGTGATGCCCAGGTGGATCAGGTAGGAGAGGGATTCCGGGCTTCGGCTGCAGCAGGGGTAAAGGCTGGTGTCTTGGGAGAGGGCATCCTGTGTAGAGAGGGGTCTGTGGGCCACTGAGATTTAGAGGATGTGTGTGGGGTGGGGTGGAGTGGGAGAGGAGCTGGAGCGGGATGGGAAGTGGGAGGCAGGACTGTTTGTGAAAGGCTTCAAATGCCGAGATAAGGAGTTTGGATTGTATCCTATTGACATTGTGGAACCAGATGGAGATGGGGCATTTCCCTTTGTTTGAAAGTATTTTGATTTCTATTGGCTGTCTTACTACAAAAAACATATGTAGTCATAGCAAAAAGTTCAGAAAATTTAGAAAGAGAAAAGGAGGAAAAGAAAATCCTACCACTGAAAATATTTTGGTATATGTGTTTTTGCCTATGGGTATACATACTATCTAGGTATATATATATTCCTACATTTTTTTATTCACTGAAAGATGGTTTTTGAGCATCTACTGTGTGCGTATCCTATTTTGTAATCTTTAAAATTTTCTCTTAATGATATGGGAGCTTTCTAGCTTAGAAAATAACACAGCCCATTTTCTTAGCTTGCTGGGACTTCTATAACACAGTGCCACATACCGGGCAGTTGAAACAACAGAGACTTACCGCCTCACAGTGCTAGAGCTTGGGAGTCCAAGATCAAGGTGTTGGCAGGGTTGATTCCTTCTGAGGCCCCTCTCCTTGGCTTATAGATGAACATCTCCCTACTGTGTCTTCACATGGTCTTTCCTGTGTGTGTCTGTGTCCTTAGAGGGACACCAGGCATATTGAGTTAGGGCTCATCCATATGACTGCATTTTACCTTCGTCACCTTGTTAAAGGTCCTTTTTGTCAAACACAGTCACATTTTGAGGTTCTAGGGGTTAGGACTTCAACAAAGGAATCTTGGGGAGGGGGCACATTTCAGCCCAAAGCACCCGTCATCATTGGTAATATCAGTCACATGCTTCTTCTATGTATTTTAAAGAGTTCCATGCTGGTGGGTATCAGAAGTTATGGTTGGTTTAGGATCATGAGCAGTGTTGTGAGGGCATCTTTGCACCTTTTTGCGTGCATATTTGGTTATTTCCCTAGGGTGTGGAATGGCTGCTTCTGAGAGTTTGGTCTTTCTGAAGTATCTTCATCTAATGTCAACTTTTCCTGATGACCAAACTTGGTACTAACAACTCCCTTTCCCCAGAGCATTGCTAGTGGCGACTAGATCCAACATATTTAATATTTGCCAATATTATGGTAAAAATTGCTGTTTTTTTGTGTGTGTGTGACAGAGGCTTGCTCTGTTGGTCAGGCTGGAGTGCAGTGTCGTGATCTTGGCTCACTGCAACCTCTGCCTCCCAGGCTCAAGCAATTCTTGTCTCTCAGTCTCCCAAGAAGCTGGCATTATAGGCTGTGTTCTTTTAAAGCATTTTTCAGTGAGATTGAACTTCCTTTATTATATTTATTGACCATGGCATATATTCAATTGTAAGTTTTTTTGTGCACCGTTCTTGGCCTGTTTCTCTACTGTAATTGTCATCTCTCTTGCAAACACTGACCCTTGGTTTGTTGTTTCTGGTAGCATTGATTTTATGTGGTTAGATGTCATGACTCTTGTCCTGCTGAGCATGGATCTCCCATTCCACAATCATGAGAAGAACCAACAATATGGAGGAGGTGACACCGTGTAGCTTTGGAGGCTAAGTAAAAAATAGGTCATGTGCTTCTGCCTTGGAGCCAGCCACCATATTGTGAGGAAGCCCAAGCAGTTTGTGGAGAGGCACATGCAGAGAGGAACCAAGGTCCTGGTTGAGCTGCCTGCCTAATATCCAGCACCACCTTGCCAGCAGGTGAGTGAGCCATCTTACAGGTAGAGCCTCCAGCCCTCAGGCAAGCCATCCATATGGAACAGAGATGAGCCATTCCCACCAAGATCTACCCAAACTGCAGATTCATGAACCAAATAAATGGTTTCTGCTTGAAGCCATTAAGTTTTGAAGTGCTTTGTTACACAGCAGTGGGTAACTGGAAGAGTCATGGATTCCTGACATTGAATTCCTGGTCCTCCTCCTTCTCAGGCTACTTGTCTAGATGTTCTGTTCTCTCCATGATTCTGTGGATCCCTCAGAGCCTTCCGGTAACTTCCTTCTTTGCTTGTGTTAGCCTGGGTCAATCTCTGTTGCTTATAACTGACAGACATGGGAAACCAGCCCCAGCAATGAGAGGTGACCCAGCTCAGATCATGAGACAGGACAGGAATCCAGGCCTTTCTGAAACATAGCCCAGGGTCCCATCCCACAACGTGTCAGTAGACACCATGCCTGCTGGGTCATGCCTGCTTCCGCTGCACCCTGCCAGCTCAGCACCTGCTATCTTCCAAAGGCCATTGCTGATTGCTTGTACACACCTGTTAGTTCATGCACAGACAGCAAAGCATGTAGTTGTGCTGCCTCCTTGCCTTCCTGCTATGATCTGAATGTTTAAGTACCCCCTCCAAATTCACAGGTTGAAATCCAGACCCCCAATGTGAGGGTATTTAAAAGGTGGGGACTTTGGGAGTGATGAGGTTGTGAGGGTGGAGCCCTCATGGGTGGGATTAGTGCCCTTATAAAAGACCTTAGAGAGCTCCCTTGCCCTTCTGTCATGTGAGGACGCAGCGAGAAGGCACTGTTTGAGAGTCAGGAAGTTGGACCTCAGTGGACACCAAATCTGCTGTGCCTTGATCTTGGACTTCCAGCCTCCAGAATTGTGAGGAATAAATGCTTGTTGTTTATAAGCCACCCGGTCTATGATATTTTGTTATAGCAGCCTGAACAGACTAAGCCACTCCCAGTGATGAGCCTGCATGATGTTTTACACAAACAGATCACTGAAAGAAGGAATTGGCCAGCAAAGATGATGCTCAGCAGAGATGTGAAAGATGTTAATGCTGGAAGTGAAATTTAAATTGGAGGTAAATGGAGTCATAGAAGAAATCCATGATC
This sequence comes from Homo sapiens, assembly GCF_000001405.40. NCBI lineage: Eukaryota > Metazoa > Chordata > Mammalia > Primates > Hominidae > Homo > Homo sapiens. The sequence continues at coordinate 6,458,087 of NC_000004.12, read as the reverse complement.
TTGGGAAGCTGAAGCTACCCTTCAAGAAGCTCTTATATGCAGCCAGAGGAGTTGAGTGAAGGTGAACACACTGATGTAAACCAGGAAAGGAGTTGTGCCCCAAAGCATGGAGATGTCCCAGAGGAAGCGAGGCTGGGAAAAACGTTAAAGGAACTCTTGAAGATATTTCACAGTGTTGAAAGTGCAAAGGATAAAATCTTGGAAGCTGGTCTGGAGAAAGATAATTCTGCAAAGCATAGAAAGGGTGCTTTTTTGGTATCGTAAGGTATACAATAACAGTAGCGAGCACTGTGCAAACTCTCTCCATATGTCTTTTACAAAGAAATAAAGCACTTGACATCTCAATGTTTCTGATGCTTTAAATTACATTGTACCAAATAAATATTAGTTGTACTATTTTAAAAAAACTTTCCCGGTTGGGCATTGTGGCTCACACCTGTAATCCAAGCACTTTGGGAGGCTGAGGTGGGAGGATCGCTTGAGCCCAGGAGTTCGAGACCAGCCTGGGCAATATAGTGAGACCCTGTCTCTTCAAAAAATAAAAAAAAATTAGCCAAGGATGGTGGCATGTACCTGCAGTCCCAGCTACTCAGGAGGCTGAGGCTGGAGGATCACTTGAACCCAGGAGGTTGAGGCTGCAGTGAGCTATGATTGCACCACTGTACTCCAGCCTGGGTGACAGAGCCAGACCCTGTCTCAAAAAGAAAAAAAAATTCCCAGTGCATTCCCTATGGACATTTGTAACTGTCCATAAAAGACTTTTTAATGTCTTGACAAAAAATTTTAAAGGCCACAGAAGAATTGTAATTTCCTCATTGATTATTAGGATGGCTTTAAATGGTTTTAGCTTTCATGCTCTATTTTTTTTTTTTTTTTTTTTGAGATGGAGTCTCGCTCTGTCGCCCAGGTCGGGGTACAGTGGTGTCATGTCAGCTCACTGCAACTTCTGTCTCCTGGTTCAAGCAATTCTCCTGCCTCAGCCTCCTGAGTAGCTGGGATTACAGGTGCCTGCCACGGCATCTGGCTAATTTTTGTATTTTTAGTAGAGACGGAATTTCAACCATGTTGGTCAAGCTGATCTTGAACTCCTGACCTCAGGTGATCTGCCCGCCTTAGCCTCCCAAAGTGCTGGAATTATAGGCGCAAGCCACCGCACCTGGCTCATGCTCATTTTTATGGATCCACACCACCCGTACAGCAAGGACTGCCTGCACTCATTCCAAGTGGTCAGAGTGGTCACCGCATGGGCCCTCCACGTGGCCAGGCCACAGTGATGTTTCAAACCCTGGCTGGGGGATTGCATTCAATATCCCCTTATTAAAGGCGGCAGCTCAAGAATATTAAATCATGGGAATTCCTCACTGTGGAAGTGGGAAGGCAGCCCGTGGTTCACCGTGAGGGGCACCCAGAGCTCCCCCTCCACTGCGTTCAGTGTGCAGCCCTCCAGCCAGCCTGTCTGCTTCGGGAGCAATCCATCATGGAATGAACTGACCGAAGGAGCGAGGGGCTGAATGATGTGGTTCCTACGCCGACTTTCAATGTGAAAGGTGATAAAAACAGCCCTGAATATTTTATGGCCCCAAGGAGAGGTAAGGCTCTTTATTGAAGCTGTGAAAATATAATCCATCATGATAATGTGTCCCATATCGTCAGACTCTGCGAGCTAAGTTGTGTGTATGTTAAGGTGCTCTTTTTGAGAAGATCTTAATTTTATTTCTCTATTTTATTTCATTACAGAAACGTTTGAACGTGTAGACAGTAGAATAAAGGGGGGGGGGGGAAATAACATCCTTCATTTCACTACTCCAGAAACACTGCTCACATTTTGTTGCATTTCCTTCTAACTACCCCCTGCAGATTGTACTATGTTTTGTGTCTTTTAAAATATTAAATGCACTGTCAACATTTTCCCAGATCATCCTGCACTCTGAGTTAACAATTTTTATTGGCTGCATAATACTTCACGATGTAGGTATTATTATTCATTCAATAACTATTTATGGATTCATTGATCCGATTAGTGTTGATTGTCTATAACAGGTGTGTGGGTGGGGTAGGGGGATTCAGGAAGAAGGAATAGGGCGCAGCTCCCCCCCCCCAGGATTTCTGGAATGAGGGAGACATAACAGATGGCTGTGATCCGGTGTGAGGGGCAGGGATGCAGTGGGCCCGTTGCAGCCTGGGAGCAGGTGGTCAGAGATGCAAGGCTGTGGGCAGCAGTGGTTGGTGGTCCACAGCAGTAGGCAGCAGGGGGAGGGGGCGACATTCATGGCAGGAGGGACATTATGGGCACAGCACGGCGTGGTGTGTTCAGGGTTGGTGGAGCGTTCACTTACAGTCTTGCAGATCCTGGCAGGTGTGGTGGTGATCTGTCCAGGCAGGGGAGGGAGAGGGAACTGAGAGTCATCAAAAGTCTCTGGGAGTTTGGAAAGGAGAGTAGGGGGCTCAGAGGGAGTGTGAGCACTTCCAGCAGAGGTGAGAAAGCCCCCAGTCAGTTGCCCAGGGTGGGCAGTGGAAGGGAAGTGGAGGTGAACGTTGTGGGGTGGAGAGGGTTTTCAGGCAGGCTGGGAGCTGCCCAGTGTGCTGGAGGAAGGCTGGGTCTCCTTGAATGGTGTTTGGTCAATGCAAGACCACAGGAGTGTGACTAGAAGGCTGGGGGTGCAGATGGTGGCAGGTGGAGGACAGAGAGAGCTTCTCCCACTGCTGAACAACGACTGCCCCAACTTTATGGGATGAGCATTCTTATGAATGCCCATTGTCCTGTATTCCAGATTATTCTTGTGTCTGTCCAGGTAGGGATGCAATTTCTTGATGTAGGGCTATAGGTGTTTTTAAGGGCTTGCATAAAGATTTGAATATGATGTTGTCTAGTAGAGTAAAAATCAAATTGGGCAAAACATTTTTGTTTGGGTGATTTTTGGAAGAGTAAGTCCACGAATGCAACGCAGCTCTGGAGTCATCTGTAGATTACAGCAAGCCCATCAGTCTCTATGTCTCTTGCTTACAACAAAGGATTGATTTCAGCTCCAGCACTAGGTGACTTGTGCTGTGTTCATTATCCCTTGATAGGTGTCTGACAGGAGATGGGGCTTGGGCTGTGCCAGGGAGGAGCCGTGTGGTGCACCACCTATCTCTGCAGGCATAACTATTTTGTCTTCATGGCAAAATAATAGCGATGATGGTGATGAGGAGGGAAGCTACCATTTCTTGACTGCTCCTGTGTAATGACATGTTGGTGATCACATTAGGGCTTTATGTCCACTCTGGGAGGTGGTGAGAATGACATCGCGTTTGCACATCAGGACGCTGAGCCTCAGAGAGGTTGAGTCCCAGGACGAAGGCCACACAGTGAGTGCCACAGGTACCATTACCACCTAACAAATGACTCTGGAGCTCAGTGATGTGATGAGAACCATTTTATTCTGTCTCCTGGATTCTGTGAGTCAGGAATTTGGGCAGAGCTTGGCTGGGCAAACCTTCTGCTCTAAATGGCCACCCATGAGTCTTCCAAGCTGGTGGGTGGACTGATCTGGGGGGACTGAGATGGTCTCACTCACACATTTTCTGCGGGGTGGGGAGAGTTGGAAGGCGGGGCTCCCCTCTCCAGCGTGCAGTCTCAGGGCAGTTGGACTCCTTCGATGGCAGCTGGCTTTCCCGAATCAAGTATCCCCAGATACCCAGGTGGAAGCTGCTTGGCCCTTCCTGACCCCTGGGACATCTCAGTGTCAATTGTGTCACCTTCATTTAGTTCAAGCAAGTCACAGGCCGGCCCAGGTTGAAGGGCAGTTGGACTCAACCTTTGCATGTGGGAAGGGCCAGGTTACATGGTAGAAAAGCAGATGGGATAGGAGACTGTGCTCTGGCCCTCCCTGGGAAACACGGTGTGCCACAGACGCCCTGGGCAGAGCCAAGACCCCCACTGGGCTCTGTCTGACCTTGGAGCCACTGCCCCGCTCCTGAGCAACACCCTCTTGTCCCCCTGAACAGTCACAGGAAGAACGGGTCCCTCTCTCCATGCCATTTTCCTGTTAAAAAATGCAAAAACATCCCATACTTTTGCTCATTTAAACACAGAGGAAAGGAGGTGAGTGAAAGCTTTCTTTAGGGGTAGATTAGATGTGAGGCAGACCGGTGGCCCTGGGTGTGCACCGGGTGGAAATTATTCTTACAAACAGGGCCGGGTGGGGGTGCAGCCTGCCACCGCCCCTCTGGCCGTCTGCCTCCACAGGAGGCTTGCAGGTGCCCACATCAGCCAACGTGGCCCTCGGTGGGGCTGTGCTTGCCTTCTTGCCAGGGCCACTGCAGTAGGGAGGAGTGCAGAGCAGAAACAGGTGAGCTGGGCTGAATTTTCTGCTTGGCTAATTCAGTGTGGCTTGACTCCAAGAAGGACACACCGACCTCCCCATCATCTTGTTTGTTCAGCCTTGCAGAAGCAGTTTTATGAGAAACCATTACAGCCCCGGTGGTCTGGGCCCAGACCCGGTGCACACCACGTGCCCGCACTGGTGCGGGGGGACCATTCTCGGTGAATATGATGGATGCACAGGAAGCCGCCCTGCCATTCAGTGAGAGCTCACCATGTGTCTGCCCCTGGGGTGGGGTGGGGTGGGCAGTTTCCAGCCTTTGCCCATGGGATAGAGCTGCTGGAAGTCTCCCCGAGCTGAGGAGGCAGAGCTGGGGTGGCTGGGGCTGGGGGTTGCCATGGATACTTCCTGCAAGTCCTGACGCCGCTCCTTCCTCTTTGGGGATCTGTCTCCCATACTGTCCCTGCTGCCTTTACATCTTCAGGGTGGAGAGGGACTCTGGCCATCCTGGGGCCAACCATCCTGTGTCACTGCTGGTGTTTGTGACCTGCGGTGGGCCCTCCCTCAACTCCGTATCTCCAGCTCTAAGCCAGAGACAAGAATATCCTCTGTGGGGGGGTCCCTTCAAGGGTGGATGGAGATGAGGCGTTAGGTGTATCCGATGCTCAGGAACGGCCCCGCACCTGCTCATCTTTATGATGAGCAGTGGGACTGCGGGCAGAGGGAGCCACACGCATCCATCCTGGCTCTCAGCATCCCAGGGAAAGATGTTCTGCTCTATCCTGATCAGCCTCGCCCTTTAACCAACCACAGGCTGCCTGCAGTGTGGCCGTGGGGAGCTGGAGTCAGGCATGGTGGCAGCCCTTCTAGACAGTAGGCAGTAGGTAAGCCTGCTGATCACGGAGCCGAGATTCTCTGTGGGACAGAGCTGGTCCCCAGCATCCCTGTGGCCTTTGGGCCAAGAACTCAGTCGGCTACTTTGCTTCCAGGCTTGGGAACACTCAGGGTAGGCTGGGAGTCCCCTGGTCTCACCCTGTGAGCCCCACATAAGCCTGTGGATAGCACCAGCTCAGCAGGTGACCCCCTCATCAAAACCCCAAACTGGGATGCTTCTCTGGCTACATAGGCATGGCCACATGGGGACAGTGGGAGGACATGTGATAATTTGGGGCAGCGGCTGAAAGCCTAGGGGTTAGGGCTACTGTGTCCTTCTAAGGTGGTGCAGGGCGCACAGCCCTCTGGGCCTCAGTTTCCTCTTCTGTGAAATGGGGACTCTATCTTGGGGCCGCAAATGCCAGTGTCTTCTCTGGAAGAAAGGGCGACTGCTGAGGGAAGCAGCACACAGGTGTGAGGGTCCAGGCCCCAGACGGGATCCCACAAAGACCTAGGACAGTGAGCCAAGAGTGGAGAGAGGGGACGAGGGTGGACTGGGGTGGGCCCCAGGAGCTGGGAAGTGAGGAAAATCCAGCTGTGTCCTGAGGGTTAGACTCCACTGCCAATGTTCACAGGATCTGGAGCTGATGGGAACCTGCGGTGTCACCCTGAAGGGACAGATGGCCCCCAGGCTAGCAGGAGGTGGCAGTGTCCGTTTGGCAGCAACATTTGACAAGCAGAAGGCAGTTGGTCCCTCCTGCTTCCTGTCCAGGCTCTTGGGGCTGGGACCCCACTCCCAGCCCTGTCCTCCCCAACCTCCCCACACTTACACAGGCCACTCTGGGGCAGAGGAGGGGTGCTGTGATTTGTGGGTTTGGGAGAAGTTGGAAGCATAATGGGTCAGGCCTGCAGCTCGGTCCACACTGCCTGTGCCAGGTGGAGCAGGTGAGGGCATCCCTGGCTCTGGGGTGGTGTCACTGTTCACACTTTGTCCTATAGCCAGGCCCTTCTTGGGGGTGAGGGTTCCGTGGAGCCCTCCATCTGCCTGGCTCTGCCGATCCAACTCTTTTCTCTCTCTTGGGGGTTTCAAACTTAGACAGGAATAGGGGTGTCATTTATTGGGCCCCAGACAACCTGACCAGGTCCCTCAGAGCACTGAGGCCGGGAGGAGGAGGGTGGAAGGAGATGGGAAGAGTTTCCTTTGTCCTCTCTCCCTGGCCATCCCCAAACCTCCACACAAACCTGGGGTGGCTGAGCATTCATTATGCTTTGTCTTTGTAAATAGGCAGCTATAAAAACCTATCAGCTTGCAGCACCTTCTCCATAACACAGGCTGGATGGATTTATAACCCAGGTCCCCTCCCCGAGAGAAGCTGGCAAAGCAGACCCCAGCCCGCGCTGGCTGCCATCACCCTCCCTGCCCCTGCCCCACCTCATGCAAGAAACAGAAGGGAAAGCACATTGAGTTGTAATATGTTTTCGATGGAATTTGTCACAATAAGAAACTGGATTTTGTTGGGGCTCATGGGATGTTTAGGAAAGAGCCAGAGAGTGGTGCAAGCTGTGGGCCGTGCCGAGAAGCCTGGGCTACAGGAGGGCAGGGGCTGGAGTGTTGGCAGGGTCGCACAGTGGCTCATCTGGACAGTCCACAGCGGATCCAGCCCACACTGTGTCAGGCACTTTGCTGGGACTGGGGGATGTGGCTGTGGGTACGATTGACAAGGTCTGTGTCCTGAGGAGCCCGCAGAGCAGATGAGATGGACATGTGGTCAGTGATGGTACCGTGTCGGGTGGAAGAGACAATAGGCTGAGCTGCCCAGAGCATCGCCTGACCAGCTTGGGTGGTGGCACGTCCAGGAGGGCTTCCTGGAAGAAGTGAATTTATTCAACACATGTTCACTAGAGCCAGTGATGCTTAGGCACTGAGAGTGTTGCCAGGGATACAGGAGAGAATGGGAGAGTCCCTGAGTCATTCCAGACTGTGGGGCTGAAGTGTCCGCCGATGGAGGTGTGGGAAGGGCACAGCGGCTTCCCACGTGAGCAAGGAGCTATGCAATGTGGCAGGTGGCAGGGCCAGGCGGAGGTGCCTCCACCTGTCTCCAGACCCCACCCCCTACCCAGGTATGGAATTGTTGTCTCCAGTTGGCAGAGAAGGAAACTGAAATGGGGGTTTCACCTCTCAGGAATGGGTAGGCCAGGATTTTAACCCAGGCCTGCAGACACCAAATCTATCCCTCGCTCAGGCCTGCACTGACCTCCGTGCACCTCTGGGGCTCCAGGCAGCTGCCTGGGTGGGTGCTGTGTCTGGGGTCTCTCCTGGCGTTCCTTAGGCCCCTCCCCTATCACCGTCCTTCATTATTCACTTGGATGCCTTGATGGTCGGGGCTGGAACCCCCCGAGCTGACCCACCATGCGGCTCATCTTCCTTCTCCTTCCAGTGCTTGGTGATCTTGAGAGTGAGGCTGAACCGTTGCTTGATTTTTCTGTGACCCAGATGAAGAGCTGGGTAACCATTTGCTCAATAAAGTGAGAGACCCCATGTTCTGGTTAAAGTGGAGGCACTGAGGACCAGCGAGGGGAAGGCAGTACTTGTATTTGTCAGCCTGGAGGAGACGCCAGATACCAGCCAGAGCACCCCAGCCTGTATCTCGACCACCACCTGCAGTTGGTGCTGAACCCCCCCACTCCACCCCATAGATGAGACAATTGAAGCCCAGAGAGGCCAGGCTTCTTGCCGAGGGCTGCACAGCCGGCAGGGATGCTGGAATTGGGATTTGGCCCCAGCCTTGTCTGACTCCAAAGCCAATGCTATTTCCACCATACCCAGTGTCTCCCAGAGCTAATTTTGCGGCTGGAACTGCAACCCGCAAAGCTATCTAGGACAGGCAACTCGATGAAAGAGAATTAGGAGGGAATCCTAGAAAAATGGGGCTCGGCAGCTCCCGGGGAAGCCTGGAGAGGAGGTGGCGCCGAAGCCTCTGCCAGCAGATTGGGGTGGGGCTGTTTTCAGTCCTCTCTGGCGAGGTGTTTTGAAGCCTCCTCTGGGAACCGTGTGCCTCTGTCCAGGACTGGCTGTCTCTCTGGAAATCATACCCTGGCAGCATTTGGCTTTGGGTGAAAGGAGAAGAGAAGATTCTGGCCATTCAGAGCAGGCCCTTGTGCGGGATGGAACCCATTTTCCAGAACTCTTGGGACAGGGACCAGGGTGGCAGGCAGGGGCCCGTGGACTGCCTGGGGGACCTGGTGCTTGGGGACTTAGAGATTTGTTTTCCTGCTGAATATATTGCTTTCTCGTGCCTGCTTTGTGCAACCACGTGAGGATGTGGGGGTGAGGATGGCCGACAGGACACGGGAGTCCCTCCCGACAGGGGCCAGGCGGCGGCGGGGGTCCGCATGTCTCACGTCAGCATGGCTCTGTGTTTTCACTCCTCTCCAGCACATATTTAGTGGAAATGAACTCATTTTATTATTAAAAATTAAAGTCATGCATTCATAGGGTAAACAAGATTGAGAGCATGTGGAGGTGCACTGTGAAAGTGCAGTTCTCTCGGAATGGGCACTTAGAGACGCGCCTGTTCTCTGCAGCTGCCGCAGGGGTCTCATCTTGTTGGGACAGAACACGGTTGATTCATGCAATTGGCTGTTGATCAACATCAGGTTGTGTCTAGTTTTGTTTTTTTCCCGTTTCGCACGGTGCTGCGAATTCACAGCTGTGCCAGTGTATCTGAAGGTAAATCCCACGAGTGGGCCTTGGAGAGTCAGAGGATGGGGCCTTCTACGTGGACTTGGTGTGGTTGGGTGTGTGATGCCTGCGTGGGGCTATGTGTTTTTAGCCCTTCCTTCTGACAGGTTCTGGAGGCCTCCTCTGTGCCTGCCAGCCATGCAGCCGCTGAGCCGAGCATCACCCAAGGCTTGCCTGAACCTGGCCTGGGTCCCAAAGGAACACTGCTCTGGGGCATGGAGGTTGGCTGGTTGAGAACTAAAGCCACATCAGCAGGGGCACTGCCCCCACCTGCTGGGGTCAGCCCCCGCCCGGAGTTCAGCAGGACCTCCGTGAGCCTTCGTGCAGGTGGCTCATTGCAGCACGTCCCCTTGGGGTGGTGGCCATTGGCTTGTGGTTCCTTTGCTCACTGGGGGGAGGAGGACAGCCAGGCACAGGTGAAAGGGGCTTGCGGGTGACGATTCTAGTCCTTGGCCCGGGGAATGTCCCTGGGCTTCTGAGGCCTCACCTCCCTGGGTAGTCAGGAGGGTTACGAGGGTGGGGCCTGGCCCTGGGGACTCCAGGGTGTGGCAGCAGTGGGAGTGAGGAAACAGCCCTGAGACGGAGGGAGAGAAGGGCGATCCAGATGGCGGTGGCCTCCTCACCCCTCGGCCAGTGATGCATGGTAGTGGTTTTGACGGGCTGACCTCGAGGGTCTGCCTGGGAGCCGCTTGGAACTCTCTGGAGGTGGGGCCGGCCCTGGTGGGGGCAGGAAGGTCCCAGAGCAGCTTGTTAAGTGGGCTGAGGACAAGTGTCAGGAGACCTGGGTCTGGATCCCGCTCCAATACCCCTCTCCGTGTGACCTCCAAGGGATCCACCTGCCTTGGCCTCTCAAAGTGCTGGGATTACAGGTGTGAGCCACTGTGCCCAGCCTGTGCCCAGTGTACCCATCAGTAAAGCAGGGATCAAACAGTTCTTAAATCCTGCAGCGGTGGTGAGAGCCACCTGAGGAAACGATGCAAAGGGCTTTGACGGAGTCTGGCACAGAGAACGCACCCAATAAATGACTGCCGTGACGATCTTTCTTCTCGCCCTCAGGTGGTCTCTGGAAGCTCCTCTGTGCGGGGTTTTCTCATTTGCCAGCTGTGCATCCCCCGGTCGTAGTGCGGCTCCCACGGGGGTGTACCAGGAGCCTCTGCTCCTCCTATGCTTCCTGAAAAAGGGCCCAGAGAATATTTCCATCAGGAATAACTGAGTGAATCCCAGAAACTTCCTATCACATTTAGGGTGATTAGGCAGATGCATACGATTCTCACTGTGGGAAAGGAGCTGGCGACCTCGATGGGTTGTGGTTCCCGCAGGGATGTGCTTGCGCTGCTGTTACTCCAGCCGTAGCTGAGGCACGGGAGAAAACGGAGACCCCGAGAAGTTCAGAGGCTTGTGCAGGTCACGCTGTTCCTACGAGGTAGACCCTGACTTTGACCCCAGGCTGTGTCCCTGCCAAGCTTGGAGCCTCTTTCTCAAAAGGGCGACGGAAGGATGTTGTTACAGATGTGGTTGCCAGTTTCCTCCTTTTCATTAAATCACCAGGGAAATGGTCTCTTGCAACCCCCCTAAAGCAGGGGGAAGGAGGAGGACAAAGGTCAGGTCACCATCTTTGCTGGCATGTGAGTGGGGTGGGGGTGGGGGTGGGGAGCTAGGAGACCTGGCGCTGGGCCCTTGAAATATCCACATTTCCACAACATTCTGGGTGTCAGTGAGCCCCTGCCTTCCTCCCTCACATTTATCCGGAGCTCTTCCTCCGCAGGGAAGAACAACAGCCCGAGATGGGGTTATTTCAAGGGGATTTCCATGGAAACGGGAGGGTGGGAGGTTCCTCCCAGCACTTGTATAATGGGAGTTGGCTGAGGTGGCAGCGTGTCCCCACGGAAGGGTGCGAGGGACCTTCTCTGCACCGCAGGCCTCCTCAGAGTGGGAGGCACCGACCCGAGAGTGGCTGGCTCCCCTTTCATGCTCCCACCCTCTCTACCCAGCTCAAGACCCCGGGGCTCCTTGGTGAGAGTGAGAGCCAGGCCAGCTCCCCAGGGACCCCCAAGGCCTGGTCCTTCCCATGGTCTCTTTTCTCTAGCAGGTCTTTGTCTTGGGCTGCTGCCAGCCACAGCTTCCTGGCAGGACCTCCTGGCAGGACCTCTGTGCTTTGAGCCGCTGTTGCTCTGCCAAGACCTTGCCCCGCACCGTGGTCTGAATCAGCCCAGCACCCCTTCGCCTCTGTTGCAGTGCTCACATTTATCCCTCACTCCTCCATCCAGCATGTTTTGTTTTTTTTTTTTTACAAGCAGACACTTTGCTTTATAAAAGAATTCTGCTGTGAGCTGCCGTATCCTCTCTGAGCCTCCCTTTTGTCATCTGCTGAATGGTAACAGCAGCGCCTGCCATGCCTGCTTGGTGAGGATTCCATCAAGCAGGGAGACAGTGGGCCGTTGGCGGGGAGTCTGAGCAGGTGTACCAGTATTTCCAGTCAGCTGATGGCTGATGGACATGTTCTTGGAGGCAGGGAACTCGGAGGCCTGCAGACGTGCCCCAGGATGACAAGATTCATCAGTTCCTACAAGCCCTGCCTGGGCCTCATGCTTTTCAGTGTGTCCTGGGCTTTCCCGTGTGAAATCTTACCTGATTTTTATGCCACCTTGAGAAGAGTGATATTCATCTCCGTTGTACAGATGAGGAAACTGAGGCTCAGGGAGGCAACGTGATCTTTGCAAGGATCCGTCTGTTCCCCCCGTGGCCTGGCTGCCCCTCCTGGCAGTGCAGGTGGAGTTAAAACCATACAGGAGTTAAAATGAGCCTCGATGGGGGTGGGAAGCTACGACTGGAAAACGTCCGATGCTCTCCCAAGTCAAATTGTGCTTGGTGTCTGTGGGTGTGTCGGTGTGGGGGAGGGAAGCTCAGCCCTTTTGAAAAGTGGGGGGTGGTTTGACGACGCTGCAGGGGCAGCTCCGAGTTCTAGAGTCTCAGAACGTGGTTCTAGGCGGTTCATGTGGATCAAGTGCTGTTCTGAGCACTTTAATATCCAGCGTGACCATAAGGATAAGTGCCACTGTTACTGGCTTTTTCACAGATGAGGAAACTGAGGCACAGAGGGATTAGGTAAAGTGACTGGAGTCACTCAGCCAGGATGTGAATCACAGCCCACACCCATGTGCACCAGGAAGCCTTGGCTTTCAGGGTCCTTGGAGGGTGTGCCGGGCAGTCGCCTAAGCTGGGAAACCTTGGGCTTGTCTCCAGGCCATGTGGCCATGTGAGATAGGAGTCCTCCTGTGTTATGTTCTGCGACACTGTGGGCAGAGGGCTGAGGACCCCAGCCCTCCCTTAGAACATCATGTTGGTGTGAGACATTTAGAGCCAGGCCTCCCTGCTTAGAAAGCACCTCTTGGGTCACTTGCATTAGTGAAGTTATACATTTGAAACTCCATTTATTTATTTATTTATTTAGAGACAGGGTCTCTCCTTGTCACCCAGACTAGAGTACCGTGGTGCCATCATAGCTCACTGCAGCCTCAAACTCCTAGACTCAAGTGATCCCCCTGCCGGGGCCTCCCAGAGTGCTGGCATTACAGGCATGGGCCACAGCACCTGGCTGAAACTCCCTTTTCATGAAAAGAAACAGCTTCAACTTTGCAATCTCATCTGTCTGTCTATGAGGCTGTGCCTTTGTGTGAGATGAGAGCAGTCACTGTCACTTGCTCTTTGAATATTTGATTAACAGGTAAACAGCCTGAAATCCATTTGACATCTTATCCTTTTGCAAACTTGGCTAAATTCTCTTAAATTGGTTCCAGTTGGATTAATTAAATGCATGGTTGCTTATACATGTGTGTGGAAATGATTCTGGCAGGTCATGTCTTAGCTAGATAGTGAACATAAGCGTCTAGAATATTCTCAGCTGTTGCAGAGACTGCCAGGAATGACCTTGAAAAAGTTTGGGAGAGGGTTTTTTTTTTTGTTTTTATTTTGCTTTTGTTGAGACAGGGTCTCACTCTGTCACCTAGGCTGGAGTGCAGTGATGTGATCTCAGCTCACTGTAACCTCTGCCTCCCAGGCTCAAGCGGTCCTCCTGCCTCAGCCTCCCGAGTAGCTGGGACTACAGGCAGGCACCAACATACCCGGCTAATTTTTGTATTTTTTTTTTGTAGAGTTGGGGTCTCACCATGTTGCCCAGACTGATCTGGAACCCCTAGGCTGAAGGGATCCACCTGCCTTGGCCTCTCAAAGTGCTGGGATTATAGGCGTGAGCCACTGTGCCCAGGCTGGAGAGGTTTTTGGATGCACTGGGCCATGGATGTGAAGGTGAACACATGGAAACGATCCCTGCCACCTGCTTGTGTGTCCAGTGGACATGTCTCTGATCTATCCAGATTGTTACACTGTCAAAGTGAAAACTGCTGAGAGTAGAGCCATCTGCCTGGCCAGGCATCGCTTGGAAGCGTGAAGACACTTTGCCTTTTTGTCTCATGATTCTCTCTCCATGTGCAGCTTCGTTGGCTTAAAAGAAATTAAGAAACTGGGCCCCCGCTTAGGACCTGCTGAAGTGCAGAGTTACTGTCTTTGAAGTGGTGGGGTAGGGAAAAATAGGAAATAAGGGGTCTGATCATTTTGAGAAACCTCAGGGAGATTTACACCTGGGCTGTGCGAGGACCCCGGAGAGTGGCAGAGTGTATTTGGAATTTCCAGTAGTCCTCATTCCTCCCTTAATATCCAGGGGATCTGGGGCCTCAGTCTTCTTATCTGTTAAATGGGACAAGTAACGACTAGGCTTTGGGGTTGTCAGGAAGACTGAATAAGAAAATGGGTATGAAAACAGTGGTCACGGTGCCTGGCCCTCCATCCCTGTCTCCACCAGGCCTACCTGTCTGGCCCAGGCCTCCCTGATCTCCGCGGGAGCAGACCTCCTGTAATGGTGTCAAAGGACCCTTGTTCTATTTATCCATCTGATTTCCATTTTCGGGGCCACTGCCTCTAGCCATGTTAGGCACATGGTGAGTGTCTGTCCCATCAATCCTTGTCGATTCTGTGGTCCTGGGTGGGCCATAGCGTTTCTAACCTGTCCACTCTCTCCTAATCAGGCATTTGGACCTGTTTGGGTTCCCAAACTCTGTCACGGGCAGAGGGCTGCAGGAGGCTACTCACGGGCCAGGGTTGTTTGGACCTGGTTGGGTTTCCAAGCTCTCTCGCAGTCAGGGGGCTGCAAGAGGCTACACATGGGCCAGGGTTGGGCTGCTGGGCTGCTGGGCTGCTGCTGTGTTGGAGCTGCCTAGCACTTGCTTCGTTGCTGCACCTGAGAGGCTGTGTGGGCTGAGACAGCCAGAAAAGATGCACCGGGAGCCATCTGTTTGCAGCCCTTGGACCAGATGCTCTGCAAGGACTCCGGGGGGGCGGTGGGGTGGGGAGGGAATACATTTGCTGAGCACCCAGCATCTTTCAGAGCCTCAGCACAGCCCTACAAGCTGGGCATTGCCATCATGTTTATACGGACCAGGAACACGAGGCTCAGAGTGACTGAGTCACTGGTGACAGTCACCCAGCCAGGAAGTGGCATAGGTGGGGCTTGAACCCAGGGCTTCCTGAGTCCCAGGCTAGTGTTCTTTGCCTCAGGCTGCTGAGGTTCCAGCTGAATGTTGCGGCAGAGTGACTTCTGAGAAGTACCACGGAAGGGGGTGACTCACGCCGGGGTGGTCTGGCTTCTCTGCCCAGTGCCTGAGGACACCCAGGTCCCTCTGCGGCCTTGGGGCTTTACCCAGCGTCTGCATGGCATCCCGCAGCACCCTGCCTCTGGAGCGCACCCTGTGTGTATCCTAAAGTGCGCTTTGCCTAGAAAACCTTTCTAATGAAACTGGTGGAAGATGGAGAAGCCAAATTCAGTTTTCAGAGATGACACTAATCCTATTAAGGTTGATGGGGCCAGAGCATGTGTGGAATTAGTCCTGCCAGGCGGCGGCCGGGCACCTGCCTGGAAGGCTGGAGGGGATCCTAACAAGAGTGGTGCCGAGGAGAGAGAGGGAAGGGGCCTCATCTCTCCCAGAGGTTTAAAAAAACTGAGGCCACTGTAGAGCTTGGTTCTCCCAGGTTCCTGGGGTGGAAAACAGGGCTTCCCACAGCAGACGGAAATGGGAGGTGGGCAGTAGTCACCGAGCAGGGAGGCTGTGAAGTAGTCATTTAGGTCGGGAAAGTCACGCAAGATCTCCAAGCTTCAGTCTCCTTAGCTGTGATGGGGGGAATGGGTGCCCCCCTTGGGCGACTTGTGGGACCCAGAACTCATCACGCAGAGCGTCCCACTGCTGTGCAGCCACTAGCTGCTCGGTGCTGGGGCTGTGGTATGAGCATGGACTCTGGAGTCAGAATTCCTGCCTTCAAAGCCCCACTCCTCACCTTGCTAGCTGTGTGGCCTGGGGTGAGTTGCGTAACCTCTCCATGCCTCAGTTCCTTCATCTATGAAATGGGGAGACTGAAACTGTACCCCACACCCTAGGGGTGTTGGAACTTAAGTGAGTTAATTCATATAAAACACGGAGTGAGTGCCTGGTACGCAGGAAGTGCTCAGTTCCTCTTGGTGCCTGTGATTATTCCCATAATCATCACTGGTGTCACCTTGTCGCCTCTCCCAGCCCTTGGGGCCATGCTATTTGTGGTAGGAAATGGGGCCTGAAACCATCAAACTAAACTGGACTGAATGATCAGTCCACCGACCACCACAGTCACGGCTTGGTGGCCCCACGGACTGAAGCACGTGGCCAAGGGCAGTTTTCCCTTCTCTGTGTGGGTTCCACTGGGTCCAAGTACATTGTTCCTAAGCCCAGGCCTCTGGCCACTCACCCACCTCCTGCTGAGAGCGGGCAGAGCTGATGCCCCTCTCTGGGCAGAATCAGCCCACGGCTGGGAGGGGAGGCCAGGCCTGCTGCTGGGGGTGCAGATAGTGGGGAGCTGCAGGCCAGCCACTGGAAACCTGGCCTGTGTGCTGAGACAGCACATTGGACACAGTCTGGTGGCCTTCCCATAGATCAGGCCACAGAGTCCTCATCCTGGGTCCACCCAAGGCACTGGCCATTTCCAGATCAAAGAGCAGGTGGATTCCAGGGTGAGACGGTCCTCTCTGCTGGCTGCCTTCCCCCACCCACGGACACCGTTTGGCTTTGATGGGGCTGTGTCCTAGGCTTGACCCAGGTGGTCAGGAGCCTTCCACTATGCAGTGGGATATGCTGCAGGAGTAGGGCGGAGAAGGAAGGGAATGGCCGGTGGTGAACAGCTGCCATGCCCCAGGCATTTAATTTTGACCGCAGTGCTGGGGGGCCATACCCAGTAATACAGATGAAGGACTGAGACTCAAGGGTCAGTGCTTGCTCAGAGACCCACAGTGAAGAGTGGGGCCATCGTGTTGCATGTGTGTGGCTGGGCCCCATCCCCTCCTTTCTACAGCACCACCCCTCTATTCCTTATCAAGTTCACCTTTAAGGCTCCTTTGCCCCTCACTGGGGCAGTCATGAGAGGAGCAGAGGCCTCGGATCTGGGCATGGATGAGGGTAGAGCCCTGGCTGTGTCCTGCAGGTGACACGTACAGAGCAGAAGGTGATGCTGGAACCATCCGCCAGGGAAGGGCTGTCCAGGAAGAGGTCACAGCCTGAACAGAGGCGAGGTGGAGAGAGAGTGCTCGTGTGTGGGGACTGGTGGCAGCTCAGGAGGGCAAGACTGTGACTTGCAGGCTGGGAACCAGGGAGGCTGCAGGTGATGGAGGCCCCATGGGGCTCATGGGGCGGGCTGAGGAGCGTGGCTCCTCCCCTGCAGCTGGAGGGGCCAGGAAGGGCTTTAAGCCATGGAGTGAGGGACCAGAGTTGGGTTTAGAAGGGTCACTGTGGTGTCGGTGTGGAGGGGCTTGAAGGGAGGAGTTTGGAGGGAGGGGCTGTAGCAATGTTGAGATTCCCTAATCACTTTAGTGTTTTCATGCATGAGGGCCCTGAGGTGCTTTTTTCCAGAGCCTGCACTGAGGTTCCCTGTTGGCGGCTTCCCTCAGGCTGCTGGAACCCCCTTTTCCTGTGCACCTGCAGAGCTGGAGGTTACTGGAAACTCATGTCCTCTGCCAGAGTCAGCCCTCACCCAGTCACTGACAGGTGCAGTGGTATAAATACCCCAGCTCCCTCCCTCCTGATCAGGACACTTTGAGATGGGACCTACACTGTCCCCAGAGCTCCCATGGGACTGAGCTCAAGTCGCACTCCTTGAGATTTTTCCTGTTATCACACCCCACTTGGCCTCCTTCATGTCCTGGCCCCACTTCCCTACACCCTTCCTGGCTTTCCCAGCAACACTTCCTAATCACTTCCAGAAAAATGTTGGCCTCAGGGTCTGCTTCTGGAGAACCCAGCCTAGCAGAGGGCAGCAAAGGTGTTGAGGCACTAGGAGAAACATGGTGAGATACAGACTCAGGCGGCGTCCATCAGCTATGCCAGGAGGCTCTGAGACGTGCCAGTCAGGGAGGGAGGTGCTGAGGCCACAGCAAACCGGGGGCCAGAAGTAAGCACCACAGACAGCACCAAGGCTGCCAGGGTCCATCATCTTGGGTCTCCCAATTGGTTGGGTCCAGAGACCAGCCTGCTGGCGTTTACGGAGCCAGCATGTTACATCTCTCTGTGTCCCCACTGCTGAAAGCCTCTGGTCAGTGCCATGGTGCTGAGGGAGCTTGGGCCTCCCTTAGAGGTTGCTAAGAGCCCCCAACACCTGCCCTGTGAGTTGTTGGCCCCAGGGGACTCTGAGTTTCCCTGTTTCTGGTTTTCCTGCTCATGGGATTGGGAGTCTGACCTGAGCTTGCTGAGACAGATAACTGATCATTCAGATACAAAACTCTAAAGGTTAGAACTCTTTTCTGATAACTTAAATAGAAAATGAATTCATGCAACATGTACTCATCTGTCCATCTGCGCACGCATCCAACATGTATGTATCTCAGTTGATTGCTGATTCCATGCCAGGCCTTGGGGATCTAGAGATGGCTTGGTCCCTATGGTCATACCCATGTGAAGGGAGATAGAGGTGGACAGAAAGACAACCATAATGTCATTTTGACAAATTCTGGGAAAAGATGGGCCACCCAGCCTGTGAGACCTGTATGTAGTGATGGAGGGATGGGGAACGGTGGAGGTGTCAGGGAAGCTCCCCAGGGGAGCTGTTCCTTGAGGTGGTTTTAAGAGCTTAGCAAGAGTTTTCTACGCAGTGAAGTGAAGACGTAGGGCAGGTGGAGTGGAGGGTTGGCACCTAAAGGTCCTGAAAAGGAATGGTGTTGCAAGAGGCAGCAAATAGCATGGGGTGGGCTAAGCTCCAGCTGGTTGAGTTTGGGTCAGAAGTGTGGACTTGGTTGGTAAGGACTCCTGAGAGTGTCATGTCCAGGCACTTGGACTTGATGCTGAAAATACAGCCATTCAACAGAGAAGTATGTATGTCTGAGTGTGATGTGGTTAGATCTTTAGTTTAGGAAGACCTCTCTGTTCATGGTGGGGAGAGTGGATGAGATGGGGGTGGACTGGAGGCAGAAGAGCAGAGGAGAAGAGCAGACTTTCTAGGAGACGAAGCGGGAGGGGCTGCTCCCAGGGCCTGGCTGTGAGTGGTACTGACCAGAGCCATCCATCAGCCCAGATCATGTCTCCCTAATTTAGAAGAAAATGAGAGGAAAGAGCCTTTTCATCTCTGCCTCTTCTGGGATGGAAATGAGCTATTTTGAATCACGCTAAAGTTAGATTTCTAGTTTTCCTTTTAATCCGTGTCTCATTTAGAGCATTAGAAACTGGAAAAGCACCCCCGTATGAATGTAGTGTCATAAATCAGTGCACGTCACAAACTGCAGAAGGAGTCATTTCTACAAGAGTGTGCAGCCTTGCATTTATGATAAATCTAATGCTTTATCTTTTTGGGCTTCAGACTAGAGTAATTAGTCATTTCTGCTGATACTGGCAAACCATTGCATGTGCAGTGTTAATGGAGAGCAAATGTATTTGAACTGCTTTTGCAATTGCTTGTGAGCATTGCTGTGTATCTCTTCTACCTGTTTCTAGAGGGGAAACATCCTATATATTTCATTCTTGCCTATTCTAGGAATAGGTGTGGTAATAGTATCAGGTAACACTTACTGGGTTTCTTCCACATCTCTGGCACTGTTCAGAGATTCAATAAGAAAGGATCCTTTGTCCAAATGGAAGCTGCCGTGTGTGTGTTGAGGTCCTTGGGTCAATCTGATCATGCTCTGTCTCCTGCTCTGTGCCCGCACTGTGTCAGGGAACACCTGGATACCACTCATGTATTATTCACCTAATAGGTTTCTTTAAATGTTGGCCCTCTACCATAAATGGAAAACCAGCAAATCAGGCCAAAAATAGAAGTAACCAAAGACAAGCGCAGGTGTTTCTGCTCTAATGAAATAGAGACATCCTGAGAAACTTCTCATTCTGCAAAATCCCAAACAAATGACATCAGAGCTGATGGACAGAATGGGGTTGGGACAGATGACTGGAAGTCTATGCAGTGTGTCACCAGACACTCATAAAAATATTAAGTTTTAGAAAAATCTGGCACAATGAAAGAAAAACATATTAATTCCTGTTAAAGAAACATTCCAACCATTATACAATCTTATCTTGAAGGAAAAAGTGAAGGTCATTTAATGGAAGGGGCTGAAAGGGAGGGAGCTGAATTATGGCTGGGACATGGCCTGGGTACAGAGGGAGACCCGTCCACCAAACTCTTCCAAACTGAGCTAAGAGGTAGGTGCGCAGGGAATGAGTCTATTCTCTTGGGCCACATTCCTTTGAGGCTTGATGTTCAGCCATTAGTGTATTTTGCATTCAGTTGCTTCCTCTGGCTGGCACAAAACATTAACACACTGAGAAAGGCTGCGTTTGAACCAACCTAACTTTTACATTATACTGACATCATTCCCCTATGTACAAATTGCATACGACCTACTTTGCAAAGGCAATGGTCATAGTAACTGTACGATGGTGAGTGGGGTTGTTAAATGCAGACCAGATACTGCTGTAATAGGGCTGTGACTCAGGACTATCATTCCAGTTGCCTGATATGAAAAAGGACATGAAGGAGAAGGTTTTATGAGAACTCTGGCAAAGACCCATGAAACCACTCTTCTTTGCCCTCCAGAAAACCTGGTAAAACTGAAAGTAAGCCAGCAGCCCCACGGGTTTGGGATTGATCCAGAAGACTGAAGGAATAAAAACAAGCTAATATATTTCTATCCCCTCCCTTCTAAGGCCTGTAGTTGGTTCCATTATGATGAGACAGCAGCCGATGCACGTAAAAACAGAGGCCATGCATCTACACAGGGGTGTTGAGGATTGAATGAGATTAGGTCTGAAAGAACACACAGTGGAGACAGTGTTGTCATTGTGGGGACAAAGATTTCTTTTCACAATTTGAGTGACACTTGTCATTTCTATAGGCAGTTAAGAGACAATAACTGCATACTGTTGGCCGCTGTACCTTTCCTGTGCACTGAGTCCCTGAGCATATTCGTGAGTCTTTAAAAGTACATTCTAGTCAATGTAGAAAACAGATAGTAAGGGACATGACTCTACCTAGATTAAGCTCAGTTTTGAAGCAGGGCCTAGAGGATTTAGAAGTGACAGAGTCCTGGATTAGGTGACATTTGATAAGAGCTCTGTCCCTAACTTCCTCTTAATTCTGGACAAGCCACTCCCCGCTCTGGCTGTAGTTCCCCCATCTTTAAAATGAAACAGTTGAATCAGACAACTACAAAAGGACTTGCCAGGCCTTCTGTCTCAGATCCTGTGTTGTTGAAGGGATGTCTGAGGCCAGAGATGCAGTTTACTTCTGAGCAATTACAGTTGTATTTCTTGTGTTCAGCCTAGCCCTTTACCAAGCTTTGTTGAAGAAATGGAGCAAGATCCTTGTCCTTTGCTTCGGTGGTTTTTAAAACTTGGATGCCTAAAGAAACCAGGAAGGTCATATCAGTGAGCAAAGTACAAAATGTATAAGCAAGACACAGTGCACCATGACGCTGAGAGTGGCAAAGTAACAGTCCAACCATGCATCAGGGAGTGGTGGGGACTGTGGCGTGCTGGCAAGCATAGCCTTGTGGGATTCTGCATTGGACAGCTCTTACAATTTCTGGAGAGAAATCAGAAATTCAGGTCTACATGTTGAATCTTTTAATATTGAAATGTTCACTTGGCAATGTGTAAACATCATTTGGGTCAAAGCCCATCTGTGAACCAAGTTAGTCAAAGACAACTGGGCATTTGGACCTCAGCTTTATAGTCTATATAAGGGTTGGTAAACTATGGCCCACATGCTAATCTGACCCACCTCCTGTTTTTGTGAATAAAGTTTAAATGAAGATGCAGTCACACCTATGTGTTTAGGTATTGCCTGTGGCTACTTTCACACTACAACAGCAGGGTTGAGTAGTTGTGACGGTAGTTGAGACAGTGTGGCCCTGTATTTATTCTCTGGACCTTTATGGAAAAAGGTTGCTGACCCTTGGTTCATGTCAATGACTCATATGGAGCAGCAGGAAACATTCTGAATTTGGAGCTGAATGACCAGGGTTTGACGCCTGGCTCAGGGAACTCTAGTAACAGAGTAGAGAGTGTTTCTCTTTTCTCCTTTTGGAAATGATCCTGAAGCAACAAATGGAACAAATGGAAATGCAAATGCCATCTTTGATGGAACCATAGCTTCTGGAACCTCATATGTGGGGAAGTGCAGTAAAGGTCAAAAATGGGTGCAGGATGTCTCCAAAGGGAAATAAAATGCCCATGGCTGTAAAGCTCAGACAGAGCAAACAAAGCAGAATTTTCTACACCTTCTGTGGTGGGCTCAGATGGCAAGACCTATAGTTCCTCTCATGGAGCAATAAGAACAAGTGCATTGGCTGGTGTCTTAGTCTGTTCATGCTGCTATAGCAGAATACCATAGATTGGGTGGCTTGTAAGCAGCATACTTTTATCTCTCACAGTTCTGGAGGCTGGGAAGTCTGATACCCAGGTGTAACAGATTTGGTGTCTGCTGAGGACCTGTTTTCTTGTTCATAGATGGTGCCTTCTTGCTGTGTGCTTGCGTGGCAGAAGGGGCTAGGGAGCTCTCTGAGATCTCTTTTATAAGGGTACTAATCCCATTCATGAGCACTCCACCCTCTAAGACCTAATCAGTTCTGAAAGACGTTACTTCCTAAGACCATCACATTGGGGGCTAAGATTTCTATATATGAATTTCGGGGGGACACACATTCAGACCATAACAACTGGTGTGGGAGCCTTCCCAGATCTAGTTTTGCACAAAGTGAAATCAGGGAAGTCTGGGGTGAACAAGGTCTCACATGGACAAGCTATATTTTCAAAAAGCAGTCTACTAGAGAGGCAAAGTGGAGAAAAGGGGCTGTGTTATGTGCCAGCCTGTGGCATCTGATCTTAACAAGAAAGAAGTAAAGGCCAAAAGAACTGACTCTCACTCACAAGCCTGTTTTCTAAGAACTAGATTACTCTTTTGGACACTCTGGTGCACGAATCTTGTATAAATAGATGGTTCAGGAAGAACTCATCACATTCAGAGATGAGTAATAATTAGTAAGGACCAGTGCAAGCTCTATCTCAAGATCCTCCAAAAATGAAGAAAGTAACAGATGAAAAATATGCGCAAGAAAACATTTGCCATAAATCAGATGAAAATATCAACTGTACATAATGCCTTGGACTAAGGAAAAAAATAATTGAGCAATCACACCTCTAAACAAGAGTATAAAGTTGAGATACAAGAACTCAGGAGAGGTGGTAACATGACAGAAGAGAGTGAAACCTGATATGATGAGCTCCACAAAGTAGATAGATTAACAAATAAACCCATCTAAAAAGTGAAGTATGCAATGGAATGATTATGACAGGGAACACAGAAAACACAGTAAGAGATATGGAAGATGAGATTGGGAAAAGCAAGATAAATTAATGTAAAGAGAGAGAGAGAAATATTAGAACATGATGCAGAGGACAGATAAGGGGATCCAACATACACATAATTGGTGTCCCTGGAGATAAGAATGAAAATAATTAAATAAAAAAAATTTAAGGCACAATTCCAGAACTTTCTAAAAATAAGATTTGAATTTATGGACTGAAAGGAAATACAGTGAGTGGCTGAGAAAATATTGATATGGTGAGGTCAACAGAAAGACATAGAGAAGTACTAATTTCCTCATAAATCAAGAACCCCCAAAAAAATTCAATAGAAGAATGGATAAAGGATGTGATGAGGAGATGGTTTACATAAAAGGAAATAGAAATATCTTTTAAACACATAAAAACTCAACCTCACTCATAATAAGAAAACTCCAAGTTAAGATACTGTTTTTTTATCTATCGTATAGGCAAGGACTAAAATAGCTGATATTACCATGATGGTGCAGGTATGAGGGAAACAAGAACTCTCAGAAACATGGCTATGGATTTCACTTCTAATCCTTGTCTGATGGAAGTACACAAGTAAGAGGCCAGGTGTGGTGGCTCATGCCTGTAATCCCAGCACTTTGGGAGGCCGAGATTGGCAGATCACTTGAGGTGAGGAGTTTGACACCAGACTGGCCAGCATCACGAAACCCCATCTCTACTAAAACTACAAAAATTAGCCAGGCGTGGTGGTGCATGCCTGTAATTTTAGGTACTTGGGAGGCTGAGGCACGAGAATCGCTTGAACCCAGGAGGTGGAAGTTGCAGTGAGCCGAGATCACGCCACTGCACTCTAGCCTGGGTGACAGTGTGAGACTCTGTCTCCAAAAAAAAAAAAAAAAGAAAAGAAAAAAGAAATACGCAGGTGAGAAATGACATTTATCCACATTTGTCATAGCATTGTTGGTAATGGGAAAGAATGGAAATATCTGTAATGGCCATCACAGGGGACTGTTTACATAAATTATTCCAGAGCGTGATAGTGGATAGCAATGAAAAGAACGTGACAGCTCAGGGTGCGCTGATGTAGAATGATGTTTAAGATTCTTTAGGTGAAATGAGCAAGGTGCAAAATAGTGGATGATCCATGACATGCTTTATGATTAAAACATGGTATCTTATGACTGCTTGTGTGTAGACTCCTTCTGGTAGGATGATGCACCTGAAAGTGCTCATAGTGGTTGCCACTAGACAGGAGAGCTGAGTGAGTGGGAGAAGGGCCTAAGGGAGACTTATTTTCACTGTTAGCTTTTTTGTGCCCTTTGCATTTTATACTCATTTCTTAACCAAAGGCTGCACAGCTTAGGTTGTGACCATAAGCTCTAGAGTCAGCTGTTCGAGTTCGAACCCTGACTGGGCTGCCTACTCGCTGTGTGACCTTGGACAAGTTACTTCACCTCTGTGGGTCTCAGAGTTGTCAGATGGATGTAACAATGGTGCCTGTTTCATAAGTTGTTGAGGATGAACTGAGTCAATTCAAGGGAAAGAATGAGGACAGAACCTGGCACAAAAAAATACAGTCAAATTAGCTATTATAGTGACTGCATGTATAGTTGAACCCAGGGTCTGGATTTGGAACCCGTATGCCTATTGGCCCAATGGGGGGGATGACTTGGCCACAGAACAGCCACAGCCAGGCAGTAAAGGGCACAGGGAGGGGGCCTTAGCCTGGGGCTTCAGGGAAGCTGCCCAGGGGAAGTGATGCTGCTGGGTCTTACAGAATGATGGGAAAACTTGGCGGCACCGTTTCAGGCGACGCTACTTAGATCTGCAAAACTGTTGATGTCTTACAATACCAAGTGTAGGGCGGGGCTGGAGAAATGGAAACTCATGCCACCACTGGAAATGGATATGAAAGCAAACCATTTGCAAAGTCATTTGCCAATATCCAGATATGTCCAAGCAGCCCCTCTGTTCCCCTTCTAGGTAAATAGCAGGGAAGCCTTCAGCTGTGCACAGAGAGCCATTCAGCAACAGAGCAGACCCTCGAACAACACGGGGTTGGGGGAGCCAACCCCCTGCACAGTCAAAAACCCACATACAACTTTTGACTCCCCAAAAACTTAACTAATAGCCTCCTCTTGATTGGACTTCCAAAAACATGAACAGTTGATAAACATACATTTTGTATGTTATATGTATTATATACTGTATTCTAATAAAGTAAGCTAGAGGAAAGAAAACATCATTAAGAAAATCATAAGGAAGAGGAAATATATTTTCTGTTCATTAAGTGGAAGGGGATCACTATAATCTTTATCCTCGTTGTCTTCATGTTGAGTAGGCTGAGGAGAAGGAAGAGGACGGGTTGGTCTTGCAGTCTCAGGGGTAGCAGAGGCGAAAGAAAATCATGTATAAGTGACCCTCACAGCTCAGCTCATGTTTGAGGGTCAACTGTATTCTAAAATCCAAGAGGCTCTGAAAGCCTAAAGATTTTTTCCTAACTTATTTGGCAGTGAAACCCAACCTAAATTGATGTGAAACCATTTATAGCCCTTCTCTATCCCTGTAGTGTGAAGTTTCATATGTTATGTACAGAAATAGAAATGCGTATGCGTGTTGTCCCAGAAGCCCTTGGGGGTGACAGATGTCCTAGGTGACCTGTGCACCATATTACTGTACAGTCCAAATCCTCTATCCTGAAATACTGGGCCCACCCTTTGGGATTTGGGAGATGACAGTGAAGCTGGTGTGTGTTCAGGGAATTCCAGGTTGTTGAAGGTGCTGGAGTAGAGGGGAGAGGGGGAAACGAGGCAGCAGGCGCTGGGTCCCGACGGTCCTTGGACACCTACTGAGGATGTGGGTACAACACTTGTTTCATCCCTGGGGCTCAGAGATGTCTGCTGAATCAGTCGAGGGGCCTTCAGTCCACTGTGAGCCCCAGAAGGCAGAGCTGTGGCCTCCTCCGACTTGTTTCTCAGAAAGGTCACTTGGGCAGCAGGTGAACATGGCTCAGGAGAGGCAAGGGAGGGTGGGGACAGGTAGGAAGCAGAAGCCACTTACTGGGCAAAGACCATAGCCATGAGGATGGGGAGGGACTGAGTAGCCAGAGAGGCGCTCATCAAAGCCTACTGCTGTCATCTGAAGGTCTGGTTTCTCCCAAATTCGTATATTGAAATTAAGCCTTAAGGTGATGCGTTAAGAGGTGGGGCCTTTGGGAGGTGGTCAGGTCATGAAGATGGAGCCCTCATTTATGGGATCAGTGGCTTTATAAAGGGACCCCACAGTGAGAAGATGGCCATCTATGAACTATGAAGAGGCCCTCCCCAGACACTGAAGCTTCTACACCTCGATCTTGGACTTCCCAGCCTCTAGAACTGTGAGATGTAAATGGCTGTTGTTATAAGCCCCCCGAGTCTGTAGTATTCTGTGGGAGCAGCCCCAAATGACTAAGTCCACGGCCCATCCTCCACCCACTGAGGCCATACCACTGGGAAGGGTATCAGAGGCAGGGTTGGGGTCTTAGAGGTCCAGGGTCTCTTGTCCAGGCTCCCCAGAGGCAGGCCCCGAGGTGTGGACTAGAGTATAAGTGGTTTATCAAGGAAGTGTACCCAGGGGAGGTCCAGATACAAGTAGGAGGGGCTCAAGCACAGAGGAGCCAGGGAAGGGGGGGCTCTGGACCGAAACCATGTCCCCTCCACAGCTTTGGACTTAGCCCCTTGGGGACACAGACGTGGCTGGGGATGGGTCACAAAGTAACCAGGGTGACTGCCAGCCTGAACTCTGGGCTCTCCAGACTTCTGGGGACCGTAGTCTCAGCCTGAGCAGCTTTCTCCAAGGAGGGTCCTGGAAACCTGGGGCCTGCCCCTGATTTTGTCCTGGGAGCAGGGCCCCTCCATGGTGTTCTGGAGCCC
Source organism: Homo sapiens (assembly GCF_000001405.40). Taxonomy (NCBI): domain Eukaryota; kingdom Metazoa; phylum Chordata; class Mammalia; order Primates; family Hominidae; genus Homo; species Homo sapiens. The sequence continues at coordinate 6,431,347 of NC_000004.12, read as the reverse complement.
CTCATATTAGCTTTTGAGGTTGATTGCTTAATTTTCAGTTTGGAGAGCCAGCAGACATCTTGTTGGTAGTTTGAAATTGGCCAGGGCAGGGGTATTTATACCATGGAAGCTGGCAGGGGCTGCCTTCCAGAACCTCTCTCCCTCCAGGTGCAGGGAAACACGGACCTGCACACCCTGGTGGCTTTCACACCTTCCCCTCCTCAGGCGGCTCGTCCCCTTGCTCAGTTATACTGATCCTTGGGCTTGCAGGCAGAACCATCTCTGTCATCCAGAATCTCCCTAGTAACCCCAACCCCAAAAGTGGGCTGCCGGAAGAGGCAGATGGCAGTGTCCCAGGGCTATGGAAGCCACTGATAAACATCTTCCAACAAACAGGATCAGGGATCTGCAAAGTTTTTTTTTTGTTGTTGTTGTTGTTTTTTTGAGACAGAGTCTTGCTCTGTCGCCCAGGCTGGAGTGCAGTGGTGCGATCTTGGCTCACTGCAACCTCCGCCTCCTGGGTTCAAGTGATTCTCCTGCCTCAGCCTCACAAGTAGCTGGGATTACAGGTGCCTACCACCACAACTGGCTAATTTTTGTGTTTTTAGTGGAGGCGGTGTTTCACCATGTTGGCCAGGCTGGTCTGGAACTCCTGACCTCATGTGATCCACCCGCCTTGGCCCCCCAAAGTGCTAGGATTACAGGTGTGAGCCACCGTGCCCGGCTGGATCTGCAAAGCTGTTGAAAGGAGGAGTGGATAGGATTACAAAGTTGGCCTGATTCTGCTAAATGAACATTTCAACATGTTTCCCCTCGTGCACCGAGGAGGCGTGCACTCTCCTCTGAGGGTCTGAGGCTTTCTTCACGGAGACTTTGTAAACCACTTCTCCCCAGCACTCTGGAGTGGGGGAGTCACGTAGGGAAGTCATTTCTCTCCTCTTGGACCTCTCAGTCCCCTTTGGCTTCTCGCTGATACCAGGCAGTCAGGTGGATCAGAGAAGACATGGACTCTGGAGCTGGATGTCTGGTGCAGGCAGTGTGGCTTCAGGCAACTTGCTTTGCCTCTCTGGGCCTCAGCTTCCTCCTGGAAAATCATGATGCTCATACCTAGGGTTTCATGGGGGTCAGGCAGGACAGTGCAGGTGCAGGTATGAGCACCATCCCATCAAGGACATAGTCCTGGCTGCTTTCAGTGATCTTGGTGCTGGGGAAAATGGGGCTGATTCTCATGGAAGAGGAAATGGATTCATGTGCCCACTTCTTAAATGGAAATTCAAGGCCTTGATCGTGGCCCACTTATGAGGTGGGGACTAGTGAGGCTTCAGGTGGTGTCCTAAGATTAGAAAACTGGAGCATTCAGTTGGGAGTCAGACCTCTGCTGATGTGCTGTGTGACGTTGGGCAAGGTGTGTGACTTCTCTGGGCCTTGTGTTCAGTAGAAGCAGGTCATCTTTCAATAGACCTCCTTCCCAGACCCTCTCGGATGCTGTGGGCATCCAGCTGGCCCCCATGCCACACCTGGCTTCTCGGGGACTGGCCTGCATTCTCACACCCGTTCTTTCTGGCAACGATGGGCATTTGTTTCTCCCCTGCCAGCAAACTCCTTTGGACCAAGAATTGATGCCATGGTGTTAGCATACAATAAAGCTTCAAGGAGCTGGTGAAACACTCTGAGACGGTCATAAAATTGGCTTTTCATCCCTGTCGGAGCTTTCTTATTACAGACAACAAGCAGTGTCAGGGAGCAGCACGGTAGATGCTGCTTAACCCAGCAGCAGGCGAGACTGAGGGGGTCTCGTGCTGTTTGTCACCACCGCCTCTCTGAGATCATCCCCAACCCATACTGTTGACATTCACTGGGATACCTGGCTACCTGTTTTGGGTTTCCTTACAATTTTTTCATTTGTTTAATAGTTTTTATTTTTCAAAGTCTTAAAAAACACAAGTCAGTGAAAGTTTTGGTCTTTGTTACTGTCTTCCTACCAGGTACGAGGGCCTGAAAGTCACTGTTAATTGATTATTGATTATCTGATTAGAACCGTACATTTACTTTTTAAGGAAATGTGAAAAATAAGCCTAGAAATGAAATCAAAAGTGCGGTGTTGAAGTTAGAAATGGCAGCGTCACGGTCAGGAATTAAAGCTGCTGCTTCTCTGTCACATGGTATACCACAGGGGGTGGTAGCTACAGCCCATGGGCAAAACTTGGCCCAGTGCCTGTCTTTGTAAATAAAGTTTGATTGGAACAGAGTCATGCCCATGTATCTACACATGGCATGTATCTACACATTGTCTGTGGATGCCTTTCTGCTATAATGGCAGAGGTGCAGAGTTGCCAAAGAGGACATATGTCCCACGAAGCCTAAAATATTGGCTATCTGGCCCTTTGCAGAAAGAATTTGCTGACCCTTGGTATAGAGGAAAGTTAGTGGCACAAGTTTAGATCGCCTATAGTGAAAGACCTTGCAGGACCAGGAGTCAGGCAGACCTGGGTTCGAAACCCGCTCTGCCACTTCCTGGTTGTGACTTCAAGCTGCTTGCCTTTTCCTCTCAGGGTTCTGTTTCTGTCTCTGTCAAATGCAGCCAAATACTGCCCAGTTTGCACAGCTGTTTTTGGAGACAGAGACACTCAGCAAGGGGTCCAGCCCCTGGTGGGTGGTATCCCAATGTCACTGTTGGCATTTGCAGTGTCAGTGATGTCTGGCTTATTCATCAGGCCCTCTTGAGTTTGCCCCAAACGAGTCAACCCTCCAGGGCTGTGAAACTTCTGCTGCCTTGATACGATGTGATTTCCGAACCAGAAAAATGGAGGAGGCCCTGGCCCCTAATGCTTAAGTCACGGGTGACTCTGTGCAATTGGTTTCTTCCCTGTCTCCTGTCCCTCTAAAAAGAACCACCTGAGCTCCCGGACTGTGCTATATCCAGGCCTAAAGGCTGGTGGACCAGGACACAGTCACCAGCAATCAGCTTTCATCGACTTGGCTGGACCTTGGAAACTTAAGGCTTGCCCTGCCCTGGCTTCTTGCGGTGAGCAGGTCTTATGGAGTTGCTCTAACCACTGTCCATCCAGGCCGGGGTTAGAGGATCCAAACACAGCCATGTTGACGGGAACCTGGAGGCAAATAGAGGGCATGAGACCCTCCTCTCCTGAAACCTTTCTGGCCTTCTTATTGGATACCCACCAAACAGTCTTGATCTTAAAACTTTGTGCAAAGCAATAGGATGAACTTGTAGGACATGCATAAAGAGGAAGGTATGGATTGTGACATGCGGCTCTTAGGGATGCTCCTCCTACAGTGCTGAGTGACCCTCCTCAGAGGCACAGGTGTGGGCACAGCTTGTTCTTTCAAATCCTGGCACCCCAGCTGTTCTGCTGTCTAGCTCGTTCCCTCATTGACAAAACAGGAATAACAGTGCCCACCTCCTTGGGCTGTTAGGGGATCAACTGAGATGCTAAGTCATCCAGGAGGGGGAGCCTCTTTCCCAGAGTCCTGCCTGTGCCCGGTGGCTGTGCAGACCTGATACCCGCAGCCATCTACCTCTACACCTCATGTGTGTTAGAGAACACCACTCTGATTTCAGCCTCTCAGACTGGGGGTTCAGTCACTGGCTGCTAAAAGCTTCCTAAAGCCAAGGCCTCTCCTTGCCTCCAGGGGCTCCGTGTCTGTTAGATGTGTAAACAGATCCATCACCGAGCATACTGATGAGTCCTGGCCTAGGGACAAGCATGGCCACAAGTGAGGTGTCTGGAAAGGGCTCACAGGGGAAGGAGCCACTGAGGAGGGCAAGAAGAAGGCTTGGCCAGGAAGATGGGGTAGGGCTCATTCCTGGCAGGTCCAGCCTATGTGAAGCCCAGAGACCCAGTGAGGGGCTTGCCCATCCTTTGGCCTTGCTGGAGCCAAGGGTGTGAAATGGGAGCTGAGAGTAGGATGTTAGTAGCAGTGGCTTCCTGGGAAGGGCCCCCACGTGGGAGCCTCTGGCCTGGTTGCAAATGGCAGGACCAAGGAGGTCGTTGTTGAGTTAGTTGGAAGGCACTGTCCTGCCAGGATTTCCCACGTCCTCGTTTGAGCATTGAGATGCTGAACGTTAAACTGTCCTTCATTCTCCAGCTCAGTTCTTTTATTCATCCAACAAACACAGAGTAGCTACTGTGTACCAGATACTATTCTAGGCACTGGGCATACAGTGGGGCCCCCAGCTCGTCCTGGCCTCCCAGCCCAGTGGGTGTGGAGCAGTGAGCAGGAGGACCTCGAGTGTCACACTTGCTCCCCTTGGTACACATTGGCACATGGCGTTGCCAGGTCAGATATTCTCTTCTTGGGGTTCACCAGCATCCCCCTTGGATGTGCCCTCCGTGGTATGTGGCCGCTTCCATCTCAGTCTCAGGCCGATGGAAGATATTTTCAAAATTAACTTAGCTTTTGGAATTGGTTCCTCCCCATGTTGGTGCTCAAAGACTCCCCAGTGAGACAGCTGCCTCCTTGAGCTCTGTGTGCAAAACTTGGGGAGCAAGACTTGCTTGAGCCAGTGTTTGGCCTGGCCCAAGCTGTTGGGCCTGCAGAGCCTCACCTGCCCCTGTGGCTCAGGGCTTGGTGTCTGAAGTGGATGGAGGCAGCTGAACTGGTTTCTCCAGGGCCCCATCCAGCCTGCGTTTCCCAGGCTGCTGTCCCAGCTCTGCTCCACCCAAGTCTACTCTGCCGTCCCCTGATACTGACACTGAGTGTGTTTCTGAACACTGCAGGGGGTGAGGAATAAGGTGGGCATATTGTAGCTTCAGGAGGTGATGCTTGTGTCTGAAATACAAGGACCACAATTGCCATGCAGGTGTAAATATCTCCAGTGATTACACATTTCCCTGCACCGACCGAGTGGCTGCACCCAGTCTGGGGCTCTGTCTCTCCTGGTCAGTCTGTTCTTCCTGAAGCCAGGAACACAGGAGGGCAAGTTTCTCTCCATCCCTAGTCCCACCCTGGAGCCAGCACACAGTAGGCTGCAGGAAGTGCTCGTGGAACAAACACAGGCAGCAATGGAAGAATCCCCACCACTGGGATTTTCAGCAGCTGATCGTAGAAGGGAGCTGGACTGCAAGGCCGTCTCCGACCGCCTCCCTCTCACTGCCCAGCTGGCTAGGGTGATGAGTATGGACGAGGATGGAGGCAGGCTGTGGCTGCTGTCTCATCCAAGTAGCCTTTTCCTGACACCCCAAGGCTGGGCAGAGGGACTGAGTTGGTCCCAGGGCGGAGCCTGCTGGGAAGGAAGGCTGTTAGCCGCTGCCTTGCAGGTGCCATAGCAATGCCAGGCAGCCCACCTGCTCCTTGGATTAGATGGGGGATCAGAGCCATGAGGGAAGCAGGCCTGTACCCAGGAACAGGCTCATCCCGCCCCTGCCCTGGCCCGGTACTGATGGACCTGGAGCCATAGAGTGCCTCTCCCCGCAACACACATGCACATGCATGCACGTGTGCATGCACACACATACACCACATACACACCACACACACACACCCCACACATACACACATAACACACACACCACACACACACACACACACACACAGCCAAGCATCGATTCTGGGCCCTGTTCTGTATGCACACCAATTTTCCTGAACAGACTCTCCTTGTCTTCTAGCACCCGGGAGGATTCAGAAGTGTCCTGGCTGCCCTGTGGTGATGGGGATGGCAGGGACCTGCATTTTTGTGAGTTCCTGCACGTGATGAAGGGGAAATTGCAACTGCCCAGGCAGCCTGTGCAAAAAGGCAGTGGGTTTCAAGTGTGGTCATAAACCAAAAGCCTCAGGTTCACACGTCATGGGGGAGGCTGAGGGGAACACACAGCCTCTGAGCTGTGCTCTCGGGCTGATTCTGAGCTCGTGCTGGTGGGGACACCCCCAGACTTCCAGCAGCACTGGATGTCCCTGGATCCTCACATGACTCATGAGGAGGGGCTGGCATGTTCCTGAACTTCAGGTGTTGACTCTGCAGTGAGGCGATTTGGATCAGAGAGACTGTGCAGGTGCCCAGGACACACAGCAGGTGAGGTGCACAGCCAGGCTTGGCTAGCAATTGGGCTCTTAATGATGCTCACACTGGACGTGTCAGAGTGCCTGCTCCTGGGCGTGCACAGCCTTGTGGGAGGGGCCGACAGGTGGATAGGGAATTATAGGGTGGGGGGACAGGGAGCTGTGCTGGCTGTTGTGGGGACACCACAGGGAAGGCCCCCTGACTCTCATGTTCCAGCATTGCCACTTCCTGTCATCCTCTCGGCAACCCTATATGAATGGGAATAGGAGTAAGTGCTCTGTAAAGACTCCTCTGGCTGCCAGGCACGTGCTAAGCTCTTTGCCCACACCACTCAGGCATTCTTCATGATGGCCCTAAAAGTAGAGACTCTTGTGTCCCCATTTTACAGAGTAGGAAAGTGAACCCTAAAGAGGCTGCCTGCTGTTCTGTGGCCACACAGCTGGGCAGTGGCGGCATTGGGATTTGAACCCAGAAACTCTGGCTGTACGGTCTTAGCCTTGGCTCACTCTCACCTCCAAGAAATAGACTCTGAGCAGTGAGGTGACGTGTCCCAGGTCTCATGGGGGCTGAGGGATCTGGGAAGGGTGATTTGCCCCCACCCCTGCATCTCCCACACGGTCCCATCCCTGAACCCTTGCACACACGGCCCCTCTGCCTCCATGCCCTTCCCCTCACTTTGTCAAACCCCAGCAGCTGTTCAGCAGGCACACCACAGCCGCCTCTGGAGGAGGCATTGGCTGGTCTCCTGTGTCAATGTATCGACACTGCCTGGCGAGGTCTGGCTCTCCGGCCTCCCTGTGTATCCACAGGTCTCCCCAGCTCTGCAATCCCTTTAGGGCAGGCTCAGGTCAGTCATGCTATGGTCACCCCTCAGTGCCCCGACATGGCTCAGCAGTGTCCGGTGGCTTGAATGGAGGACCACAAAGTGTCCTCTCTCTGCAGAGGGGCCCCAGGTCATATCTGCTGACTTAGCACCGCCTATAAGATTTAAAGACCATTCTGTTTTCACCTGGAGGAACCGTCAGCTCACGCAGGATGGCAGGTGGTTTTCCAGGGCTCCACAGTGAGGTCTCCAGTTCATCTTTTGATGAGGGTGATGATGGGACAGTGGCCCTGAAAGCACATGGCTCTAGAGTGCTTAGGAGCCTGGTGACCTGCTGCTGTGACTTCCTCTCCAGAGCTGGAGCTCCAGGGGCTGAGGTTCCCCTTCCCTGGGCAGCCCCTTCCTCCTAATCCGGCTTTCCCTGTGAGGAAGAGCCTCCTGGCCTTAAGCCACATCCTTAGCAGCTTCTGCCGTGGCCCTTCCTCCAGCCGGGGACCCTGGCAGAATGCATGGGCAGGAGGAGGTGCCTTGGCCCCAGGACAGCCAGGTGGGCAGTGAATGGACGAAATCAGTCTGTGCAGGAGGGAAACACTAACACTAACCCTAACCCTAACCCTAACCCTAACACACTCTCAAAACATTTGATTCTAACTTAAAACACACAAGGGCACTCCTTTCCATGGCCCTACTACATGATCTGGCCTGACCTGCCTTTCTGGCCTCTGCTCATACCACTACCTCCCTGATCTTTCAGTTCCTCAAACACACCAAGCTGGTTCCTACCCTCTAGCTCCCTCCCACTGACTCCTCCTCACCCTGAGATCCTCCTCAGCTTATCAAAAAAAGATTCCCCCATTTTCTCACTTCAACCCTTTGTTCATTTCCTCCAAAGTACTGTATTACAGTTAATGATTATTTTTTGGGTCTGTTTACCTGTTTGGGCTTCGCCTCCCCAGTGGTATGTAAGATCTTTAAGGGCAGGGTGCATGTGTGTTTCTTGGTTTCCAAAATATCCCTAGTGGGGGCCGGGTGTGGTGGCTAATGCCTATAATCCCAGCACTTTGGGAGGCTGAGGTGGGTGGATCACTTGAGGTCAGGGGTTCGAGACCAGCCTGGCCAATGTGGTGAAACCTCGTCTCTACTAAAAACACAAAAATTAGCTGGGCGTGGTGGTGTGCACCTGTAGTCCCAGCTACTTGGGAGGCTGAGGCAGGAGAATTGCTTGAATCCGGGAGGCAGAGGTTGCAGTGAGCCGAGATTGCACCACTGCACTCCAGCCTGGGTGACAGAGTGAGACTGTCTTGAAACAAACAAACAAAAAACTAAAACAAGAAAACCCCCAAAATATCTCCAGTGGGTAGCACAGAGCCTGACACACAGTAGGTCTGCATGAATATTTGTTGAAGGAATGAAACAGTGCCTGGATGAGTGTATTGCAGCCCCTTCCAGGTAGGGCACAGCCATCGGGGAGCCAGCGTGACAGATGTGAGTGCTGTGGCCCTGGGATGCGATGACAACCCCTTCTCACTGGGGTGTACCCTGGATTGGGTTGGTGCATGTAGAATATATGGCATGCTGCTGGCACTTGGCAGGTGCTCTGTCAAGGTTAGTTGTTGTTACTTAAAAACTCTAATCAAGTAAGCATGACATATACTGAGGTCCTACTGTGTTACTGTTATGGGCTGAATTGTGTCTGCTCCAAAACTCACATGTTGAAGTCCTAACCCCCAGCACCTCAGAATGTGACTGTGTTTTGAGACAGGGTTTTCACAGAGGTACCTAAGGTTAAACTGGATCATTAAGGTGGGCCCTGATCCAATATGACTGTGTCCTTATAAGAAGAGGAGATTAGGACAGAGACACACACAGAAGGACAACTGTGTGAAGACACAGGGAGAAGACAGCCATCTGCAAGCCAGGAGAGAGGCTTCAGAAGAAACCATCCTGCTGACACCTTGATCTTGGACTTCCAGCTCCAGAACTGTGAGGAAATAGATTTCTTTTGTTTAAGTGGCACAGTCTGGGGCACTTTGTTATGGTGGCACTAGAAATGAATACAGTTACCAAATTTAATTTTTCAAGCTCTCTCTAGCAGCAAAGTATTTCCCCCATATAAAAAAATGAGGACGCTGAGGCTCAGAGAGGTGAACTCGTTTGCCGGAGCCACAGGGCTTGCTGGCGGGCGTTGGCACTGATAGTTGAACCCTGGTCCACTAGTGTGCCTCCAGAGATGGTGCAGGCCACGCCGTCTGCCTTGGTCTCACGCAAGTGGCGGCTAAGCCCAGAGGCACTTGTCTCCATTTCAGTGCCCTGCTATTGGCTGGTTAGAAAGTCAATATTTTATGGAGCCTCATCAACCTCCCAAGTCTTGGGTCTCAATTCCCCCTTTTGGTGTGAGCCTCTGAAGACTGGTTGAGCATTTGTGAGAAACAAAGTTTTGACTACTCAAGACTCTAGTTAAAAAAAAAAAAAATTGCACCAATGTGCCATCCGGCTGCAGCGTCTCAGGGGCATGATTCGGTTTTTGCAACAGGGAGTAGCTCTTCTTGAAACATTATGGGATTTCTTTCCTAAGTTGACTTCACTTACATTCTGCTCAGCACATGCAAAGCATTTGGTTATCGGGAGGCAGAGTAAGATGACAACCCTATTATTGAAGGTAAGCAGACCTGGCCTGTTCACAAAGCCCTTTTTACATCTTATTTCATTCTGTTACCAACAGGGTAACTGTGAAGTGGGTGGGCAGGAACTGTGACTTCTTTTCAAGTCTCAGAAGATGTCAGTCCCCCAGGGAGGCTGGGCCTCCGAGTGCCAGTGCAGGTGGCTCCCCCTCGGCCGTCCTATGCCACGTGCCCTCTCCTCGTCATTCTCAGCCCCCTCGCGTCTGGAGTCACCTCGCTGGTTTATCGTCTTGTGGTCCATCTGCCCGTGAGCATTCCAGCCAGGTCTGTGGGCTTCGTTTTCACGGCCGCCATTTTGGCTGCCCGCAGAGTGCCTGGTGCAAAGCGGATGACACTCAGTATCTAGAGCGGCACTTCCGGGTAATCCACAAACACTTATCAAACACTTAGGTGTCACTTGGGGTGCTCGGAATTGCAAACATGAGGACAAACCCTCACTCCATTTGGGGCCTGCAGATTCAGCAAGAGTGGAAAAACCAGCTTTTTAAAATGGCAGCCTGGGAATCCCAGAAGTAGGAAGCACAAGCTTGTCTTTGGCAGGCCAGGCCAGCTGCTGACCCGCACGGCCTTCAGGGGCCAGCCAGTGCGACCATGATTGAATGCACAGCCCTGACTCCTTTGTGGCATTGGCTCCTGGGTCCAGGTGGGAGCATCTGATTGGCCCCCACTGGTCATGTGCTAACCAGGAAGTGGTGTGTGATGGGCTGAGCCTAGGGCTCATACCTGCATGTGTTTTGGGGGAAACAGAGAGAAAGGTGTGGCCTCTCCACTTCTGTGGACACCCCAAATAGGAAGAAGGGTGCACACAAAGCACCGCTTCCTCCACGAAGCCCTCCTCAGGCACATCGAGGAGAACCAGCTGCCCAAGCTCTTGGCTGCTGCCCTTCTGAGGCCTGCCTGGTAGGTGGCGTAGGAGGAGGCTTGGTAAGCAGATGATGGGACATCATCTACCACATCCCATCAGTAACATCCAACAAGTGTGTGTGCCAGCACAGACCTGGGCACTGGCATGTCCCAGCCGTCATTCCATGTCAAATACTTATCTGTGCCGTCATCGTCGAGGTCTGGTTTCCAACTCTATGGCTCCATTGTCTCATGTTTAACCAGTCCTCTTACTGGGCATCAGCTTTTCCATTTTTGCTCTGTGAGAGGTTGTTGAGTTAGTTGGAGGACCAAGCCCATAATTTCCTGGATGACAGTTCGTGTCCCGCAGATAGAGCTTAACCAACAGTGGTTCCCTTTCCAGACCTAAGCAGGTGGGAGTCAGAGATGAGCATAGAGAAAGGGTGAAGGGGTGCCTCTGGATTCCCAAGGCAGGGACATAGCTGGGGGAGCTGCCTCCGGACTCGCAAGGCGGGGGTGTGGCAGACACTTTGCAGAAAAAGTACATCTGTCCTTGGGGCGAGAGGCCGCACATGCAGCCCCAAGTCCCTGGACCTGTGAGATCCTGGCTGCCTGCTGTTGATAGAACGGGACAGGTGGGGGGATGCTTTTGATTCATGTACGGTGAATGATCTTATTCTCACCTTTATCACTGGTGGCACATTCTGATGGAAGGAGACATTGGCAGTGGGACTGGGCAAGAAACAGGTCATTTGTCATGGCTGTGTGCCAGCCTCCTGTCGTTGCACAGCCTGTCCTTGGGAAGTCTTGCTCACCTGTCATGTGGAGTAGTTGTATGTGTGTGAGTGTGTGTGTGACTGAGAGAGACATACACATATGCACACACACGCAGAAGTGTCTGTACCTCTGAGAATATAGTTCTCCAGAGGATGCAGAAAAATTGGGGATTGCAGACTGTCGTGCGTTTAAATGTGTCCTTCTCTCAAGAATAATGTCCACTTGGAACCTCAGAATGTGACCTTATTTGGAAATAGGGTTCTTGTGTATGTCACTAGTTAAGATGAGGTCATATTGGATTCGAGTGGGCCTCAAGTCCAATGGCTGGTGTCCTTCTAAGGAGAGGACACACAGAGACACAGGGAGAGGAAGGCCGTGTGATGACAGAGGCAGAGATTGGGGTGATTTATCTACACACCAGAAGCCAGGAGGGAGTCAGGGAGCGGCTCCTCCCTCAGAGCTTCCAGAGGGAGCCAGGCCTGCCCACGCTGTGATGTCACATTCCTGGCCTCCAGAACTAGGAGAGGATAAAGTTCGATTGTTTTCCAGCTGTCTGTGTGTAGTAATATGTTACAGCAGCCACAGGACACTGATACCCAGACACATCCCAGGCCCTAACATCCCAGAAGAGGAGTCCCTGATACTCCTCTTTTGCAAAATGAGGTGTGGGCTCAGAGCAAGTTCGATTTTCTGTGAAGGGCCTGATAGTAGATATTTTAGACTTTGCAGGCTGTGTAAATCTCTGTTGCATATTTTTCTTTTCTTTTCTCTTCTTTTCTTTTCTTTTCTTTCTTTTTTTAGACAGAGTCTCACTCTGTCGCCTAGGAGTGCAGTGGCAGTGGCACCATCTCAGCTCACTGCAACCACTGCCTCCCGGGTTCAAGCGATTCTCCTGCCTTAGCCTCCCGAGTAGCTGGGATTACAGGCACATGCCACCACGCTTGCCTAATTTTTGTGTGTGTGTGTTTTTAGTAGAGATGGGGTTTCACCACGTTGGCCAGGCTGGTCTCGAACTCCCTACCTCAGGTGATCCGCCTGCCTCAGCCTCCCAAAGTGCTAGGATCTGTTGCACATTTTTCTTTGTTTGTTTTGTTGTCATTTGTTTGTTGTTTGTTTCACAACCCTTTGAAAATGCAGAAAACATTCTTAGCTCTTGGGCTGGGTGTCACTGAGTTTGCCCTAGGGGAACCCTCACCGCATGCGAAGCTGAGTGGGCACGGTTTCCTCCGCTGTCAACGGGAATATTGATGGTTTCCCTGAGTGAGGACCCAGGGGAAGCACTGGGCTGGTGCCCGCCTCCTGTCTCTGTGCCCAGGCCTACTGTCTGCTTCACACTTTACTCCCCAGAACCAGGCATGACACTTAGTACAGGGCAGGCCGAGCTCGGGGGAGATTTGCTTGAAGAATGAGGAACGTTTCTGGAAGCCTCTCTGACCACCCAGCAGGCAGGGGCAGGTCTTCCTCTGAGACCCAAGTCCTCTATGCTTCCCTCCATCCTAGCAGTGACTTCCATGACACACCATTGTCCCTTTGGGAGCACAGGACTCTGGCTGAGTCATCTCTGAAGTGAGGTGAACCCAGCACAGGGACTGATGGCTTGGGAAGAGCAGCTCAGCCTATGTGGGGGGTGTTGAGGGTGCCCAGGCCCAGGGGCGATTTGATCCCACCCTACCCTAGCGCAGCCAGAATGCTGGGGCCGAGGTTCACCTGGGAGATGCAGGAGTTTAGAGAAGAGGAGGAGGATGTTTAAGCGTGCGAGCTGGTGATAGGAGCGTGGAGTTGGAGCTAGACCCAGACTTGAATTCTGGCTTTGCTGCGTGGCAGCAGCTGTGTGGCCCTTGATGAGTGTCTTAACCTTGCTGGGCTTTGGCTTCCTCTCCAGGAGGGCATAGCAAGTCCTGCCTGTTAGGGCCATCCTGAGGATGGGGTGACCAGAGCATGAGCAGCCGGGTGCCCAGGGCACCTGGGCAACAGCCCTGTGGGTAGGTGGGTCTGAATGGTTGAGCCCCACGTTTTAGTCAAGACCACTCTCCTTGCAGAGCAGTTCATGTCCACTTGCCCACATCCTTCCTGTCCCAGCACCGTCTGTAGGTTGCTATGATCACCCCATTTTACAGATGAGGAAGCACATGCCCAAAGAAGCAAGTGACTTCCCAAGGCGGCAAGGCAAGGTGAGGGGCAGAATGAGGACCCCAACCCAGTTCTCCCCACCCCCTCCTTCCCTTCCAGAGCCCCTGCCTGCTGGAGGCATTGTCCCAGCGGCAGAGGGTCAGGCCACATCTGCCAGAGCTAAGGGGAGTCTCCGTCATCTCAAATCATTGGGTCAAATGACAGAAATCTGCTGGCATGCTGCCTTTTGAGGCTCGGCGACTTCTCTGAGGCTTTCCTGATGGCTGCTCTGGGTGTCTGGAATGAGCTGTGGACGAGGGCCGTCCTCTGAGTGACCATGCCCCCCACGCAGCCGAGGTTCCCCTCTGCCTGGCTCAGTGCGGGTTCTGAGAAAGCCTGCCTGCCCTCACTGGAGGCACCTCTGACTCACTGCTGCAAGGATGTGGCCATGGACTGGGGTCCCCGGGGGCCCCCGAAAGCCTCAGCAGGAGAACATGTTTATCCAGAAGCCTGGGCAACACCCAGAGGGTCCTGGCATGGGTGTGCCAGGCAGACTGGGCATGGAAACATGCCCCGTGATGTCTTTGGGATCCTGGGAGCCTGAGGCTTGTTCTCAGTGTGTAGGGCAGGGGCTGGGTGCCACCCAAGGGGGGCAAACTGAGGTCACAGAGAGGGAGGCAGTACCCCCAGAAAAGGTGATTCTTCTCATTGGAAGATTCCCAAGGCCCAAGGCCTGGGTCAGCAGACAGTGGAACAAGGGTAATGGTCATGTCCTTAATTCACGTAACCCCGAGGTGGGTCCCTGTGAAAATCCCGTGGATGGGGCCTGGTGATGGCTACACTTATATTCTCAGAAGCAGCATTACCACCTGGACCCTTCCCTTTTCTCTTACTCCCTCCTCCTCGTGGGGTCTGCAAGGGGGTCTGGTAAATGGCATCCCCCTCCCCGCCCAGGGGCTGGACCCGTGGAGCATAAGCCAAAAGGGGCGGCAAAGAGAGACACGGAACCTCACTGCCACTGCCCAGCTGCCGGTGCTGCAGGACCTGGCTTAGGTTCAGGGGCCCGGTGGGCTTCCCCAGTGCTGGACCCCAGCAGGCAGGTGTGGAGGGAGCAGGGGGTAGTGGAGCAGAGTACAGTGGCCCCTGGCTGTTCTCCCCCAGGAAGAGAGGAGAGGCGGGGCTGGACTCTTTCCCATCTCCCTCCCCAATACTCCAGCGTCAGTCAGTCTCCCCCCGACAGGGGGAAGGGAGAGAGGCCAGGAGCCTTCCCCTGGGGCACACACAGGGAGCCCAGCAGGCTTGGAAGAAGTGTCTCCCTCCTCCTCCAGCCCTGCCAGATGGTCCCAGCCCTCCTGCAGGGTTCCCGAAGTGGAAGGATCTGGACTCAGAGCCCAGTGCTGCTGCTTGGCATCTGTGGTCCCGGGCTGGAGGGCGTGTTGGCAGCTCATGCCTGGCCAGCGCATCGGGGTGGCTGCAGCAGAGGATGGGGGAGGGGAGCAGGGACAAGAGGAGCCTGCAGGCTGCTGGGTGCAGCCAGGGCTTCTGCTTCACCCCGGGGGTCACAGCTGCTTTCTGTTGGGAAAGCTCCCACTGGAGGTATGGGGTAGGCAGTGCTGGAGACCCTGGTGGCAAGTGCTGAGCTGGGGCACAGGTGAGGATCAGGAGGAGCTGGGAGGGACATCCGCAGGTTGTGCTGATGGACTGCCTCTGAGTATTTTCACGGGATGGTGGAAAGAGGCCTTGAGTCAGACCTGGGTTCGAATCCTGGCTCCTACTCTTGGTAGCAGTGTGACTTTATGTGACCTTTCTGAACCTCAGTTTTCTCTGTTGTAAAATGGGGAAAACCACACATCGTGGGGGCGGTTGTGTGCACCTAAGGAAGCCACCCCAGGGCTGGGCACACGGGTAGCCGATTGTCATATCCTTGTTATGGAAGGTTGTTATCCTTGTTAGGCTGGTGGGCAGGGGTGGTAGAGGAGTAGGTTGTTTTTGGAAAATGGTGGACTTAGTCTTAGACATGTTGTGTTTAAATTGCTCATGAGAAATCCAAATAGAAAGACCCAGGGTGACAGCAGGGACTGCTAGGAACTTGGGATAAAAAATTGGTCCTGGGGTGCTGGTCACTGATCCTGTGGATAAAGGAGTTGGGGTGCTCTGTTTGGGTCCAGCTGGCAGAGTTGGACCAGTTGAGAGAAACTTCTAGGAGGAAGGTTTAGAAGAAGAATGCTTTCACCATCAGAGCTATCTTAATAGCTGTGTAATGTGGTAGTGAGCTCCCCATCGTAGGAGGTATGTGAGTCATGGCTGGAGGACTACTTGGAGGTCTGTTGTAGAAGGATTCAGACACCAGAGAGGGTTAGACTGGATGACCTTCAGTTCCCCTCCTGGGTGACCACAGCTCTTCAAAGCCCCTCACTGCTGCCCGCTTCTGCAGGATTCAGGGTTGAATGTCAGAAGTCTGCTGGAATGCTGTCGATTGAGGCACGGTGACTTGGCCAAGCCTTTCCTGGTGGCTGCTCTGGTATCTGGAATGAGCTATGGGTGAGGGCCGTCCTCTGAGTGACCGTGCCCCCCTCACAGCTGAGGTTCCCCTCGGCCTGGATCAGCGTGGGTTCTGAGAAAGCCTGCTTGCCCTGACTGGAGGCACCTGGAGGTGGTTTTCAAAGTGTCACTGTCACCGTGACCCAGACATGCTTGAGCCCCAGGCTGGGAAAGCTTTTTTTCTTTGCTTTAAAAAAGCAGAAACAGTGAAGCAAGCATAAATTTGCCTTTGAAATAAGAGGCTAAATGTCTGCCAAATGCAAATGGATTGAAACGGCCGGTGGTCTGACCTTGGGATGTTCCATTGGTAGTTTCAGAGGGGCTCTGAGCCCCCAGGCCGGCTGTAACAGTGGACATGCTGGCGCTGGCCAGTTTGATCCCTTTGAAAGCCCCCCGATATTCACCTCCAAGAGAGAAGGCCCTGGCAGGTCCTCCAGCATGCGGACGAGGCGCATGCACTGTGAGGCAGCGGCTCTGTGGGAGGACGGGGCCTTTTGTCCACTGTCCTGGCATTCCATGGCCCTGTGTCCCCAGATATCCGCACCTGTTCCTGACACCATCCCTTCCTGTCGTGTGAGCGAGATGCTCTTCTGTGGAACCTGGGTTCCTATGGTCACTGGGAGGGTGACCCTGAGTTCACAGAGAAAGGGGAGCAGGCTGTTCAGGAAAACTAAGCACATGTGGTGAGCATCCACAGGCGGCTAGGGATGGAAGGCTTTTCATCCGGGCTTTCAGATGAGGCCCCTGAAGCTCAGAGGGGTTAGGCAATTGGCCTGAGGTTGCACAGCCAGGAAGGAGTGATGGCGTAGTGATTCCCATTGGGCTCTCCCACCCCCTGTTCCTCCCTCCATCCAGCCCAGGGCCTCGTGGATACATTAGGAGCCCAACAAGAGTTCCCCTCCCTTCTCCCTTGCTTCTCTGAGCCTCGGTTTCCCCATCCATATACCAGGAGGAACCCCCTGCCCATCTCGTAGGGCTCTTTGACATGGTGAAATGAGATCCAGATACTGGCTGTCTGTGTCAACTGTAAAGTGCTGTCCTGAGTGACCAGTTGTTGTTGGTGCCTGTAGCCATCCTTGAGGCTAAAAGAGACTGCTGCTTGCCTGATGCTCCTCCCGCCAGCCTCCTGCTTTCTGCGTGACTTCCCTCGCCCCAGCAATGAACCCTGGAGCCACCTGCAAATGGGAAAGCTCTTTTGTTAGTTTCCACAGAATGCCCACCGTGCACATGATCAGAGAGTTTGCGAGCCTAGCTCAGGTCAGTGGAACTGGTTCCTTTCGTACATGTAGGAAGTAATGCAGGGTGCTGCCGAATAAATCCACTGCCTGCCTGGCCTCTGATGAACTTACCAGCTCACGCCAGTTCTAGCTCCAGCCAGTTCTAGCTCCAGCCAGGAGGAGGAAAAAGGCATACTAGGCCGTATTTTGTTTCTTTCAATGTTTATTTACCTGTACACACACACACACACACACACACACACACACACACACACACACACATACACAGGCAAAACTTATGTTACTGTCCCATGCATAATTCTCTAGATTTGGGCCACATAGATCTGGTTTTGGCCATTGACTGGCAACATGGCAGTAGCCAACTGCAGAGCCACCAGGGAGCAGCCTCATTCTGATTGAGTATAACGAAGACGCTGATGGGAAAGAGAGACACGGGTGAGCAGGGGCTGTGGGGCATCATGAGAGTTGGGAGGGTCCCCATCGTGGAGCTGGCCAGCCCTGAGTGGGAGCCCCGGCACAGTCCTCTGCTAGCTGTGGCCTTTGGCCAGTCTCCACTTCTCAGAGTCTCAGTGACCCCAGCTGCCACCACCAGGATTGTTGGGGTGTCCAAGAATGAAAATAGGGGTCATCCCTGGCCCTCAGGGGATATGTGGGCTTTCCCCTCATCATGAATGGAACAGGTGAGTGCTGTGGTGCAGGCTGAGAGGCGGCAGGGTGTTCTCTCACAGCAGGGTCGGGTCTTGCTCTGATAACTGCACCAGGACAAACATCCCCAGCCTCTGGGATGCACACCCACCAGCATCTGCCCGGCAGGTTTAATTACCGGCTGAGATGGGTTGTGTTGGGCTCACTAAGTATGCTCCATAAGTGATGAAATTGGGCAAGTTCTCACCTCTGGAGGCTCTGACCCCGAGTAGCTTTGACCCTGAGTAGCTGAAGGAACAGGCAGTTCAGCCTCTGCTTATGGGCTGTGTGTGCACACATGCACGAGTATGAGAGTGTGTCAGTGTGTATCGTGTGAATATGTGTGCAGGTAAGTGTCCATGCATATGTGTAAGTACATGACAATGTGTGTGCGAGTACATGACTGTGTGTTTGTATGTACAACTGTGTGTGCACATGTATGTCCGAGCACATTGGCGTGTGTGTGAATGTGAGTGTGAGAGCGTGTGATTTCATGACTGTACATGTTCACTCTGTTTATTCTCGGGGGAAATAGCAGGCAATCTGTAAGAAAATGACTGTGTAAGTTTCATGGGTGGAGGCTTATGATACTGTTAGAGTCTATCTTAGTCTGTTGGTGCTGCCATAACAAAGATACCATAGACTGGGTGATTCATAAACAACAGAAACATTTCTAACAGTTCTAGAGCTGGGAAGTCCAAGATGAAGGTGCCAGCAGTTTCGGTGTCTGTTGAAGGCCGTATGCCTGGTTCACAGGTGGCGACTTCCTGTTGTGTCCTCACATGGGGGAAGGGGCAAGGGAGCTTTTGTAGGCCCTTCTTCTAAGGGCACTAATCCCATTCATGGGGGCTCCACCCTCATGACCTCATGACCTCCCAAAGGCCCCACCTCCTAACACCATTATCTTGGGGTTAGGGTTCCAACATATGAATTTGAGGGGACACAGCCATTCCATCTGTGACCGTCCTCAATCAGCCTTCTCCCTGCAGGGCTGCAAATGAGGGTGCTGCCGGATTCATAAGAGAAGATACATTGTAACATCCACAGCACACAGGCACTAGGTTGGGAGCCTTTTCCAGCACTCAGATCAGGGTTCAAACCCTAACTGTGCCCTTCAGGAGCTGTGTGACTTGGGCATTCCTTCATTTTTTATTCAAGCACACAGCTGGCATCTACATGCCTGCTGTGTGTCAGGGAGATAGAAATAGAGGGGTGAGCCCCTGTGATATTAGGCAGGCAGCTTTCCCTTCCAGGGTCTCATTTTTCTCACTGGTGAAATGAGGGCAGGGGCTCCTCCCCTGGGGTTACTTTGAGGGGTCAGTAAGGTGAACAGTTACAGTCTCTTGCACAGCCCCTGAACGTTGTTTAGAAGTCAATACTCTGTTCCATCCCATCAGCTTCCTCTTCCCTTGTTTTGACTGGCAAATAGTCATCACCTTCTGAAGTCATTAAGAGAAGGTCTTTTTAAACTATTATGATGCCATCAAAACTGACTTTTGATCCAAAATATCTTTTAAACAAGCTGACCATTCAGTGAGGATTTGCCAGGCTCCTTTGTGATCCATCCTTTTGGGGCCAGGGTCTGTGGGGCCCAGAGCTGGACATCATGGAACTAGCTCTGAGGAGCTCATGTTCAGGTGGGACACAGTCTCCTGGAATCACAGTTCTAAGCACTTTCCAACTATTAACTCATTTAATCGTTAATTACTACCATTTCCCAGATGATGCACCAGGGATGTTAAGTAACCAAGGAATATGGCAGGGCCACTGGGATAGTGGGCTGTTAGAAAAGTCAGGGTGGAGGCCGGGCGCGGTGGCTCATGCCTATAATCCTAGCACTTTGGGAGGCCGAGGTGGGCGGATCACGAGGTCAGGAGATTGAGACCATCCTGGCTAACACAGTGAAACCCCGTCTCTACTAAAAATACAAAAAATTAGCCAGGTGTGGTGGCGGGCGCCTGTAGTCCCAGCTACTCAGGAGGCTGAGGCAGGAGAATGGCGTGAGCCCAGGAGGCGGAGCTTGCAGTGAGCTGAGATTGCGCCACTGCACTCCAGCCTGGGCCATAGAGCAAGACTCCCTCTCAAAAAAAAAAAAAAAAGAAATGAAAAGTCAGGGTGGAGTACAGACACAAATTAGAGAACTTAAGAGGCACCAACAAGAGTATGGGCAGTATAGGGAGAAATGGAATTAGCACGGAGCAGGGGCTTCCTAGGGAGGAATGATGGGAGGAGACACCTCCTTCCTGCTGCTCCTGCTGTGTGCCAGCCTGGGCTGGGAGCGTCACGCCATCAGCTCCAGTATTCATTCCAGCCCTGTGAGGCTGGCAGCAGGGTCCTCCTAGTGGGGCTGAAAGGTGCAATGGTGAGGAGGAGGATTGCAGGGGCTGGAGTCCTGGCCCCACCACTTCCTGGCTGTGTGACTGTGGGCACGTTACTCACCCTCTCTGGCCCTCCATTTATTCATCATTAAAATGGGATTAGGGGCCAGGTACTGGTGGCTCACACCTGTAATCCAAGCCCTTTGGGAGGCTGAGGTGGGTAGATCACTTGAGCTCAGGAGTTCAAGACCAGCCTGGGCAACATGGTGAAACTCCATCTCTACAAAAAATACACAAATTAGCCAGGTGTGGTGGCATGCGCCTGTAGTCCCAGCTACTTGGTGGGGCTGAGGTGGGAGGATTGCTTGAACCTGGGAGGGTTGAAGCTGCAGTGAGCAGAGATCGCACCACCGCACTTCATCCTGGGTGACAGAGTGAGACTCTGTCTAATAAATAAATAAATAAATAAATAAATAAATAAATAAATAAATAAAACAGGGGGAATAGTAGTCCCTACTCCATAGGGCTGTTGTGAAGATCTAGTGAGATCAATGTTCATGAAGGACTTTGGCGCTGCACACGTTTCTGAGAAAGGGTGACCTGGCCAGGCTCACTGGGGTGGTAAGTGGCAGGGATGGGCTTCTCCACGTCTCCCCTGTGATATTAGGCAGGTGTATGCAGTTGCTTCACGTCCAGCCACACCCCCTCACACACCTGCAGACCAGCCAGCATGGCACACCAGACACATTTCTGCTGCACCTTTCCCCACACAGTACCTACCACCTGGCGTGCCTCTCTGCCCATCCCCATCTTTTTGATATTTTACCTTCCACCTAAATCCGAACTGAAATCCCAGACCTCACTAGCTGGTGGGTGCATGGGGTCTCTGCTCTGCCACTTCTGGAGCTGCTCCTAGTGCATGCCCCAGTTACTCACTCGTGGCCACCACCCCCCGAGTCAGGGGTCGAGAGTCCCCTTTGTCCATGATGGGTGACGAGGGCATACCCGGAACAGAGGGCTAATTAAATCACACGCTGAGGTTTGTAGAACATGGGACGCTTCATTAGGCTCTGTGTGAACAAGTGCGCCCAGCCTGCTCCCACTACTCCAGCAGACTCGAGCCTGGTATAATCACAGCTCACACTCTGCTTCATCAGCTCGCTGAGGCTGTGGGGAGGGCTCACACCTTTGGGCTCTAAAGAGAGTGGGCCTGAGGTGTGGGATCCTGCTTCTGAGCAGGGGTGTCTGCCCCGAGCCAGCTTGCCCAGTGGTGTGGAGCTGGAGCCCCCTCTGCTTAAGTAAAGGCCTCTGAGGGACACATGTCATGCAGATGATGACACCAGACTGGCTCCTCACTTTAAACTCTACTTCCTGAGAGCAGAAGGCAGGGAAGGCCTCAGTTGGAGGTGAAAATGGAACTTTCATCCACCAGATGTTAGATAAAAGATAGGAAGGGTGTTCCAGGCAGAGGGGAAAGTCTGGGCAAAGGCTTGGAGGATAAAAGGGCACCGCATGTTTGGGGAGCGGGGCATGTTCCCTGGGGCCAGAGACCTGAGTTCTCCTCTTGGCTCTATCCCCAGCTCCACCCATGACTTGGGGTGAGTCCTGAACCCCGACCAACCTTAGTGTCTCCAGGGCTGGGATATGGGGGGGTGGCAGCCTCTGATCTGTGGTCACAGGGAGTCTCAGCTGTGGTGCTCCTGTGCCTCCCTCTTGCTACTCTCTGGCCAGTGACGATGGCACTTTACTCTCCTGCAGAGACCTGTCCCCAGTGCCTGCCTCCTCCAGTCCTCTTCCTCATGGGCTGGCT
Source organism: Homo sapiens (assembly GCF_000001405.40). Classification (NCBI taxonomy): domain Eukaryota; kingdom Metazoa; phylum Chordata; class Mammalia; order Primates; family Hominidae; genus Homo; species Homo sapiens. The sequence goes on along the minus strand of NC_000004.12, from coordinate 6,409,525 downwards.
GCTCTGGGCACATCTCAGGGCAGCCCCAGAAGGTGGGCTGAGCTGTTATTTGGGGCGTGGGGTTCTCGGTTCCTCCGCTCCATGCTGGTGGGCCTGGTGCCTGGCACCACTGGCCCGTCTTCCAGGAAGCTCACTGACACCATCCTGGATGGGCCTTGTTTTCTCTCTGGCCTGGGAGTCAGCTGCACTCTCGCAGGTCCTAGGCCAAGGTGACCTGCTTGTTTCATTCTTGTCTTTCTCCTTTGCTTTATGGTATATTTTTAAGCATAAGATATATTTATTTGTAAAATAAAAGTTCATTATAAAATGATGCCTTAATTACCTTCCTGCAATATAACAATTATTTGGTTGTATAGTTCCTGTTCTCCGTATTTTGTGTAATAAAATGGACCCAATGGGTGCTGCACAATGCTGGGTGCCACAGGGAACACACACTGCTGTTTTCTCCTGGATTTTTAAAATTTTAATTCCAGCATGGTCCTTTTATATGTGCTTTCACTCTAGCTGTTTGCCTACATCTCCACAGTTTTGATTGTCCAGGGTGGTGAATAAAATGCAACACTTGGCATCTTTTAATGTTTAAAAAAATCAACAAGTATTTTATTTAAAATAAAATGTGAATATCTGTAATCCTAAAAAAAAAAAAAAAAAAGCCACAGGATCCTTGAGAGGCCCTCTGAGACAGTGACACCCCTGACCAGCTGCAGCCCCCTGTCCACTCCCCAGGCTCCATTCTCTCTACCCACTGCCTCTGCATCCTCCGCCCTTGGAGTTTCTCAGGGTGCCCCGCAGATCACCTGTGGCCCAAGTGCTCAGGGACTTGTTTAAAATTCAGATTCCCAGGCCCCGCCCAGGCTTGCAGGCAGCCAGGGCCAAGGAATCCAAATACTAATCAAGCCCACTGTAATTGCCCTGCATCTGAGGTCTGAAATCACTCGCCTGCTCTGGATTATCTGTGCTCCAGGGTGGCCTCAGTTTACACCATCCTACCTCCCCATTGAAACCTTACTGCTCACGATGGCCCAGGTTCCCACCCATCCTGGGAGAGAAAGATGATTGGCTCAGTTCTCTGGGAGGCCTGGTGATTGGCTGCCTCTAGGAGGGTGTGGCTACCTCTTGATCCAATCAGTGGAGGGCAGCATGGGGATGTGATCATGCAGTGAAGAACCTGTACCGGGGGTAGTTAGGCGCCAGGGAAGGGGAGGAGGAGAAACCAGTTCTACTGTTAGTATCAGCTCATCTAACATTTGGCCCCTGGTGGGGGTTTTTGCATCCTTTTGGGGGTCTAGGTCTCTTCTGCCATTTTGTTGGCACTTTAATTTCTTGTTAACAAACCCAAGAGCACATACAACTTAATTTTTAAATTCCCAATAATTTCCAGCATCCTCTAAGTTAGTGCTGAGCGATAGAAATGTAACGGAAGCTGTACGTGTAGTTTTAAAACTTCTGATAGCCAGGTTATGCACGTAAAAAGAAACAGGTGAAATTAATTGTAATAATTTGTATATCCAAAATAGTATAAACTGTAATCAATCTAAAGTAATTGAGACATTTTACATTCTGTTTTTCATATTAAATCTTTAAAATTCGGTGTGTGTTTTATGCTTACCATACATCCCAGCTCAGACTAGCCACATTTCAAGGGTTCATTAGCCACCCATGGCTGGTGGTCCCTGTACTGGATAGCGCAGCACTAAATGATGGCTTTACTTTGTATCCTTGGGGAAGTATGTATTTTTGAATCCATTTTCCTCACTTTTGAATAGTTTAAGAACTTCCCAGTCCATTTGTCTAAGGGTATTTGACTTCTAAATGTTGGGTTTCTTGGCCGGGCTCAGTGGCTTACACCTGTAATCCCAGCCTTTGGGAGGCCGAGGTATGCGGATCACTTGAGGTCAGGAGTTTGAGACCAGCCTGGCCAACATGGTGAAACCCCGTCTCTACTAAAAATACAAAAAAAATAATTAGCCGGGTGTGGTGGCGGGTGCCTGTTGTCCCAGCTACTTGGGAGGCTGAAGCTGGAGAATCGCTTGAACCCAGCAGGCGAGGTTGCAGTGAGCTGAGATCGTGCCACCGCACTCCAGCCTGGGCAGCAGAGTGAGACTCCATCTGAAAAACAAACAAACAAAAAAACCAGTTGGGTTTCTAGCAATAAATGCTCATAAAATCTGCTGGAGTTTTGGAGGATTAGTCCATTCATCCTGACTTGTGTCCTGTTTCTGCTGGGTCATTGTTGACTTCCCCCACTTGCCTCACACTTGTAAGGCCATGTGGCACACCATCAACATTCATCTCTGATTAAGGAGCTTGTTTCTTGTAGTGGCTGCCATAACATATTATCACACGTTTGGTTGTTTAAACAGCAGAAACTTACACTCTTCCTGTTCTACAGTCCAGAAGTCCAAAATCATGGTGTCCGTAGGCCTACGTTCCCTCTGTAGCCTGCAGGGGTGGATCCTTCCTTCTCTAGAGGCTGCCAGCATCTCTTGGCTTTATGGCCACATTACTCTAAGTTCTGCTTCGGTTTTTACATCACCTCCTCCTCTTTCCCCCATGTCTTCTCCTCTGTGTGTCTCTTATAAAGCCACTTGCCACTGCATTTAGGGCTTACTCAGATAATTCAGAATGATCTTCTCATCTCAGAATCCTTAATTATGTCTTCAAAGACCCTTTTTCCAAATAAGGTCACATTCACAAGTTCCAGGGATTAGAGTGTGGACATACCTTTTGTTTTTTATTTTATTTTATTTAATGTATTTATTTATTTTTGAGACAGAGTTTTTCCCTGTTTCCCTGGCTGGAGTGCAGTGGTGCGATCTCGGCTCACTGCAGCCTCCGCCTCCCAGGTTCAATGGATTCTCCTGCCTCAGCCTCCCGAGTAGCTGAGATTACAGGTGCGTGCCACCATACCCAGCTATTTTTTTTTTGGCTTTTTCTTTAGTAGAGACAGGGTTTTCATCCAACAGATGTTAGATAAAATGTTGCCCAGGCTGGTCTCGAACTCCTGGGCTCAAGCGATCTACCCGCATTGGGCTCCCAAAGTGCTGGGATTACAGGCGTGAGCCCTGCACCCTGCCAAGAGTGTGTACATATCTTTTGTGGGGCACCATTCAACCCATTGCAGTGAGGTGTCAGTGTTTTGACAGGAAGAAGCAGCAAAGAAGACAAATCAGCACTTTATTTTTCTAAGCTTTGAAATTCTTAAAATGATAGTGGGTTAAGAAAGACCAACTTCCCCATGGAAGGTGCTGGTCCACACTGGCTGGGTTTAGATCCCTTTGGCTGAGGTTTAGATCCCTTTGGAGGGGAGTCAATTTGAAGAAGAAGCACATCAGACACATTCAGGAAGGCAAACCCAAAGACAGCAGAAAGGCAAGAATGTCTCAAATTGTTCAAAAATAAATACGTTAGTTCTTGTAACGTGCTCCGAATAGGGTGAGGCTCAACATGAGCACTTAATAAATGCTCAGTTTAATTGTGGTAATTGTAATTCTCATTGGTATATATTTATGTCCTGATCCTATACCTCTGTTATTAATGAGACTGATAATAGGTAAGTGAAGGGAAAAAGAGACCCCCCTGCTGCCAGGAAACAAAACAAAGTATCGAGCCAAATGCCAAATCCATAAGTCACCAAGATGGGTTTTGATGACAAAACCTTTCTTTCTGGACTCCCCCTGCCCCTCCGCGAAGCCGTTCCCCATGGCCACGCTTGTCCGTGGCTGGCTTTATAGGCCCATCCTTCTTTTATATGATCATCAAGATGGCACTAATTTGGGTTTGCAAATGAGGTTTTCGTGATGTTGTCATGTCAGCATCTGGATTCAAGAGGGGCTGCTTCCCAGACCCTGACCCTCCCCTGTGGCCTGGGAGCAGGCCCAGCCCCTCCCTCCATCTAATCACTCCCCAGGAACCTGGGGGATTTGCTAATGGGCCCAGGAAGCCATAAAGAGTAATGAAAGTGCTGTGTGACTGCTCTGCACGGGGTTGCCCTTGGGGTCCCTTCCTCATAATTAAATTCGGAATCCTCCTTCTGCCTTTGAGCTGGAAGAGAGGGTTTTATCCTCCCTGTGGTCTGTTCATCCCTTCTTCCCCCCATTCATTTGTTCAGCACTTATTATCCAGTTATTTGTTTATCAAGCCACAGTTGAATGCCTGCTGAGAGCCGGTTTAGGGCACTGAGCTTCCTGTTCTCAACAGGCAGAGGTGGGAGCAGCCAGGCTGCTGTGGGAAGAGCAGAGTGGCTATGGAGCCGCCCTGAGCCAGCTCTGCTGTGCGGGAGTTCTGCGACCTGGGGAACCCGCTCGCTTGGCTTCCTCATCTGTAAAACGGGGAGACTAATATAATAGCAGCTACCTTCCAGGGGGGCTGTGAGAATTAAAGGGGACGATGGATATAAACTCCCACACACTGTCGGGCACAGGGCGTTAATAGCAGCCCTCAGTCTCATGTCCCACTTATTTTGTGCCCGACACACTTCTGAGCATCTTATGTCTATTCACTCATTTAATTTGCCCAGTAACTCTAGGAAGGAGGTCACGTCCATGGTTCTTATTTTGCTGATGAGGCAGTTGAGGTAGGCAGAGGTGCGGTGCCTTGCTCAAGATGGCACAGTGGAAGGACACGGGGCAGGGCGGACCTGACCGCAGTTGGCCCTCCCTTGCCTGCCTCTTAGCACGCATGCAGCCCCCTCGCCTGCTCTGCCCGTTGTGTCTCAGAATCTCCACTGCCATTTGCGGGTGCCCTGAATCCACCTCGCTTTTCCGTGCCTCCCTGCTTTTGTGCTTGGTGCAGACCCCTGCTTCCTCATGGGCACCTGCCTCCTTAGAACCCCCCTTGGAATCTGTTAACTACAGCTTCCTGGGCCCACACCAGCATCCCTCTGCAACTCAGAATTTCCAGGGCCCATAATTTCCTACAGGCCCCTCGGGTGATTGCTTTCTCAGTAGGCAACTTAGGGCCGTCCCTCCAAACCTTTAGAGTGAGAAGCGTGCTACCTGGGTGCTTCATAACTGATGTTGCAAATGTTCAACCAAGTGTAGGAAGTGAACACACTTTGTATCTGCAAAGTGCTGTGCATACAAGCGAGGTCAGGAGCAGCTGGCACCCGTCCCCAAGGGTTTCCATGCCTCTGGCGAGATAGGGTAGGAGTATCTGCAAGTAGCTGCCTTCTTGGCCATGGAAGAACAAGTTCAACAGGGCGCCTCTGTGTGCCTGCCCCTTGCTGTGTACAAGGACCTTGCACTTCAGGGACATCAAGGCACCTTCAGCCGGGCTTTGGGGAACTTGTGTATGGGAGGGGGGGACCTCTAAGGACCTTTCCTGTCCCAAGGAGCTCCCCAGAAGCCTGTTGCAGTGCCCAGCACCCCAGCCTCATGGTTAAGGTAGGCAGTCCCCAGGAGTCCCCTTCCTGGGACATCAACTCTCCTGGTGGGAACAAATGCTGAGCACCTCAGCATGAGATGGGTACAGTCAGGGACTCCACAGGCAGGTCATGTCACAGACAAGGTCACACAGCTAGGTGGTGGCAGGTTGGAGAGAGAGGGCAGTCCCCTGACTCCCATCCCAGTGCTCTTTTCTCCCATGACAGTGACGGGTGAAATGGCACAGTGTATCCCTGTCAGGCAGGAGGGGATTTGTTGTACTTTTTTTTTTTTTTTTCTGAGGCGGAGTTTCACTCTGTCACCCAGGCTGGAGTGCAGCGGCGCAATCTCTGCACACTGCAACCTCCGCCTCCCAGGTTCAAGCGATTCTCCTGCCTCAGCCTCCTGAGTAGCTGGGATTACAGGCACCCACCACCACGCCCAGCTAACTTTTGTATTTTTAGTAGAGGCGGGGTTTCACCATGTTGGCCAGGCTGGTCTTGAACTCCTGACCTCAAATGATCCCCCTGCCTCGTCCTCCCAGGTTGTATTTTTAATCCTCCACAACTAAATACTCATGTCAGTGGAAAGGTTCCAAGCTCTTTAAAGACAGCCTCTGCCAGCGTGCTCCCAGGGGAGGCCAGGGAAGGCTTTGGGAAGCCTCCGTGGGGGTGGGGACCTCCTGCAACCCCTGGCGCACAGCCTCACCCCGCTGTAAACAGAGCTGGGATTGAAGTGCGATTTCGGTTTCTTTTTCTTTTTTTCTAATCAAATAAAAACACCTAGGGGGCAGGAAGCGAGGAGGAAGAGGCCAGGGAGTAATTCTTGTTGCCAAACCAGTTTCTAAGGGGCTCCGCTCCGCTCCCAGCATTTCTGTCTCTGAGGCTCCGACCTCTGAGATGATCAATCCTCCCATTTCAGCCAGATGAGAATTGCTGTGGGCCCTGCCTTTTCTTAATATTTTGCATGAGAGCGACAGCCCGGCCAGCGGCAGTAATCTCCCACCCACGTGGGGAGGCACCCACTGTCCTGCCATGTGCATAATTGAAGTCTTCAGACTGCTCAGTGGTTCTAATTAGCCCAAAGTGGCCCCTTCTGGCCTCAGTGGAAATTACTGCCCTCCTGCCGCCTGGTCTTACTAGCTGATCTTTGAAGGTGTGAGTGAGCCGGGAGACGTGCAGAGCCTAGCACTCCCTCTGCTGCATTGGTCTTTCTTGGCAGGCCTTCATGGCTTTGCAGAGGGCGGGCAGTTGAGGCCTCTGTCTGCCGTTGAGGTCCTGCCTCCCTCCTCTCTGCCACCACTCTCCATGGGACAGGTGCTCCAGCTGGGCGCATGCATGCCCCTCTCACCTGAATGCCTCCCACTAGCAGTGTCTCTGCTCTTTCTGACCCTTCAGGTTATGCAGTGCCTCCTCCTCCAGGAAGTCATCCCTGATCCCCAGGCTGGGCCCTCAGAATCCCCATGTCTCCCTCCATCGCAGCCCTGGCCATGCCATGTGGTGCTTGTTTACATCCATGACTGCCCCATGAGACTGGGAGCCCCTAGGGGGCAGAAGCCGCTCCATGTCCCACCTACTCCTGGCCTAGCGCGGTCCCATAGGACATGTCTACGGAAATGGAGGGCGTGAGGGTGGGAGGAAGGAAGGAAGGCAAGAAGGAAAGAAGGAAGGAGAAGGAAAAAGGAGAAGAGAGAAAAGAGGGAGGGTGGGCAGGTAGCACCATGCCCATTTTGCAGGTGAGAACACTGAGGAGACATAACCGGGAAGTGGCAGGGCCAAGCACACCCTTGGCAGCTCATTATACTTTCCCTTCAGCCTAGCAAAGCTACTGTTCGATTTGGGGAAATGGGGCCGCTTGTATGAAGAGCCGCAGGCAAAGTGGAAAGTGCCGAGGGCTGGAAGTCAGATGGGTGTGGGTGCGCAGCCTTCCTGTGTACCTGTGGGCACCACTTACCTGCTCTGTGACCCTGAGCAGGGCACCTTTGCCTTCGAAACTTGAAGATCACAGTCGTCCAGGTGGATTCAAGGCGATGAACAGCAACAGCGCATGCTCTTCCCAAACAGTATTCTTCTTATCCTCACTGAAGCCCCAGAAGGTAGTTGATCCTTACCACATCATTAACCTCAATGCGCAGATGAGGATGCCAAAGCACAGAGAGGTTGAGCAACTGGCCCAAAGTCACACAGTGCGTGAGTGACAGAGCCAGGATTTGCGCCTGGGTTCTTGGCTCTGATATTAGTGCCATTGACTCCACTCTGTTGTGTGAGGTATGAAGGCATCCAGTACAGTGTCTGGCATCGGCAGGTAGCTTCCATGGCAGATACCCCCCCTCTCCCACCAGATTCTGCCCTTTGAGCGACAGGAAGATAAATAGCGCTGTTCTCCAGTGTCACTTGTGACTTTCCTCTGTGAGTTCATTGTCAGGGTGCTCCTGAGCTGAGCTGTGGCCACCACTCATTGGTGTGGTCCCTGGAGACACTTGGATAAAATTGTGATGACAGAGGGCTCTCAGGCTCATGAGATCACACAGAGGAGGGTGGAGCTCAAAGGGCTATCTCAGACCGGGATGCTCCAGAGGTTAGGTCTTGGTGCTGTGTTTGGCCCCCAGCTGCTCTTTCAGGCCTTGGTCTTGCCCTTGCCCTTGGTCTCTGGAAGGCTGAATAGCTGCATCTTGTTCATCTGGAAACTCTCTGGGATGAGTGACTTTAGCATCTCGGATGTTGCCATCGTAGCCCATGTGCATAACAACTTATTGTGCAAGCATGTACAGTCATATTGAAAATAAATGTAGAAGTGAAGGAGGCAGTCCAAAGACGGTTCCTGACAATACTCGGAAACAGCTTCATTAGGTATTGGCCAGAGCTTCTATTTGTGGGTTGCTTTGGCGAAACTGCTTCCTTACCATTAACCATATCCAGGAGATGGAGGGGAAAGTCTTCACCTGGGTTGGTTTTTCTCAGAGGGGCAGGCAAGCTGAATAACGGGAGTACTAACATTTCCAAGAAGATTAATGATTAAAATGTTGAATACAATTTGAGACTTGTTTTCATGTTCATATTTTATAGTCCAGAAGTTCTTTCTATAATGTCCTCATAAATATTTTATTTGGCCTTAGGTTAAATGTCAGTTTCCATGTCCTGCCACGTGCCACTTGACCAACGTGTGTGGGAACGTCTCTACTTTGGACACACTGTCTATATGAATGGAGGCCCTTCTACCCCTTGAAATGTTCCTCAACTCCCAGCTCAGTTTCCCTTCCGCATCCCTTTGACTGCATGAGCGGAAGCGAGGCATTACAGAGAGGTTTGAGGAGCCAGCCAGCAAGCTAGCAACGGCTTCAGTTCATTTCTGAGATGTTTGCATTCAGGGGTCCCATTGGCCAACCTTAACTTCTCCTTTGAGCTCTAGGCATCTTGTGATGAATGGCATAAGCCTTAGAACATGGGAGAGGCTTGGATGGGCCAGGAGCTCCAAACACTAAGGAATGTTGCTTACATCAATAGACGCCTTAGTTACTTAGGTCAATAGATACCTTAGTTGCTTAGATCAATAGATGCCTTAGTAGATCAAACACCCAAATCACCCAATGTACTTTTAGGGCAATGGTTGCCAAACTTTTTGGTCTTAGGACCCCTTTTTACACTCTTAAAAATTATTGTGGCTCCCAAAGAGGTTTTGTGTATGTGGGCTATATCCTTCAATATTTGCCAACTTTGAAATTAAAACTCAGACAGTTAAAAAGATTTATATGAATTCATTGAAAAATAAAAAGTGTAAACCCATTACATGTTAACGTAAATAATATTTTTTTTGGAAAATAACTGTGTTTTGTTTTAAAAAGTGAGAAGAGTGGCGTGTGTATCAATCTCTTTAATCTCTAGCTTAATAGATGATGGTTGGATTCTCACATCAGCTCCTGCATTCAGTCTGTTGTGATACATTGTTTGGTTGAGGTATTGTCGAACATCTATCCTCAAACAGATATGTAGTTGGAAAAGGGAGAACCCCACAATCCCCTGAAAACGTCTTGGGGTCCCCTGGAGGTACTTAGACCACAGTCTTAGAACTGCTGATTTAGGTGATGGGTGAAACTCAAGATGAAGACAAAAGAGAAAACATTTCAACCCCAAGAGACTTCAATGCATTCACATGCATTGACTCAGGATCATTAAAGCTCTAACTGAACCCAACATGGAGACAGAGCAGGAAACACAGCCATGGCTGGCTTGACTTCAGCCTCCCATCAAAGACCCCCATCTTTGGCTCAACTGCCCCCAGTGGTTTCAATCAGCCACAGACTTCCCTTGTCCAGCTGGACTGGACGTTCTGCATTTGACTGTCTGTCGGCTGCCCACTGATTTTCAGGCTGCTGAATTACCCATTAGCTCACCTGAACCCCTAATGCCACATCTAAACGGTCCTCACTCTGCCTTTCTCAGCATCCGAGAATGTCCTATAAAAGGCTTCTTCCATGGAGGTGGGCAGCCTTGGGCCTCTCCTAGGGTCAGCTCAGGCTGCCCACGCTGGCTATGGCTTCCTGCTGGCCCCTGGAAGCTGTGTACACCTGGGAGAGTGAGGTGAATGTTAATTTATTCAGCATGCAATTAATGAATTCTACCCTGTGCCTGGCACGACTCATTTCTCATGCCAAAGCTAGGGTGGATCAGACCACCTTGGACAAATCTGGATGGGTGAACTTGTGGATTGATCAATGATCTTAGTTGATGAAAAATGCACCAAATGACTGTTTCCTTTAATGCGATTGCTTGGGTGGTGGACTCGATTACGTTGAGGGGATTAAATTAGCAGCTTGCTGGGTTTCAGATGAGTGCAGGTGGCTGCTGGCACTTCCTCTCCCCTCTTTTCTTTCTTTCCCTTTTACTGCAAACGAAGACTTTTCAAAGCTTTACTAAGTACAATAAATGCCATCCCCTTAAAGTGTAGACTTCCATATTCTTAGAATTGGCAAGCTATGTATATGTTTGTGAAATCACCCCCATAATTAAGATTTGGAGCATGGCCTTCACCCACAAAACGTTTCCTGTTCTCTGTGTGGTCCATTCCTATCTCTGCCCTGCACCCTGGGTAGCCAGTGATTTGCCTTTGGTCACTGTAGGATAGTCTGCACTTTCAAGAATTTCATATGAATAGAGTCATAGATGCATGCATTTTTTGGTCTGGCTTCTTTCACTCAGTGTGGGTATTTTGAACTTCCCCCTGGTTGCTGTGTGTGTCAATGATTTGTTCCTTTTTCTTTGAGGAGAATTCTGTTCTGTGAATATGCCATGATTTATTTATTCCTTCCCCTGCTGATGAATATTTGAGTTTTTTCTAATTCTGAGCTACTGTGCAGAAAGCTGCTATGAACACGTACGTATGCACCTTTGTGAGTTTGTGAGCTTTCGTGACTCTTGGTTACAAGGATGGTTGGTTCGCATGGTAGACCCGTGCTTATTTTCACGCTTTAAGAAACTGCCTTGCTGTTTCCCACGGGGCTCTATCGTTTTTCATTCCCCCAGCAGTGTGTGAGGGGCTGTTTGCTCCACCTCTTCACCAACTCCATATTATTAGTCTTTTTAATGTTCGCCACTCTGATGGGTGTACACTGGTATCTCGTTGTGATTTGCATCTGCGTCTTGTGATGACTGATGATGTTAAGCCCCTTGCCATGTGCTTCCTGACCATTCTTGTATTTTGGTTTGGGAAGTGTCTGCCCAAATCTTTTGCCTATTTTAAATCAGGTTGCTTGTGTTTATATTATTGAGCTGTAAGAGGTCTTTATACATCCGGGCTACAAGAGGTTTACTAGATACATGTACTACGAATATTTTCTCTCATTCCATGCCTTGCCATTTTCTTTTCATAACAGTTTCTTTCACATAGCAAAGGTTTAAGCTTTGATAAAGTTCAGTTTGTCCATTTTTTGTTGTTTTTCATGCTTTTTGTGTCTTGAGAAATCGAAGTTGCAAGGAGTTTCTTCTATAATGTCTCCTAGAAGGCTCATGGTTTTAGCTTTTATGTTTAGGTAGATGATGCATTTCAATGTCAGTTTGTCAGATGGTGTAAGAGTTGATATTCATTTTGCCCCCAGTCATTTATTGGAAAGACTGTGCTTTCCTCGTGGAATCACCTGAGTGCCTTTGATGACAATCTGAGTTCACCACAGACTTGTGGGTCTAGTTCTGGATTCTCTGTTTAGTTGTATTGATCCACATGTCTGTCCTTTTACCAGGACCACACTGTCTGTATCACTGTATCTTTATATCAGCTGGGGTAAATCCTCCAACTGTGTTCCTTTATTTATTTATTTATTGCAAAGTCATTTTGGCTATTCTAGGTCTTGTTCTAACAGGAACATATTTTCGCTTATTTAATCCTTAGGACCCTCTGAAGCAGGTGTGAATATTAAGCCCATTTTATGGATAAGGAAACTGAGGTTCGGAGAGGATGAGTAACTTTCCCAGGTAACTGAGGAGGAAGTGAGCCTTGCCCCTGGTAGGTCTGGCAGCTGCACTTGCCCTTAGCCTCTAGGCAGGCTGCACTGCCCTCTCTGTGGGTTCCAACCATTCCTGGTACACACCCCTAGCCAAGAACTTGTGAGGTTCTTGGAACCTCATGCAAGAGGCTCTTGCATGAGGCCTCTTTTCCAACTTCTGTTTATCCTGTCCCAAAGAGGTCAGTGAGGGACCCCCAGGGCCGCCTCTGTTCCCTCACCCTGCACCTTGGCCGGGAGACCCCCGCAGCGCAGGGAGCATCCCTCCGGATGTTTCTTCCCAGGCAACAATATTCTGTTTATCAAGCCAGGCCCCGAGGCTGAGGCCTCCCCCTGGCCTGGGGTGATTTTTGGTTGGTGGTGAGAAGCAGCAGGGGTGCCTGGGGGCCTGGCTGTCATCGGAGCCAGCTCCCTGTCCTGGTCTCTGCTGTGCGGGATGGCATGGGTAGGGGCTTTGTGCAGGATGAGGGTCCTGCCGACTGGGACGTGGGCTTTGGAAGGGCCACGCTTCTCTTACAGGGGTGCCCTTGTGGCTGTATGAGGAGTCCAAGCTCTGAGGTTGAACACTGGGATTGAAGGATTCCTGCCAGGGTGCACTTAGGTGGCTCACTTGGCCCAGAGTGAGCCAGAGCTGGCTCGCATCAGTGCGCGGGAGTCAATAGTTACATTTTTAGGAATTTTTTGAGCCAGTTGTTAAACTGTGGGTAGCATGGAAATCAGCCCTGGCTTGAGTAGGCTCGCATCAGTGCGCGGGAGTCAATAGTTACATTTTTAGGAATGTTTTGAGCCAGTTGTTAAACTGTGGGTAGCATGGAAATCAGCCCTGGCTTGAGTATTCATGCCACGGACTTGGCAAATGCCGCAAATCAGGGCCTTCTCTCTACCCCCTCCCAGCCCCAACCCGAAGACCTGATTGTTAACTGCACTGGCAAACCCCTGGCTCTGCCTCCTGGAGCCTCAGGTTCCTTATCTGGAAGCGGGGAGAATAATGCCCACACCTTAAGGCATCATCAACACCCTTAAATGAGATCATGGGTATGAAATGCTTGTGAATAGTTTTGAGTGTGATACGCAAGTGTGAGGGGTGCTCACCACCCTGGCCATTGCCATTGTCCTCCTCATGGCAGCAGCTGGACAATGTGCCCAGGCTGGGAGTTGGTGTCTCCAGGAAAAACTGGAGGAAAGGAGCCCGATAACCCATGGGCAGCAGCTGGGTTAGGGAGGGCTCCAGACCTGCCTATCTCCGTCAGCCCTGCTGAATGTGCCTCTGTTTGCTCATCTTTATAATGGGTGCACTGATCCCAGCTGAGAGGGGTGTGGTGGGCTTTGGGGTACAGGCCACAAGGTACAAGGCATGGCCTGACTGCAGCTCCGTCACTCTCATGGCTCAGGTGCATGGCTGTCCCACAGTGGAAGGACCAGGGGCTGGCCTGATCTGCACTTCATGGCATCAAGAGCACAGGCCCTGGAGTCCACCAGGCACAGAGAAGCAGCCTGCTCCTGGGTGGAGTACAAGTTCAACCCTCGGGAGTTGTGGTTTCCCCATGTGGAAGCTGGCAGCATGCCACGCACCTGCCAGGGCTGCCGCGAGGGTTCGCACACACTGTGTGTAATGCTCCTGTGTGAGTTCCCCGGTGACCCAGGTCCCACTGGGGTGGCCGGCGTGTAACCAGGACAGGAACATCTCCAAAGCCACTCCTTGTTTGCTGCCTGGTGGCTCAAGCAGAACATCTGTGCCTGCAGGGGGCCCATAAGCCTTAATGCCCTGCAGAGAGGGGGCCTGGGGGAGGCTGGGACTCACACCAGCTGGGGAACAAGGCCTGCAGCTGGGGGGCTACCAGGATGCTCCTTGCCAGTAAAGAGGGTCCTCAGGAGATCAGCCACAGCTCAATCAGGAGGGTCTGCCCATTTCACAGGGGAGGAAAGCGAGCCTCTGGAGGCTGAGCTGCCAGCAGTCACGGGGCCAGCGCACAGCCAGAGCTGACCACTCTGTATGACTGGCGGGTCTGCGCCCTTGGCATACCACAGCAGCTCTCACACCAACAGAGGCTGGACCTGCTGATCAGCCCCCGCTGTGGGGGGTCCCGCCTCTGCCCACACCCTACCCCACACCTTCACAGGGGTGGACTGTCACCCTCTAGCAGACTGTCCTCCAGAGACCGAGACACGGAGCCTCTCCACAAGGAGGGAGGAAAGGGAGGTGGAAACCAGCCTTACCCTGGACACCGGGTGGTCCTTGCTGCATACCCAACCCTCATTGGTCAGACTGGTCTGGGAGGGCCTGGACATGCCCGCGGGGTCCGTTTCTGAATTCCCGTTGCCTGGCATAAGCTCTGGCACTTAGTAGGTCCTCAGTTAATACTTGTCAGATAAATAAATGGCCTCCTTTGGGGAAATGAAGAATGTCCAGGCTGGCCACGGGGAAGGGGCAGTGTTAGGAGTGGAGAGCGAGAGGGTGAGCCAGGCAGATGGGACCTTTATTCAAAGGGCAGTGGGGAGCCATGGAAGGTTTTAGGGAGGGCCATCGGATGAGGTTTTCATTTTAGAAAAGTCCTTCTGGCTGCTGGGTGGATGGGGTCAAGATGAAGACAGGAAATCCAGAGAGGAGGCGGCTGCAGGCTCGCGGGTGAGAGGTGACCATGGCCAGGCCAGGGCGGAGGCAGGGAGGTGGGCGGAGGGGGGCTGCTGGCTCTGCCAACTGTGACCCCAGCACCCAGCTCAGGGAATTATGGCCAGAGACAAAGCAGCTTAGAGCCTGACCCCTGCCCTGGAGCAGATAGGCCTGGGAAGGGGGCTGATGGACACGCTGATGTGATGGGACCTGAGAGGTGTTCTTGTCACCAGGCCAGTTTGGCCCCCATCGCCCGCCTGCCGGCTGGGGTCTAAAAGGCTGGCTGTAGCCCCAGCAGAGAGGACAGGGCCTGTGGGACCCCAGGTGCTGGGAGCACAGAAGCCAGCCAGGCCATCTGGCCCGGCTGAGACTCAAGTGATAGGTCCGCATCAGTGTCAGGCCTCCATGCCCCCCATCCTGGGATGGGAACAGCACATCACAGTTTGCAGAGCCCTGCGGCAGGGGTGACTCTTATTGCCATTTTGCAAATGGGAAAACTGAGACTTAGAGTCTCTCTGACTCACATAAGCAGGACAGGAGACAGTCGAACCAGGTCCCCCAGCTGCAATTTACCACATCTCAAACCCTTTTCCTCTCTCTGTCATTGATTAATCTTTGCTTCAATGTCCACATAGTTCTGTGATTTGCTTTGGGTACATAGTAGCAATAATTATAGCAACAATTTCTAGCAGTTTCTTGGTGCCAGACACTTCTGTCTTTGTTGCCTCGTTGAATCTTCACCATCAACCTTGAATATGAAACCCATTTTAGAGATTAGGAAACTGAGGCTCAGAGACTGTTTATAACTTACTGAGAATCAGGCAGCCCCACTGAGGTGCTTTACCAGTCTCCCCTTTACCAGTGGTTCTCAAACCTTGGCACACCACAGGAAAACCTGTCAGAATGCAGATTCTAGGCCCCAGCAATTCTGGTCCTGTCCGTCTGGGCAGAGCCTTGGCAAGCTTCGTCTTTAGGAGAGAAGCCCAGGTGACTGGGGGTGGGGCTTTCCGGAGCCTGTGTTGCAAGAAGGAAGGCAGGGAGCATGTGATCTTCTCTCGGTCTCCCTCACCTTGACCCTGTCCCAAGGCCAGCTGCTGGCCTCAGGCTGCCTGGTTGCCTTTGAAGGTCCATGGGGATCCGATGGAGGGTTGGTCGTGCTGAAGCCAGGCTGGGTGTCATCCTGGCTCTGAGCACAGTCCAGCCTGGCTAGAGTCAAACCCAGCAGCTTGACCGGATCCTGCTGACCACAGACAAATCCACAACTACCCCGTCCACCTCCCCCAGGCCCATCTGCCTCTGTGCCAGCCAGGCTGGCAGACACTCCATCGGGCGGGCCCCACCTGGCTTGGCCAGGGAGAAACTGGCAGCCACAGCCCCTGGCCTCCCCGATCCCTGTCCCTTGTGCACTGCCCATGGGAGGGGCAGTGGCCTTCCACGCTGGGTCTGGCTCCTGCAGTAGCAGAGCTGGGTGCAGACACGGGTTGGAGGCCGGGGCCATGGGGGCATTCGTAGGCTCATGAGTCCCTTCTCACTCTCTTCTGGGGACTGGGTTTCTGCTGGAAGAGAAAGGGACCAGCCTTAAAAGACATCGTGATTAAAATGGAATTATTATTTCAGCCTGGAAAAGGAATGATGTACTGATCTGTGTCACAACATGGATGAACCTTGAAAACATTCTGCGAAGTGGAAGAAGCCAGGCAGACCCCAAAGGCCACGTGCTGCTGTATGATTCTATTTATGCAAAATATCCAGAGTAGGCAAAATCCATAGAAACAGGAAGTAGATCAGTGATTTCCGGGGGCTGGGGAGAGGAGGGGATAGGGAATGGCTGCCGACGGATGTGGGGTTTCTTTTTGGGGTGGTGGGAATGTTCTGAGTTTCTTTTTGGGGCGGTGGGAATGTTCTGGCATTAGACTGTGGTGATGGTTCTAGAATTCTGTGAATCTGTTAAAATCCAATCAAGTGTACATTTAAAAGTGGTGAATTTCATGTTATGTATATTGTACCTCAACTTTAGAAATGCTAAAATAGAAACAACAAAATCATCATGATGCAACGCCTTTCCTCATAGACCTGGAGCGAGGCCTGAGAGAGAAGCCATATAAGGCAGATGAGGGGTGGGATGGAGAGCTTCCTTTCATTCGCTGCCTGCCCAGTGAGGGTCTGCTTCCTCTGGCACTTACTTAACAAACCCGAGAGTCACCCATGTGTGAGGCATGGGCTGGGCACAGAAGGGTCCACGCCCACCCCTGAAAGTGCTCGTCCATGCTAGAAAGACAGAAGGATGGGGTGGTCATTGAACCTAAGTCAGACCGTGGCTTCCCAGCTCATGCAGAATAAAATGCTCAGGCCTCTCCCGGCCTGCTGGGTGCAGGACCCCGGCCCAGCCCACCTCTCTGAGCTCTGAGCTCATGTCCTGCCCCATCCCTCTCACACGCACACTGGCCTCCTTGCTGGCCTGCAACAGATCAAACTCACCCTACCTCAGGGCCTTTGCTCGTGCTGGTCACCTGATATCTGTGAGGCTCCCTCTCTCACATCCTTCAGGTCTCTGCTCAAATGCGTCTCCCCCAGGAAGTCTTCCCTGGCCTCCCCAGCTAAAACAGCCCCTCCCACCCCTCCCATGCCATTTACCATACTATAGTTTTCATCTTAGCCCTTATATCTCCCTCCAAGAGCTATTTATTGACATGAAAATTTGCTTATTGGCTGTCTCTCCCATTCGAGAGTGGGCTTTCTCTGGGGAGTGTGCACTGCTGAATTTCCAGTGTATGCAACAGTGCTGAGGAGAGGGTAGGTGCTCAGTTAATGCTTTTTAATTAAATTTTCTATTGTGGTAGAATATACATGACATAGAATTTACCATCTGAACCATTTTTAAATGTACAATCAATGTCATTAAGTATATTCACGTTGCTGTGCACCTGTCACCACCATCCATTTCTGGGACTTTCTCATCATCCCAGACAGAGACTCTGTACCTGTTAAACAAGAACTCGCCATTCATTAATATTCTTTTGAATGACTAATTGAATGACTAAGTGTATTTCCTGTGTGTCGGTCACAAGCTAGGTGATGAGCCAGTAAACCTGGCGCCTCGGAGGGTGTGTGTTCCCGTATCTGTCTCGGAGATGGACAGATCGACTCAGAGAGGTGTGAAGGGCTTTGCCCAAGGTCACACAGCTGGTCAGGGTGGGATTCAAACGCAGGTCTTTCCCCCTTTCCACACAGTGGCAGTTCTGGGGGATCACTGCATGCAAAGGGCATAGCCATGGCACCTCCAGGCCTCCAGCCCCACCCAGGGCTTCCCCTGCTGCCGCTCCCCCAAGGGTCACTGTGTCGGCCACATGTTCCTGGTGTCCTCGGCTCTGGCAGGCTGACCACCAGTCACAGGCACGTCTTGGGACCACACTTGGAGGTTTCAGCTTCCCATTTCACCTGGTGCTCTTGGGGTGGAGGCCGGGATCATGGAATCCTTTTTCCATGGCCTTTAACACAAATCAATACTGTGCCCAGTTTAAATGTTTATGTAACTCATCATCTGCCGGCTCTGCTATTACGGTGTGCTTTTCTTTTTATAAACCAAGCTCAGGGGAGGTGATATTAAGTCCAGGACTTGCCTGGCGAGGCCCAGCGCGTGTGCAGAGGATTCAATGTGGCAATAAGGGCGAGTTCCCTGCACAGCGCCTGCCATGGCTCGTCCCAGCCTCCTCCCTCATCTGCTTGTGTCCTCTACACGGTAGGGAGGAGGGAGAGGTCCAGAGAGGGGAGGTGGCTTGCCCAGGGTCACAGCCACAATGAGGTGGAACAGGGATTGTTTCCAAGGTGTGTGTGGGGGTGGGACCCAGGCTCCTGCCAGAGGCCAGGGCGGCAGAGCCCTGACAGGCAGATCCTGGGTTCCTGGGTGTCCAGGTTACGTGGGTGGGCAGGTGGCAGCTGGCACCCACCCCATACAGACACTCTCTGACACCCCCCAAAAATACTCCCACCAGCCCCTTCACATTTTCCTCCAGCCAAGTGACCAAAGCACAGCTCAGGGCCCATTTGCCCTGGCCACACTGTCCCCACTCTCCCCACCCAACCTCTGACCACAGGCCTGGGAGCTGCCCCATCTCCACCAAGTTCAGGCTGCAGGAGGAAACGTCTCACCAGGCCCGCTGGAAGGTGGGGTGGTGATGAAATGTGGGGGTTCTTCAGCGAGAGTGGAATTCAGTAATAAGGTGATCATCACTGCCGGGCGGTGCCTGGACTCATGATGAGCCAGGACTAGGTGAGTGCAGAGGGCTGGTGAGCAGGCCTGATCTGTGACCCCGGTGGCCCTGCGGCTCTCAGACCCCTCACATAAAATCCCATCAGGGATATTCCGTTCCCTGGCCCGGAATGAGGTCTTCGTCTTTCTGATCGCCCTTGGAGAGCCCAACGGCCTTCCGTCACTCACTCAGTGCTGATGTCCAGTCCCGGCAACAGTCTGACTCCGCCCAGACTTGGCGCTTCCCCTCCCATGCGCCCGCCGCCCGGCGTGCTCCCTGCTGGAGGGTGACATGGGGAGGGGCCTGGCTGCAGCCCTTTTCAGGCAGCTCTTGTTGGCTGGGAAGGGAGCCTGGGGATGGGCCGCCTTCTACCTGCCGGTGGCTGTGCCCACTCTGAGTGTGCTTGGTGGGTGATTACAGCTGCTCACAGCTGTCAGGAGTCCTTCACAGGGCAGTCTGGAAGTTTCCTGTAGAGCTGTCTCCTGCAGAGTCCTTACCTAGGGAGACCCCGCTGTATGTCCTGTGGCCAGTAGCATCCTGTGGCTTTGCTCAATCCCCCAGGCACAGTGTGTGCACCCCCAGCCTCCCTCTGCTGTGTTCTCCACGCCCCTCTGGGCAGCCGGCACTCAGGACCTAAGGTGGTCCTAAGCAGCTCTCCCCTGTCCCCTGGAAGTACGTGGAGGTAAAAGCTGCATCCCTGGCAGAATCAGACCCCAAACTCCAGACCCTTTTGCTGTGAGTCTCAGGCTAGGGTCTCCCACCTGCAGGAATCATTTTGGGCCTTTTGAGGGTCTCTTTCATAGACGTGGGTGGGGCGTCTGCTCAGCACCTGCTTTCTCCTTCACCAACTCCTCAGCCTCCCATCTCTGACCCCATAAACGCTGAGAGGAGAACCAGGCCTGGGGGGCAAGTTCAAGGACTCAGGAGGCAGACCGCTGGAATCCAATCTCTCCCCTGCCCTTACTAGCTGAGCGGCTGTTGGCAAGTTGTCTTCTCTGTGCTTCAGTTTCTTCATCTGTGCAATGGGGGTGATAACAGCACACAAGAACATCTTGGAGTTGTTAAGAAGATTCAGTAATAGGTGTAAAATGCTAAAGCTGGGGCCTGGCTCCCAGGAAGTGCCCAGAAGGTGTACTGTGATAACCACAGACGCCACGTCACCCCGCTGGACCTGGACTCCGTGAGGAGGGGGCTCCCCATCTCCTTATCCCAGTGTCAGCCCGCTGCTGGGTAAATTCGCTCGCCAAGCCCATACCAGGTGCTAATGGCTGCAGGAGCCTCTTCCTCTCCCTGACATTTCCCTTCGGCAGCAGGCGGACCCCTCCTTCCTCGCCCACCTCCATCCTTAGCAGCCCTGATACCTCTGACAATGCTAATTAAATGCAACAACCTCATCAGAAGGCTCGAGCTGGGCTTGCCTAAGGCCCCCTCTCTGCCCTGAGCCCTGATGGATCATTAATGGTGTCAGCAGCACTTATGGTGATGGACGAGGGGAGCAAGTCCCCCGACGTGCTGGGGAGGAAGTCCGTGACGAGCATCTTCATCTCCTGTCTGCAGGCCTCGGCCAGAGTTTCCAGGGAACGTCCTAGTCCACAGAATCGTTTGAATTTCACATTTACCCTGGGAGAACCATGGCCAGGCAGGGATGTCAATTCCCATTGTATCCATGAGGCAGTCAGGGCTCAGAGAGGGCAAGAGATTTGGGTGAGGGCACACAGCTGGTAAGTAGTGGGGCTGGGACTGGATTACCACGGCTTTGATGAAAGCTGCAGGGGGCATCTGTAAGATCCAAGGGCGATGTCTCCCCCAGGTGGCACGTGGAGAAGAAAGCCAGCAAGTGCCACCGGCTTGGGGGTAGCCCAGTTCTCGGGGGCTGGAGCCTGCACACTCTCATCTCAGCTCTGTGTCAGTTTCCTAGGGAAGCTGTGACAAAGTGCTACAAACTGCGTGGCTTAAAACAACCGAAATTTGTTCTCTCACAGTTCTGGAGGCCAGAAGTCTGCAATCACGATGCTGGCAGGGCTGGGCTCCCTCTGACGGCTCCAGGGAGGACTCTGTTCCAGGCCTCCCCACCAGCTTCTAGTGGTGGCTGGCAATCCTTGGCATTTCCGGGCATTTCCAGGCATTGGGAGGCCCGGCTCGGCCCCCCAAAGTGCTGGGATTACAGGTGTGAGCCACCATGCCCGTCCTGCCCTTCATTCTTGATGCCTCCCTTCAGCCTCTGCCTCTGTCTCCCCATGGCCTCCTCCCTGTATCTGTGTGTGCTGTGTCTTCATATGGACTTCTTATCAGGATACCAGTCCTTAGATCTAGGGCCCACCATAATCCAGTATGACCGCACCTTAACTTGATCATCTGCAAAGACTCTATTTCCAAATAAGTTCCCATTCATAGGTACCAGGGGTTAGGATTTTAACATCTTTTTGTGGGATGCAGTTCAACCCACGATACCATCTTTGCCCATCTCTGGCTCTGGCGTGCAGGGACCTGTTACTGGGCGGGTCACTAGGGATACCACCTCTCACCTCTCTGGGCACCCATTGGTAGGCCTGTGCTGTGCCCAGCACCAGGGGGCTGGCTGAGGCCTCCTTGTTCAGTGGCTCCTGTGTGCCTCTCCACTTGGGGGTTGCCCTAGAGCTGCCCAGGAAGGGAGGAGGCACCTCAGGGGGGGAAGGACAGCATGAGTTTCCATGGGCTTCTCGTCACCCACACAGAGTGACTTGGAATAATGCACCCAGTGGCTGATCTGGGGCCCTGAGCTCGAGGCTGCAGCCAGTGGCAGCTCCAGGCCCTGCAGTGTGGGGACAGCGATGGCCAAAAAGAGCACATGCCAAAGGCCCTGCCACTTAGGGGACTTTGGGAAAGTTTGACCAAGTTTCCTTGTCTCTAAGTAAGGAATGATAATTGGTCGATGGGATTGTTCTGAGATGAAAGTGCTGGTCCTTGGGAAAGCTTCAGCTGAAATGTCTTTTTATTTTGCCCTTCACTCTTTTTTTTTTTTCTTCACTGTTGTCGCCCAGGCTGGAGTGCAATGGTGCAATCTCGGCTCATTGCAACCTCCACCACCTCTCAGGTTCAAGCAATTCTCCTGCCTCAGCCTCCCAGATAGCTGGGATTACAGGCGCCCGCCACCATGCCCGGATAATTTTTTTGTATTTTTAGTAGAGACAGGGTTTCATCATGTTGGCTAGGCTGGTCTCGATCTCCTGAGCTCAGGTGATCCACCCGGCTTGGACTCCCAAAGTGCTGGGATTACAGGTGTGAGCCACTGTGCCCGGCCTGCCCTTCATTCTTGACGAATATTTCGACTGAATTCAGAATTCTGGGTTTCCAGGTTTTAACATTTTCTTTCGGCACATTAAAAGAGTCTTCTGGGTGCCATTATTTCTGCTGACAAGTCAGCAGTCTCTGAGTCCTGGTGTCTCTGAATGTAATATGTTGTTTTTATTCTAGCTGCTTTAACATTTTCTCATTATTTCAGTTTCCAGTAGTTTGCAGTTTGACCAGGATGTACCTGGGTATAATTTTCCTTGTGCTTATCCTGCTTGGAGTTAGCTAAGCTTCTTAAATTTGTAAATTGATGTCTTTTACCAAATTGAGGAATTTTTCGGTCATTATTTTTTTATGTGTTCTTTTTAGTATATCTTCTCTCTCCCCTCCCTCTACAACTCCAATCACATGTGTGTTGAACCTTTTGATATGCAACAGGTCTTTGAGGATCTTTTTCTTTTTAAAAAAATTTTTTTTCTCTCTATTCTTCAGACTGGGTAATTTCTATTGAAATCATCTTCAAGTTCACTAACTCTTCTATTTTCTCAGACTTTCTGTTAAGCAATTTCTGTTAAGGTGTGATTTTTTTTCTGTCTCAGACATGGTATTTTTAAGTTATAGAATTTTCATTTAGTTCTTTTTTAAATTGTTTATATTTCTCTGCTGAGATTTATTCTTTCATGAAGTATGAGCCAATTTTCTTTACGTCTTTTAACACAGTTATCATAGCAAGTTTAAAAATCTCTATTTGCTAATTGCAGCGGCCAGCACATTTCAGGTGAGTTTCCACTGACTGTCTTTTATATTAAGTATGGCTGGTTTTCCTATTTCTTTGTATATCTTCATATAATTTTGGATGATATCCTGGGTGTTGTGAATGATAGCATAAGAGCGACTCTAGATTTTTGTTACTTCTCCCCAAAGAGCATTTTTGTTTTGCTTTGTATTTGCAAGCAGTTAACTTGGCTGAAAGCAACTGTAAACCATCTGCAGTCGTGAGTGGTGGGCAGTGGCAGGAGCCTCTGTTCACTTCTTCTAGCCCTGGCTGGGTTGCAGCTGCTGGAAGTCTGTCCTGTGTGTGTGTGGTTTGGGGTCAGCCCAAGACATGGGCAGAGTTTATTTGCCCCCTCTGGGGATCTGTCTTGGTGGCTCTCTTCATTCCAGAATTTACTCCCACATTTTTCCAGCTGCTGCGAGTGTCTCAGACTCTGTTTGCTGCTCTATCAAGCCAGTGAGACTCTGGCTTTCCGTCTGAGTTCTGGCAGCCCTATGACACAGGCTGGGACTTGTCCTCAGGCTGTGAAAGCCATGAGACCAGGAAAGCCAACGCCGGCTGTTCCTCCCAATTGCTGACCGCCTGCAGCATCTGCTGCGGCCTCACCCTCCGATGCCTTCAGAGTGTCATTTTGTTGTTGTTTTTTCAAGGGTTTATAGTCTATAGTTATCTGTGAGAGAGTTGCTGCACTAGGAGCTACTAGGCTATTACCGGAAGCATTTAGAGCAGGGCCTGGCAGACAGTAATCACTTAAGAAATGTGAGTTAATGTGGTCAACCATAGTGCGGCGCTGTTTCCTCTGGTCAAGGCTAGAGACAACGTGGACACAGACAGCACCATGCAGGAAGTGTCAGTACCTAGTGAAGAGCACACAATGGCCTTAAGACTGCACTTGTAGGCCGGGCGCGGTGGCTCACACCTGTAATCCCAGCACTTTGGGAGGTCGAGGTGGGCAGATCACTTGAGGTCAGGAGTTTACCAACCTGACCAATATGGTGAAACCCCATCTCTACTAAAAATACAAAAATTAGCTGGGTGTGGTGGCAGGTGCCTGTAATCCCAACTACTCGGGAGGCTGAGGCACGAGAATCACTTGAACCTAGGAGGTACAGGTTGCAGTGGGCCAAGATTGCACCGCTGCACTCCATCCTGGGTGACAAAGTGAGACTCTGTCTCAAAAAAATAAATAAATAAAATAAAAGCCTGCAGTTGTAGGAGAGACCACTTAACTGGGGGAGGGGGAAAGGGGACTATCCAGGAAGGCTTCCTGGAGGAGGTGGTATTGGAGCTGGAAATGTCAGATAATCCAAGATGAGAAGATGGACTTTCTTCACAGAGGTGGCTGCCAAAACAACCAATTTTATGGCCTTACTGATGAGAATTTCTGGCACTCAAGAGAGGCAACTTTTCCTAAGGCAAATCCTGAAGACATTTACCTATAAAAATGAGTAGACATTAAACATCCACTAGCTCCTTCATGGGCCAGAGGAAGCAGTGCTCAGGCAAGAGGGGATCTGAGGTCTGGTGGTGGTTCTGTAGATGTTTGCAGGGAGCGACTGGCGGGACTGGTAGGCGGGACCATCCACAGTGAGGTTGGGCGCCCAGATCCATCGCCACATTGCAGAGCTTGTGGCTGTCAATTCTGTGGCAGCCAGGAGCACAGGTGACCGGGAGCTTTAGTTTCTGTCCAGTACATTTTGGTGATTCATTATTCCTGGAGTCCTCGTCTTCTCTTCCTCCCTCCCAGACCCTCTCACCTCCTTGTCTCACTTGAACCTCTAATCCTGGGAAGGCTCCACCATAAGCACACTACAGATAATGAAACCAAGGCTCAGAGAAGTTGTGTGGCTTACCCAAGACCACACAGCTGAAGCACTGGAGCCAAGACTCCAACCAGCACTTCTGTCTGCAAAGAGCTCATGGCGTAGTCTCTCATGGAGGGAGCCTCCATCTCCTCTGCTGCCAAATGGAAATCACAGTAGTGTCTCCCGCAGGGGCTGGCGTGAGGTTAAAGGAGGTAGCAGATATGAAAATGACATATAAATTGTAAATTGCCCACAGACATTAGTGTGTGTTGCCTGGTAACCACCCAGCATTTGTGGACTGCATTTACTTGGGATAGCAATAGTTATATTGGCATTTTAATTTAATAGCATTGTTATGTTCCCATCATAAAAATAATATACACTGTGTGTATGCCCACCCTCATCAAATTATATACATTAAGTATGTGCAGCGTTTTATATATTGATTGTACCTCAATACAGCTATTAAAAAATGATGTAACTTCATTATAGAAAATCTAGAAAATATGGACAAGTTGAAAGAGGAGGAAATATTATTTTGTTCCAGCTACCCTAAAGCTACCTCCGTTCACATTTTGGAGAATTCTCTTCCAGCTTTTTTCCCCACTGCCCAGTTTCTTTGCTTATTTCACATGGCTATAATCACTGATGTAGATCATTACAAGCATTTTATACCCAATTTTATATCCCGTTCCTTCACCCTCAGGGGGTTTTAATATGAAATAGCAAGAACCAGCGCCCCATCGGGGACCCTAGCACAGCTGGGCTGGGTGGTTCTGGCTTCTGCCCAGATGTGTCTGGGTGTCCCTGGGCCAGGGCAGGCTGCCCCACGGAGGGACAATGTCAGGACAGCTGGGACCTGACCCTGTTCTGACTCCATGCCCGGTGGGCGTTTCCGTGTTCCCACAGAGCTGCTTTTCTTATCTTGTCTTTTTAAGTTCAGTGACATGTGCATCTGTCTTGATGGATGGATGGATACGTCCAGCCCGTCATCCCACTTCTAACCACCCTCTCTCAATCTTTTCTGTTGCCTCAAAGCTGGCATTGACTCATGGCTCAGAAGGCCAGGGCAGGCCAGGAGCTGTCCTAAAAGGCCCAGACTGGAAAAAGAAAAGGCATTTCTTGGATAGATATCTCTGGCCTGGCTACTGCATACAGGCACCATTTGAAGCCGTGAATTAAGCCTGAGGCTCCTGCCCTCATGAAGTTTACGTTCTGGCCAGGAAGAGAGCCTACAGATGATAAAAGCCTTTACAGAAAGAAAAACATCAGATTAGGTTGGGGCAGGGATGGTCAGGGTGTCCTGTATGAGGGTGCTGGGGTGCAGACAGCAGTTTCAGCAAGGTGATCCAAGCTGTGCTCACGGGAAGGCAGCAGTGGGGCAGAATTGGAAGAATAGGAAGGAGCCATGCTGGTACCCAGGGAAAGCCACTGCAGGCCGAGAGAGCAGGTCTTGGGACAGCAGGTGGCCAGGACTTTTGGGAAAGGGCAAGGAGCCTGGTGTTTGGAGGGGAATAAGCAGGTGGAGAGCAGTAGATGAGGCTGGGGAAGGGGAGGAGGTACCTTTTGCTGAGTTAAAAACACGAGACCCCGTGCATACAACAGTAAATGTTTTCATCATCTTGCATCTGCGATTCTGTGGTCTGGGCTTGGCTGGGCTTGCCCTGCTCTGTGGGTCAGTGGGGCCCTGCTGGAGGCTGGGCTTGGCCGGGGGTTGGGGGGGTTCTTCTGCACCCACTCTTCCTCCTCCCCCTCAGGGGCCAGTGGGCCAGCCTGCGCAGGTCCTGCTCCTGGTACCGCCAGAGGCGTTGATGGCAACCCCCAGTACCTAAGCCCCTTTGCATCTCTGTTTGCGGCTTGTCGAATTGCCGTTCTGCAGGCCAAAGCAAAACACAGGGACAAGCCCAGAATCAAGGTGGGGGGCAGAGAACAGGTCACCTGGCCCACCATGGGAGGGGTGAAGGTTTGGCTCCAGATGCGGCCCACCTGGGCCTCGGCAGGTGGGGGCTGCCTTTAGAACACTCTGTGCTTTTCTCTGAGTACACAATGGGAGCCGCTGGAGGGTTTTGAGCAGGGGAGTGCCAGGATCAGTCCTGGGTGTTACCAGCCTCTCTGCTGCCAGTCTGTTGAGGCTACGTCATAGCCAGGGAGAAAGAGCTGTGGCAGTCATCCAGTGAGAGGTGGGAGAGTGGCTGGCATCCCGATATGCTGTGAAGGCTGAGCAGGCAGGATTGGATGTGGGGTGTGTGTGTGTGTGTGTGTGTGTGTGTGTGTGTGTGTGTGAGAGAGAGAGAGAGAGAGAGAGAGAGAGAGAGAGAGAGAGAGAGAGAGAGAGAACGAGAAACTCCAAGGCTTGGGCCTGAGCAAGTGAACAATAGAGCTGTCATCACCTGAGACTGGGGAAGCTGCAGAGGATGAGGCTGAGGAGGGATCAGAATTCAGTTATGGTGACCAATGAAGGGTTTTGAATAGAGGGACACAGGGATGCACTGGCTCAGGAGTTTGGTCATCACGTTGGCCGCCAGAGGGAGAACAGAGGCTGGGACAGGGAACCCTGTGGAGTGTCCTCTCTGTGGCTACAGGGAGCAACGGTCAGATCTGTGGCTGGTTTGAAAGTAGATCCATTTTGCTAAAGGTGGTATCACAGATTTTGGAGACTACAGAATCCAGGCCAGGAGAGCAAAGAACGACAGAGGTCCCATTCACAGCAGCGGGCCATCCCGGGCTCCTACTAGCTTTTGCTGCTTGGGCCTATGGGGATGGTATTCTAGAACTTTCCATCTTCCAAGACATACTGGAAATGTGGATTTTTATAGGAAATCTTCTACTTTTCAAATATTAAGAATGACTTCAAATTAAAAGTAATAATCATTTTGGGGCTGCAGTAAAACTTGTTGGTGGAGCAGGCCTCAGGCTTCAGGTTGGTGAGCTGTCCTCCAGTGGGGGTTTCTCTTCCAGGCTAGGGCCTTGTCCTCCCCTGCTCTCCCCCACTCCCAGGGCTGGCCACCCAGAATGTGCAGGCCACTCATCTCTGTGACTCGTAGAACCTGAGAATGTTGGTGATGGAAGGGGTGTTCCCCTAGTTCCCACATGCAAAAAGTGGGGCCTGGAGATGGGGCTGTCTTTTTTCTCCAAACACTTGCCCATCCAGGAAGGCCAGCCCTGGGCATTGAAGACTCCAGGTATGGGGGTGACTCCATAAGGAGAGGTTCCTGAGTGACCTGAAGAAACATGGTTGGGATGAAGTGCAGGGAGGGTCAGGGCAGGCAGGGCTGAGCTTCGCTTCTGCGAGCAGAGATTAGAGAGCGATCCCAGAGGCCTGCCTGGAGGTGGGGCCACAGAGCAGGAGTCTGAAGGAGAGGGGGTAATTCACCTCTGTCCTACTGTGTGGGAAGCCCTGAGTGGGCCCCTAGCAGAGGGTTGCCTTGCGCTTATCTATGGAGATATTGGGAAGGGCTTCCCTGACCCAGGTTGCTGGAGCATGGGGGCCTGGGTGGCAGGGGTAGGTGTGGGAGATTCAAGACAGGAGGATGAGGCCACATCCAGGTGGCTTCAGATACCACCGTGAGTCCCATAGAGTGTCCAGTTACTATAAAGTCTGCCAGCCACTGTGGTCGCCCCAGGCCTGTGCCAAGTCCCGAGATCTCTGCCCTGCAGCCAGTGCAGAGGGAAGAGGAGGGCAGGAGGGGACAGGTTGGTGGCCCCTCGCCGATGCTCCTGACCCCTCAGGCTCCCTGCTGCCTCCTGCCCAGGGCTGTGGGGCCTCGGGGAGCGGGGAGCTCGCCATTGCTGTGGCACTGTTGAGCACCCGGGAGAGGCGGGTTCTGACAGCCACCCCTTCCCGTCTTGCTGTTCCCCTCCCAGCTGACATCATCTCTACCGTTGAGTTCAACCACACGGGAGAGCTGCTGGCCACAGGTGACAAGGGCGGCCGGGTCGTCATCTTCCAGCGGGAACCAGAGGTGCGAAGCCCTGGGTCTGGTGGGAGGTGGGAGGGGTGGGGAGCAGAGTCAGGTGGGAGGCGGGCATGGTGGGAGGGGATAAGGATAAGGGGGATAAGGGGTGATGCGGTGAGAGGTGGGAGGGGACTATACTCCAACCCACAAGAGGGCTTTTAACTGACAGGAGGTGTGGGGTGTCTTGCCTGGATCACATCTCCCAGGGGCATGGATTCCAGGGGTGGGAATGGGATGCTTTGGAATGCCGAGGTGGGAGTGGCGGGCGGTGGTAGGGGGAGTGCACTGGGTGGGCTGGCAAAGCCAGGTTCTGAGCCCCCTGCCCTCAGCCGATGTTTGCGGAGAGCTGCCTGCATCCCATGCTCTGTCCTAGACCCTGGATGAATGGTCAGGATGTGGCACAGGCAGCTGCTGCCCCAGCTTGTGCCTTCAGTGAAACCTTCCTCTGCCTGGGTGACCTGCGTTGTCCTGGCCAGACTGGGGAGCGGGAGGACTCCACTCTTGCCCAGCTGTCACAGCCCTCAGACTGAGCTAGGTGGTTTTTGCTCAGGCCTGGGCCCTTGTCCTCACCCCTGTCCTCACCCCCACCCCCGGGGGCTTGTTGTCCAGCAGAACTCTGGGTAAGACAGCAGTGGCCTGGACAACCTGCCCAGGACCACGTTTCTGGAACACTGAAAGAGCCTCGGGACAAAAGCCCATTTACTGAGAACACTTGCTAAGTATTCTGGAGTTGCTTCTGGTTTACTCTGCACTGCTCACCTCCGAGGGCCAGATCCACACCCCTGTGACAGATGCGGAAACTCAGAGAAGCCACCCAGCTAGTGAACAGCAGACCTGGCTGCCCGACGCCAGGACAGTGGCCAGCAACGTCACACACCACCCGGCCTCAGAGAGGGCGTCTCCCCCCGCAAACACGGACTGTGCCTGGAATTAGATGCAGAAGACATCCAGGAAACCAAGGAGGAGGGAGGAGGGGATGGAGCAGGAGAGGCAGGGGAGGGGAGGGGAGGAGGAGAAGAGAAGGTGGAGAAGGGGAGGTAGGAGGGAGGGGAGGAAGCCGGGGGTGAAGAGAGGACCTGCGGAATCATCTTTCCCCCGATTCACTCCTGAGCATGGCCCACGAACTGAGGATCCTTGAGTCTGACTTTATCTTGGTGGCTCACATAACCCTCCTCACGGTGACCCTGTGGGTGTAGTGCAGTGCGGCTACTCCCCTCATTTTACAGAGGAGGAGCCCAGAGTGCAGAGGGTTAAAATAGTTGACAAGGGGCACATCCTAGCTGCCAATCAGTTCCTCAAACACAGCACTCGGCCAGCACCTGTGGGCTTCACCAGATGCACCTGTGGGGTGTCCCACCAGGCACTGCGAAGCTCAGCCTTCTTTTTGCCAAGCTGCAGAAAGAGATCGGATTGGTTGATGCGATTTTCTTCATTTTGAATTTTTCTCCTTTAGTGTTTTCTTCCTTCTAGTCCCACTGACCTTTGTCATAGCGAGTGCTCATGGGAAGTGAAGTGAATTAGAGGCAAAAATATTGGAGAACTTCTAAGCTTTTCAAAAGCAAGACAGGGATAGAAATATAGATACTTAAAAAAATTACCAGGAAATCTTGAAATTGTTCTGGGTTGAATGTCTCCGTTTCTCCCTGGTTGGGGTTTCGTGTTGTCGTATGAGTTGAACTCTCTCCTGGGAACGTGGTCCCTGGCGCACACAGTGGACTCACCACCTGACTATGCTGGGAGCTCCACGGTCAAGGGTCTTTATTAGAAGGAGCTCTGCTGCCTAAACCAGGCCAAGCACTGCTGAGGAAAGCCGGGGACAGATTCCAATCCAGGTCTGACATTGCCAGACATTCTGTCCCAATGTTAAAGTCTGCTCCCAAATTCATTTATTCCTCAAGTCAGGCCTGAGTTGGACACGTGGAATCCAGGAGCAAGTCAGGGCCCAAGACACGAGGGTGGCCAGAGCCTCAAGCCTTGGCGTCAGGCAGGCCTCGGCAGAGGGGTGCTCGCCGGAGAGTGACCTCACGGCTCTGGGAAGTCACTTCCCCTCTGAGTCTCTGTTTGCTGGTCTGTGAAATGGGGAGAGTCGTGGTGCTCAAGCAGAGGAGGCCTGGAGGGTAGAATGCGATGGTGCGGGGAGGACTTAGTGGGGTGTCCAGCTTGTAGCAGGCGCTGGGGAACATTCGCATTAGCAAGTTAGCCGGCTCGGGTGTGAGTGTTTCATGGGACCGCACGGGAGCGGGGCTTGTCCCTGGCACACTGCAAGTCATGGGCCGGTTAAGCTGCAGAGAGTTTCATTTGACCCTCGAATTGGATCCCTGGCACGGCTCGGCACTTGGTCCCACGGCCGGCCCTGCTGGGTCCCCGGAGGTCCTAGCCGTCGCCCTGCAGGTCACGGTGCTCAGGCCCCTTCTCCGGGTTTCCCTGCAGAGTAAAAATGCGCCCCACAGCCAGGGCGAATACGACGTGTACAGCACTTTCCAGAGCCACGAGCCGGAGTTTGACTATCTCAAGAGCCTGGAGATAGAGGAGAAGATCAACAAGATCAAGTGGCTCCCACAGCAGAACGCCGCCCACTCACTCCTGTCCACCAACGGTGAGGCGCTGCCCGGCCTCGCTTGCATGGGCACAGGCCGTAGATGTTTCTACCAAATGCTGGTTTGTATTTCACTTATATTGTGAGCATTTTTCTATGTCTTCAGAACGCCTAGAAAATAATATCCTTTTTGAGCAGCATATAAATCCCATGAGTGAGTATGCCAGACCCCCTCAGACGCTCCCTGTGTCTGGACACAGGGCTGCCCCCCTTTTTGAGCAGCATGTAAATCCCATGAGTGAGTATGCCAGACCCTCTCAGAAGCTCCCCATGGCCAGACACAGGGCTGCCCCCTGCTGTGAATAGAGCCATCCGAGCCATCTTTGTAGGCCTTTGCTTTGGGGTGAGGGAGTGTGATGGACAAGGATGCAGGTCGCAGACACGGGGGATATTTGACACAAAGTGAACCCCTCCTCCCCACGCCGAATCCAGACCCCTAGACTGGGGCTGTCACCGCGGCCTTGCGGGGCAGTGGGAGGAGCCTTGGTTTAGGACCCCGGCCGGCCTCTTAATCCTCTTGCCTCAGGGAGGAGCATGTACCCCTCAGGCACCGGAGGCTCTCGGCCTGACGCCTGCTTCCCAGGCTCCACTCTGAGGGAGTGGCTGGGGCTGTCCTGCTTGGCTCACCATGGGCCTGGGTCCCCCACTCACGCCCCCTGCCCATCCTCCTTCACCTGGGCCCCCTGCGGACCCAGGCAGCCTGGGGTCGGGTAGGACACACCTGGATTCTTTTTTTTCTTTTTTTGAGAGACAAGAGTCTTGCTCTGTCACCCAGGCTGGGGTAGAGTGGCGCGATCTCTGCTCACGGCAACCTCCGCCTCCCGGGTTCAAGCAATTTTTCTGCCTCAGCCTCCCGAGTAGCTGGAATTACAGGCGTCCAACACCATGCCCAGCTAATTTTTGTATTTTTTAGTAGAGACGGGGTTTCACTACATGTTGGCCAGGTTGATCTCGAACTCCTGACCTCGGGTGATCCGCCTGCCTCAGCCTCCCAAAGTGCTGGGATTACAGGCATGAGCCACTGTGCCCAGCCAGGACACACCTGGATTCTGTCCCTGCCCTGCCTCCCTTGGGCAGTGACCTTGCTTTCCTGAGCCCCAGCAGGGTGGACACATCTCCCTTCTGGGGTCCGTGAAATGGTGCCCACTCAACCCCCTGAGAACAGTAACCGCTGCACAAGCACCAGCCAGGCTTCGAGGTGCTGTCCCCACGCCTTCCCCGAGGACGTCCACGCTCCTCAGCGGGGCCTCCAAGGCTCTCCCGAACATGGCTAGGCGCAGCTTCTGCCAGCCCGCCTGTGCCTGAAGGCTATCCTCGCCCTGTACCTGGCCAACTCCCTCCTCATCCCATAAGCCTTGCTGGGTGCCCGCCTTTTCTGACCTCTCCACTGAGCCAGGCATCCCTCCTGTGACACCCTGGCTCCTCTTAACTCCGGTTCACCCCCTCTCTGGGCACCTGCTGTTCTGATGGTGTTCTCCCGCCATGCACCTCAAAGGCAGGATCTGTGTCCCCTAAGGGGCCCTGCCCAGCAAATCTGTCACCTGAGCCAGCAGAGCATGAGAGATCCTCCCGAAGGGCAGGCCCTGGGGGACAGGAGCCTCGTCCTGTCCCCATGCACCTGCTCCTTTTGAAAATATTTAAGAAGGACGTGTCAGCCACATGCGGTGGCTCATGCCTGTAATCTCAGCACTTTGGGAGGCTGAGATGGATGGATTACTTGAGCCCAGAAGTTTGAGACCAGCCTGGGCAACGTGGTGAGACTCTATCTCTACAAAAAAATAAAATATTAGCCAGGTGTGGTGGTGAGAGCCTGTAGTCCCAGCTACTCAGGAGGCTGAGATTGAAGGATCATCTGAGACCGGTAAAGTCAAGGCTGTAGTGAGCTGAGATGGTGCCACTGCACTCCAGCCTGGGTGATGTGAGTGAGACCCTGTCTCAAAAGAAAAAAAAAAAAAGACATGTCACTTTCTTCCTGCCTCTCTACAGAAAAGGTCATCTTTCAGCACTCCCTACACTCCGCTCCCCTCAAAGCTTCCCACCTGGGTTTGAATCCTGGCTTCACTCTTTCCTAATGGCAGGGCCTTGGGTACCTTTCAGATGCTCCACTGACCCCAGTTCTCAGTTCTCTTCCCAGTTCCTTCTCATCAACATGGTGCTATTTGTTTTGACTCCTGTAGTAGTCAGGGTTCTCCAGAGAAAAAGAATCAGTAGGGTATGAGAGTGAGAAAGAGAAAGGGGGATTTATTTTAAGGAAGTGGCTCACCTGACTGCGGAGGCTGGCCGTTCCGAAATCTGCAGGGAGGCCGAAGGCTGGAGGCCTCGAGACAGAGCTGCAGTTCTGGTCCAAAGCCGTCTGTTGGCAGAACCCCCTCCTTCCCCAGGAGGTGCCTCATGATTTCACCTTCTAAAGTGGATCTTCTCTTCCATCCGGCTGCTTAATTATGTGACTCGCTTTATTTTGTTCTGTTTTTAAAGATAAAACTATCAAATTATGGAAGATTACCGAACGAGATAAAAGGCCCGAAGGATACAACCTGAAGGATGAAGAGGGGAAACTTAAGGACCTGTCCACGGTGACGTCACTGCAGGTGAGCTCCGGTGAGGGGGAAGCAGGCACACGCCTCTTTATTACACCTGAGGATTTTAGGGCTGGAAAAGCCTTTGAGATTTGAGCCAGAGTCAGGTGCAGACCCTGGTTGGGCTGCTGGCTGCTGGGCGGCCACGGGCGTCTTCCTGCCCCTTGCCTCAGTTTCCTCACCAGCAGCATACAGATGACCACGTTTCTTCTAGGCTTCTTGTGAGCATGCAGGGGTGGTGTATGGCTGTAAAGTGCTTTTCACCTATAGCTGAGGGTGGAGAGCAAGGCAGATAATCCCTTGTTATAAGAAGGGGGAAACTGAGGCCCAGAGAGAGACAGCAACTCACCTAAAACTGCTCAGCTGAGTGAGTAGGCAGAGGCAGAAAGAGAATGGGTCAGCAGAGCTTTGTGGCTCCTGAGTCCTTTACTGAGGGCAGAAGGAAGCCTGGACCGTGTGAGGCCTTCAGCATCTACAAAGGCCTGAAACAGACATACCCTGAAACAGACACACACGTGCCCAGCATCCAGTGAGCCGCCATAAATATAAAGCAGTAGTCAGTGCTCTTCCTGAGAAGAAGAAATAAATGTTTAAATACATTGGCCTAAATGACTGGCAAATTGCACAAATAAATTCTGAGGAAGTGGGCAGCCGATTAGCTTCGATGTTGAGTAATGAGGGTGCTGGTGCCCCCTGCCCCACCCCCCGTCCCAAGAAAGTTTATGAGGGTTTCATCTAGAGGGAAGGATACAGCGATCACATCTTGATCACCCTGGTGTTTGGGGCAGAGCCAGTGGCCTTCATAAAAATCCTGTTTATGTCCCTCCCAGCGTTGGAGATTTTTCTCTGTAAGTCACACACATCCCAAGACACTTAACTGTCACTGAGAACCTGGGTGCCCTGGTCTGTCCTCATCCTGCCTCTCACCTTGTTTGCTTCCGATTTCACCCACGCCACGCCAACCCTGCACAGCATTCTACCCACCCTGCGCAGTTCACACTGGAGGCAGCTGTTTACTGAGGAGCTGCTCCACGCTAGGCCCCGGGCTAGCCCTTGGGGCCCTAGAGGTGAGCAAGGTTCAACTCAGTACCTGTCCCCAAAGTGTCCCCAGCCCCCAAGGAAACAGACATGGAATCGCCATCACACTGGCGCTCAGTGCGGTGACAGAGGAACACAGAGAGGCCGTGGGCACCCCAGGAGGCCTTTCTCTACTTTGTCAATTTGGTGAACTCCCATACATCCCATAAAACCCTACTGGCCTTCACCTCTGTAAAGCCTTTCTGCGCAGGCCAGATGACAATTGTGATCTTTCCTGTGTCCCCTCTTGCCTTTTGGATCCGACACTGTCTGTCCTTAGTGTCTGTATCTTCCTTGCCCCTCATCTTGACTAGACTGTGGCTTCTGCGGAGGCAGCATGTTTTACTCATGAAACCCCCAAACCTTCAGGGAAGGTTTCCTTTCTCTCTTCTTCTCTTTACTAAAAAACTGGTTTTGAGCTCTGGTTTGGTGGATGGCAGCAAATGGCTGGAGCACTGGATGAACTGGGTCCCAAGGCCGCCTGGAGAAAACAGAAAGCAATGTTGCCGGAAGGAAGCAGGAGGTGGACTGAGATGCCAAGACTTTGCTGGGCCAGTGATGCTCTGCCCTTCTCCAGAGCAGCTGGGCTCCCTCTCTCTCCTGAGAGTCCAGGGATCCCCAGGGTGGGCAGTGGCTGCACCCCGAAGGAAGGGAAGGTTAGCAGCATAGCTAAAATATCTGACACAGGAATACGTGCAGGGAGGATGCCTTGGAGGAGTCACACTAACACCAACTCCCAGGCACACAACCTAGAAGCAAAGACACAGAGGCAACAATGCAAGAACCACCCAGAGCCAGGCTGTCACTCACACCGGTGCTGCGTGCACACACACACACACACACACACACACATGCATGCACATACACGTATACTCAGTCATGCATGCACACTCACATGCACACTCATATGCACACACTCATACATGAACTCTCAGCCATGCACACTCCCACACACACAGGCTGGGTGCCCTGGTGTGTGGGAAAATTTAACGTGGGCTGCAGAGCTGCCTCTGCTCCAAAGGAGCTCAGTGCTTGTCACTCCGACTGCAGCACCGAGGCTGTCACCTCCCATCTCAGCTGTTCCCTGAGAGCTCAGGGACACAGCCCATTCATTCATTCTCTCACACATTCACTCATTCACTGGAGAGTCTCTCTGCTAGGCCTTGGACTGAGCGCTAGAGAGATGGAGAGATAAACAAGAGGTGACGCCTTGCTCCCGTAGCTGATCCCTAGTCCACTGGGAAAGCTGATGGGACCAGTTGACAGCCTCAGGGTTGGTCAGGGCTGTGCAAGGGACCTTCAGGGCTGTGAAAGCTCAGTGTCTGATGCCATGGCAAGGACTCCTCGCACCAACTGTCTGAGATGAAAGTTCGTATGAGTCAGGCTAACTCCACCGCTGTAACAAAACAACACCAGCAGTCCAGGGCCGAGCACGGAAATGCATTTCTCACTATGGGAAGGTTCGATGTGGATGTGCTGGTTGGGACACAGCTCTCCTGCAGGATCCTTCCATCCCCATCCCATGAGTCTCAGTCCCTAAGGCTTGGGTCCTCACCTTCCAGGTGGGGAAGGTGCTCCCGCTGCTTAGCTGCATCAGGGCCAGGTATCACTTTGCTCACATCCCATTGGTCAGAACTAGTCATGTGGCCATGTCTGGGCACAAAGGCTGCTGGGAAATGTAGTCCACATGTAGACAGCTGTTTCCCAGTGACAGCACTGCATTGCAGGAGGAGGTGAGGAGGCCTGGCAGACAATTGGCTGGCTCTGCCACAGTATCTTTTTGTTTCATTTTAGAGTTGAGGAAATTGGGGTATAGGAGGGTTCAGCCACTTATTCACAGACCCACAGCAGGTAAGCATCCATGCCTCTCTTGCAGGGCTGGTGGGCGGCGGGCATTTGCCATCTGTCACTGCCTATTTCAGACCACGGAGGATCAGGATGGACGCCCACCCCTGTGTTCCAGCCTCCGGTTGGGATCACATGCTCACGGCATGCTATGTCCTGATGCCACCACCTGGCCTTCACCTCTTCCCTGCCTCCTCATCCTCTGCAGGTGCCAGTGCTGAAGCCCATGGATCTGATGGTGGAGGTGAGCCCTCGGAGGATCTTTGCCAATGGCCACACCTACCACATCAACTCCATCTCCGTCAACAGTGACTGCGAGACCTACATGTCGGCGGATGACCTGCGCATCAACCTCTGGCACCTGGCCATCACCGACAGGAGCTTCAGTATCCTTCACTGTGGCCTGGCCAGTGCCTCCCACGGGCAGAGTAGCTTCCGTTGGGTGGTGGGTTTGGTTTGATTGGCAGACAGCTGGTTTGGGGATGGCTGCATTGTTTAACTTCTTCAGTGAGGCACCTCTGGCTCCTAGTATGCGTGTGAGGCCCAGATACAAAATCATGTCACGTCTGTTTCTGAAAACCGCAAAGTCGTGGTTGCTGAGCATTGCACCCATCGCCTCCTCCAGCATGGCCATGATCCCCTCATCCTAGGGCCTCACAAGGGGCCAGGAAGGAGACAGAGTTCAGGGTTCAGCTGCTCTGGACGAGGGACTGCTGGCCTTGCTCAGCGTCCACTGAAGGCGCCTCGGGGCCCTCCCCACTGGGACCCAAGGCAGGCTGTGTTAGCATAGGAGGACCAGCACTGGGGCCCCGGCCAGGGCTTCGGGTGACAACCAGGGTGTCAGAAGCCCAGCTGGGTTGGGGTCCTGAGGGCCCCCTGCTCGGTGTTCTCCTGTGTCAGGGCAAGCTAGGGGAAGCAGCAGCATTGACGATTCCCGCCGACTGCTGGGAAGAGAGCTGGTGATGACATGAGCACCAGCCTGCAGGCAGGGCGAGGCTTGGCCTGCCGGGGGGCTGGTGGGCGGGCAGGCAGGTTGCTGTGATGTCACTATTCTGCATACAACCAATGATAATAATAATTATAATAACACACAGTGAGACTCTGTGTGCCAGGCTCTGTGACTAACATCAACAAGCATTCATTTTAACTCATTTCACCTTCACAACAACCCTATGAGGTAGGTACTATTCTAAGTCTCCTTTACAGATGAGGAAACTGAGTCACAGAGCACTCAAGTTAACTTGCTCAAAGCTCACAGCCAGCAAGTGTCAAAGCTGGGCCTGAAACCCAGGCCCTCAGGCCCCAGAGTCCCCGCTTCTAACCTCCATACCACACTGCCCTTTGTGGAGGATGCCACCCAGGTGTGTCTTGGAAGGGGTGGGAAGACCCTCCTGAGAGCCTCCATGCAACTGGATGGCCTCCCGACTCCAGGCAGCCTGGGCACCCAGCAGTGGTCAGGAGTGGGCTGTGTCCCTCGGAGCAGTAGAAGCCGGGATAGCTGTGGGGAGCAGGGGAGGCAGGGAGCATTCCAGGAAGGGTGAAAGAGAGTAACAAATGGCTTTTGTGGTCTGAGATCCAGGCACAGCCAGAGACCCCTGGGCAGGGAGACCCTTGGAAAACAGCGGGAAGGGAACAGAGCAAAGCGTTGGATGTCCCCTGAGCCAGCCAGAGGGTGCGGGGCACATGTGTGGGCTTCGGAGGCAGAAAGTCTGTTTGGGTCTGACTGCCACCTTCAAGCTTTGTGACCCTGGGTGAGTACACTCACCTCCCTCTCCGAGACTCCGTCTTTTCAATCATGCCTCCTCATAGACCTGTGGGGTGCCGTCAGTGAGCCCCTATGTGTGATGTGCCGAACCCTAAGTCAGCACTTGGTGGGTATCAGGAAGCATCAGCATCTCTCTCCCTTCTCTTGTCCCAAAGGCATGGAGTGCCCAGAGCTGGGAGGCTGGATTGGGCCAGCCAGGAAGGTTCCAGGAAGGATTGGGACCTGAGCTGCTTTGAAGGCTTGAAGCTCAGATTTCTCTGGACATAGAGGGCTGGGCTGGACATCTGTCTGACCCTCCACTGAAGCCGAAAGGACATCGGGCCCCACCAGTCCACAGTGCTCATAGCAGCAGTTGGTTAGACTCTTTCTGCTGCACGAGCATGTTTGATGTGGATAACTGTAAGAGAGCTGCGGGCCAGGTGGCTTCAGGGGCTGGAGCATCGTGGGTGATGGCTCTCTGGGCTGATTGCCTCTGCTGTCTTCTGTGTTTCAATCTCAGGTGCCAGTAGTTGGGGCCCCACCCTCCCAGAATAAAGTCCAGGAGAAACGAGACCAGTTCTCTCTGAACTGTCCCACTAGGACCCTAAATGGCATCTTGTGGGCTCTAATTGGGGGTGAATGCCTTGTTGTGATTGGCCAGGCCGGACTCCTGTACCTCTCCCTGGTGCTGGAGGGAGTCAGCTCCGCCCCCAACCCCTGGATGTGGGGGAGGGGCGGTCTCCTAGCAGGAGCTCCAGGTCTGCAAATGGGGAGGGTGTGGGGCTCACTGAGCGGCCTGGACCGTACCGTACAGTTTACAAATCAGCCTGCCGTTCGTTGTCTCACTTGGTGCTCAGAGACAGTGGTAATTTGATGATCACCCCATTTCACAGATGAGGAAACGGAGGCTGGGGGAGATGAGGGACTGGCCCAGAGTCCCCAGTTGGCAGGGGCAGAGCCAGAGCTCATGCTCGGGCCTCCATGCCTGGTCCAGGGCTTTTGCCCTGGCCTCGGCCTGCCCCCTGCAGCCCTGGGACAGTGGCAGCCACCCTTCTCGAGCACCTGCTTCCTTCCTGCCGGACTTGGGTGGGGATGGTAATTGCTGCTCGGTTTTCCTGTCTGGGCTGCTGTGAGGATTCCGTGACACTATGGATGCCGAAACCCTTTCTAAAGAACCATAAAGCCCTAGAGTATGGAAGGGATGCTGCTTCATTTCATTTATTCAACCATTCATTCCCCACGCCTTTCTACTCCCAGGCCCACACTGAGCCCTAGGGACATGGGGATGAATGGGAGAAACTCAACCCTTCCCTGGAGGGCTCAGGGGCTGCTGGGGGACACAGCCCCGCCATGGCAGTGGAAGTGAGGGAGTCATCCTTGCTGTAGCCCAGGGTCTGGACAAGCTGCTGTGGGGGCCGCCAAGGAAGCCAGAGAAGGAATTTCGGTAGGAAGCTCCCTGGGCTCGAGGAGGCTGCCTGAGGGCATGGGTGTGCAGGAGGCGGATGCATGAGGAGGCAGAAGGTGCCGGAGCTGTGGCACTGTGGATGGTGCAGGCAGGGGGCTTTCTCTTGGGGTAGGGGCCCCGAATGCCAGTCATTCACAAAACCCCCCACAGCTGTGCCTGCCTCCACATGCCACGTGTGCTTCCCTTTACTTTTCCCATTTAAAAAAAATTGTTTTCTTTAAGTCAAGTTGCTTTATTTTTGCCGAAGTAATTTTCTTTTGAAAGGGAATTGAATTTCACCATGATAAGTTAAAGTATCACATACCATAAATAGGAGGTAGCCTCAACCATAACGGCTGTGCACACAAAATGGTGGGAATAAAATACAGGCTCAGCCCTGTCTGTTGGAACTTTCTGTGGTAGTAGACTGCTTCGTCTGCACTCATGGGGCGGCAGCCACCAGCCCCATGTGCCTGCTGAGTGCCTAAAACGTGGCTTGGTGACTGAGGAGCGACATCGTTAATTTGATTTAGTTCCAGTTAATCATACTTCAAACGAAATAGCCACATGTGGCCAGTGGCTACTGAACAAGGACGCTGCAGCCTCTCTCCAGGTTGCCCTTAGACCCTGAAGCTGGTTCTCTCTGAAAAGATGGAGGTAAACATGTGCTTCAATGTTAAGGGGGAGAGTGCAAAACAGAGACATCCCCCTTCATTCATCAGAAGGATTGAATCCTGTCTCCCCGTCTGCATCTATATTACATTACTGGAGGCTGTGCCGACTTCCCACCTGCCTGCTT
Organism: Homo sapiens; assembly: GCF_000001405.40. Classification (NCBI taxonomy): domain Eukaryota; kingdom Metazoa; phylum Chordata; class Mammalia; order Primates; family Hominidae; genus Homo; species Homo sapiens. The sequence continues at coordinate 6,368,921 of NC_000004.12, read as the reverse complement.
CCAGGGAACGGGAAACTATGAAGCTATTGATGTACTGTAAACAGGGGCGTGTCACTAGCCAGCTTTGGAGGTGTGTATGTCGTGGGTGTGTGTCGTGGGTGGATTGGATTCCAGCAGACAAGGCTGGCGGCTTGGGAACCAGCAAGGAGACCCGGGGAGAGAGAGTGAGAGGCAGGGCCAGAGCGTGGCCACGGGTGGGAGGCGGTGGAGGAATGAGATTGTAAGGATGGAGGTGTCATAGATTTGGATTGTATCATAACCAGTTTTGGATCGGGGTGGCCACAAGACATTCAGACAGGTTGGCTGTAAAGAAGAAAAGGGGGTTGGTTCATCCCAGGACTGCAAAGTCCTCCCTGGCCGTTACCGTGAGCCTTGCCTCCTGTCCCGTCCCGAACACACAGATTGTGCCCTGTCCGCATGTTGCAGAGCACACCATTTACCAGCAGGTATTTATTAAGCACCTACTGTGTGCCAGCCCTCTTGGGTGATGCTGGAACTAGATAAAGATTCTGCCTCCAGGAGTGGACACGTGATAAACCATTGGTAAAATACCCGGCATTGGAGCAGGTGGTCCGTGGGTGCTACAGGGAGTCGGTGGCCCAGCCAGCGCAGCCGTGTACATTTCTCTCCAGCCACGCCTGCTGCTGGCTGCAGGCCTCAGGTCGGTGGAGGGTAAGCCAGGGGTGTGGTTTTTGCCAAGTGAGGATGTAGACACGGAGCTGATGGTGTGTGCAAGAGAGTGAAAATAATGATTATTGACCAAAGAATCTGAGCCAGGTGAGGGACAGTGACAAGGGAGGAGTGTCAGCAGATCGGGGGCCCCTGTGGATCCTGGGAACATCCCTGGCCGCACACCCTGCCGTGTAACTCAGTGTCAGATCTCTGTGTAACTTCCCATTCTGTGAAAATGATTATTAATTCATCAAAACATAAAGCACCCTGGCCTTAGTGATAGAGGAGTGTGTGTCTATAGCATGAACAAGATTCTGAGCTGGGCTTGAGGCAGCCCTGATAGGGCAACTTAGGCATTTGGCAGGAGTTGAGTGGAGTCTCCAGGGGCACATGGTGGCCATGGAAACCTCCCCGATTGGATCTATTCATTGGGGAACCTCAGTGCACCTGGTGCTCCCCATGGCCTGTTGCCGCTTGGCTCCCCATGGGGTGCTGCTGCAGTGACAAGACACAGATCCAGGGCTCACACCACAGAGAGAAGCCTTACTTGGCAGAGAAAGTGTGAGGACTGTGGGCTGCAGGTGCTGCGATGAGGACTGATAGCAGCCGAGTAATGAGAGGAGGCGTTTCATTTCTGACATGGGAGGAGGCCAGAAAGGCAGCTGAGACCCCATGCGGAGCTGGGAATTGCTCTGAATGTTTGAGATACCTTCTAAGCAAGTCTCAGTGGGGTGGATTCTGGCTGTCAGAGGGTGACAGTTCTGATGAGTCCTGACAAGAAAAACCCAGGGTCAGGAGGCCTGTGTCCGCGCAGAGCCAGGGGAAGGCTTGGGCTGGACTTGGGGTTTGCATCCTTCTGACCCCTGCTCTCTGGGGTCCTCACTCGGCCCGATGACACTGTTCAGTCCTCCGTGCCCACTGGAGGTTTTCCACCATGTCGCATCTCCTAAGTCCAATCACTAACACTTCCCGTCTCAGCAAAATGGACTTTTAGTAACCATATCAAGAGAAAGGAAAATGTTTCTTAGTAAAGGAGAAAAAGAGGGCATTGCTTTGACTATTGGACAATGAGAAAGGTGACTCAGAGGACATCTCTGCTGGAGGGAGGGAGCCTGGTGATACTGAGGCTCTGTGACCTGTCTCGGTGTAGTCACCAAGGTTCAAGGAAGAGGAGCCCTCCCAGCCTCCTCCCTCTCTCTCACCCTCAGAATGGAAAGAGGTGCCCAGCCCTCTCTACTCTCCCCAGACACTTGCCTGAATCCCGCCCTGTCCTGCCCAGAGCCTTCTGCACAGCTGTGAAATTGGCTCATCGGAACCTCTGGTCTGACCATGTCAGCCCCCCTTAAAACTCTCACGGGTTCCCCTCTGGCTTCTGGAGGAAGCCTGAGCCCCTCCACAGTGCCCTGTGCCTTTGGTGACCAGCCCCTGCCCACCTCTCGGGTCACACTGGCTCACTCCTTCAGCTGCTGGGTCCCTGGCATGGGGCAGGGTGGGGTGGAGCACTGCCATCCGCCATCCCTTCTCCTGACCATGCCATCTGCCTCTTTGGCCTGGCTGACTCCTGTTTGCCCACTTGCAGCATCTCACAGCCCATTATCTGGGACAGCCTCTGACCTGTCCCTGCCACACCCCTCCTAGGCTGGTCAGAGCCCCTCTAAGCCTGCGGCTCCTTGGCTGCCCCCGGTCACACTGAGTGTTTTGTTACTGTGACAGCCTCCTCCATTTTATGGTGGAAGCCCTGAGATTAGGAACCCAGGGTGAGGCCTCTCTGCATCCCCTGCTCCACATAGGACTTGGCGATAGGAGGTACTTATGAACGGTTGTAGGTGGAGTGGGCTGGAAGTTCACCACTTCCATGTGGTCTTAGGATACAGACACCTCCTTTTTGATCTGGGCGCCTGGGGAATCAGAGACCCCAGACCCTAAAGTGCAGGAGAAGGAGCCCGGGCTTTGGGCCCTGGCGGGCCTGGGCTGAGACCCATTGCTCAGCCTGCTGGGCCATCAGCTTCCCTGAATATAAAATCAGAAAATTCCCTTTTATAAGGATATTTGTAAGGAATAAAGAAATCTTTCACATAAAGAGCCTGGTGCCTAATTGGAGCCCAGCAAGAGGATGGTTTATTTTGTCTCTTAAACAACAGCCCTTCAAACATTTAAGATTGGTTCTCATAAAATCCCTGCATCTCTGATGGTTAAAACTCCGTTTTCCACGGTGCAGTTTCAACGTCTGTTTAAGCAACCTCTCGCGTCCTTTAATACCAACATTTTGAGACTGTTAACACAGCACTGGGTGATTTTTCTTGAGTCTGATGCATCTTAAAGGTAACAAATTGCACAGGAGGTCTCAGCGGATGGACCTCTGCTTTATTTTTAGCACCCAGAGAATTTAAAAGACGGTTCGATTGATTTTTCTCTCCCTTAGTGATTTCTCACGGTGGGAACTGGCATCACACCAAGCCTCGGCCTGGAGAATTTCTAATTCCCATTTACAGAGCAGGTCCGCACGGCCAGGTGGGCTGGAGGGGGGTGCAGCCATTCACCGCAGGAGGCTCAGAACCTTCATCAGCCCATGCCTGCCTGAAGACTCAGCTTGTCTTCTGTGCAGAGAACAAAGGAGGGAGCAGACACAGTCCCTCTGCATGCAGACTCTGTGCTGGGCCAAGGGACCCTGAGCCCAGGCTCTACCCCTGCCTCTGCCACTGACCCTGATCAGTCACTCAGTCTTTCTGCACCCCCTTTATCCCATGGGAGTGTGTCTCCTTTACCAGGAGCTGTAAAGGTGGAATGGCCGATGAGTATGGGGCCTGGTGCCGTGTAGACAAGCAACCCTCACCAGCACATGACCCACTGTCGGGTACCTTACAGGCCACCTCTTCTTCCTGCCCTTGGTGCTAATTTACAGAGAAGGAAACTGGGATGCCCTGCTCAGAAATGCTCTGTTCACGGCATGTCAGATACATACCACTGATGGCTGGGAGTCTGGACCCCTGGGTTCTTACTCCAGCTCTGCCACTACCTGCCCACGGTTCTGTGCATTCATTGGTTGATTCAGCAGCATTGGCCGAGAGTCTTCTCTGTGTTGAGCATTGGACTTGGTGCTAGGGAAGCAGACAGGGTCTCTGCCAGGGCCTGCGAGTACAGTTGTATGGGTTGTCTGCTGCCCAAAAGAGGTGATGATCCAAGCCAAGCACCTTGGGAAGAAGGGACTTTTTTGTTTTTCAGTTCTGCAAGGAAGAGCTGTCTTTTCATAATTGGCACAAAGGCACTTTCTGAGTGAATGGGGATCCTGATGCTATCCAGGTGAACTTTCTAGGTGAGCAAAAAGATAGTCTTCTTCTTGCTCAAGCCTCGATGAGTCCTGTGATCCCATCGTCCAAATGCACCCAGAGCCCACCTGCCTGTCTGCCCCCAGCATGTGTTTAGGCCACTGTCTCACTCTGATCATGATGGTGACCTGACTGGCCTCCCTTCTTAGGTCTAGGAGCCAGACTGCCAGGGCTCAGACCTTGGCCCCAAGACATAGGGACTCCGCGGCCTCGGGCAGCTCACTTGGGTTCTCTGTGCCTCAGCTCCTCACCTGTAAAGCGAGGAAAAGCCCCTGCTGACACCATACGGCTGCTTGAGGACTGGGTGCTACGATGACATCTGGGAAGCCTTTAGGGCAGTGCCTGGCAAATCACCGAGCTGCAGCATCATTGCTTCATTAGCTGTGTTTCCCCAGGTGTCTCCTTACAGTCTGTTCTCCTACAACATGAGAAAAAAAAAAACGACAAGATCATGTCACTCCTTGCTCAGAACCCTTCAGCAACTTCTCCCAACTGGAAGTAACTCCGCCCCTTTCTCTGGCCTCCAAGGCCCTGCAGGAGCTGGCCCTGGCCCCTCCCTGGCCCACTTCCTCCTCTCTCCCTTTGCTCCCTGGGCTCAGCGTTCCCGGCCCCCTGCTCTTCACCATATTTCCAGCCATCTCCTGCAGCAGAGCCATTTTGCACTGGCTGTTCCCTCCGCCTGTGAAGTTTCTCCATCCTCATCCACTCAGTGGACACCTTCTTAAAGAGGCCTTCCTTGACCAGTCTGTCGGAACTAGTCCATCCCCTCCATGACTCCCTCGAGCCCCTTCCCTAGAGGCTTGGCCTCTACCTCGTTCCCTGTTCATTTCCCGCCTCTCCCTCCTGGACTGGCAGCTTCTTGAGAGCAGGGACCTTGTTTGATCTACCTGGAATAATGCCTGGTCCAGAGTAGATGCTCAAATAATGGAACTAGTGTAATACAGTGAGATGGGTGTTAGGATAAGGTGGGGAGGACCCCGGCCTCCTTAGAAAGTCCTTGATGGAAAGGCATTGACACTGAGGCTTCTGTTCTGGACCTGCCACGTGGTCCCCTGGCAGTTTGCTTCACCTTCCTGGACACCAGTTTCCCCTTCTCTTGGCTGGACTGGTGTCCTGAAACTGGCTTTCATTTAGACAGTTGGGCTATCCTTGCCGGGTCTCCCTTGATCTGGCTATGTGTGACCTTGTGTCTTGCCAGCTGCTAGCATGACACAAGGTCACACACAGCTTGTAACAGCCAGGTGTGCACATCTCTTCCCAAATCCATGTTCATGGACATCTCTTTGGCAGCTTGAATTTGGCCATGGTGGTAGTATTTCTTTCTTTTTCTTTTCTTTTTTTTTTTGAGATGGAGACTCACTGTGTCGCCCAGGCTGAAGTGCAGTGGCTCAATCTCGGCTCACTGCAATCTCTGCCTCCCAGGTTCACGCCATTCTCCTGCCTCAGCCTCCTGAGTAGCTGGGGCTACAGGTGCCCGCCACCACGCCCGGCTAATTTTTTGTATTTTTTAGTAGAGACGGGGTTTCACCGTGTTAGCCAGGATGGTCTCGATCTCCTGACCTCGTGATCCACCTGCCTTGACCTCCCAAAGTGCTGGGTTTACAGGCGTTAGCCACCGCACCTGGCCTGGTGGTAGTATTTCTACAGATATCTACAAACACTACAAAATCAATCTCTCCCCTCCCCAGAAGAGAGGGTATTGTTCAAGTTACCAGCACACAACTGCTCTGGGGCCTTCACAAGGCCAGGCAGTTGGTCAGTCAGCCTCCAACATGACTGAGGGCTTCCTGCGTGCCATGGCTCTGTCCATGGTGCTGACCCCGTTGTGAGCCATTGCGTCGAGGTCAGCATCTCCACCTCCCACCCCACTGTCACTACTTGCTGTGTCACACGGTGTTCTGAGCACGCTGCCGATGTTAACTGGTTGAATCCTCCCAACAACACTATGTGGTAGGCGTTATTAATATCCCCCTTTTACAGATGAGGAAACAAAGCCACAGTAAGTTTCAGTAATCTACCCAAAGTCAAAGGGGAAAGGGGGTGCAGGGGAAAGGGGGTGCCAGGGCTGGGATTCAGATTTAAGCTGTCTGGATGCAGAACCATGCACTTAACTGTCATGCTACACCGCCTCTCAGTCATGATGGTAACAACCCCAGTTGCAGCCTGCCTGGTGCTGGGGTGAACAAATGCAAGATGCCGCTGTTGCATTTCAGTCTCATGACCACTCGCCAGGTGGGGGCTGTCACTGTCCCAACTCAGCAGAAGTGGAGATGGGCACTGAGAGGTGGGCTCCCTTGCCCAAGGCCCCTCTGAGCCAAGTGTCCTTCTGATGGCCTGCCCAGCTTTGTTGAGACAGCCGTATTTCTTGGTTCTTGCTTTAGGTCCTGTGGAAAGACAGGCCCAATTGCAGGATAGATGGGAGGTTGTTTTGCTATGAGCATGGCTGTCAGTAGCTGTATGGCAGTCCTCACGTTTGCCCTGCAGGTGGCATGGTAGAGGTGTGCGACCCTGGCCTGCCTCCTGTCCCTTCTTGACAGACCTCCCTGGCATTTCTAGAACTCGCTCCCTGTTAAAATCCTCTTGACCCCAGGCCTGAGCCCCAGACCTTTGGCCTGCTTCCCTCTTCAGGATGGGTCCTGCCACTCCCAGCCTTATGTCAGGACCCCTCCACCCTCATAGCTCATACTCCATCACCCTGGAGCCTCTCCCTCCCTCTTAGAACTCCTCTCCTTTTGGACAGAGCCTATGCTCCCTCTGAGTTCTGCTGGCGCCGCATCCTCTCCAGCCTGGCTCTCACCCTCTCTGCCTCCCTCCCTCATGCTCAGCCACCCAGCCTCTCACACCTCTGAGCCTTGCACTCCCCCTCTTCAACCCCCTCACCCCCTCCAACACACACACACCCCAAACATTTTCCCACCCACTAGCTCTGCCGGGATAATTCCTACTCACCATGGGCTTCGGAGGGCCCTTCCCTGACTCTGCACCATCTCAGGGCCTCGTTATAAATCTCTGACATGAGCACCTGTGTCTCTCTTAGGCCATCGATCGATCATGGAGCTAAATCTGCTTCCCTGCCAGGCTGGGAGCCCCAGCAGTCAGGGCGGGGTCTGGTCTGCTCCTTCTCAGTGCTGTGGGGGTACAGCTGCCTGGGTGCACATCCCAGCTCTGTCCAACCTTGGATTCCCCCTCTCAGTTCTTGGAAACCAAGGCATGCCATTCACCACAGACCCTCCTAGTCCTCCCAGGGGGTGACAAGCACTGTACCTTTTGCATCCTGCTTAGCTGTATGCTTTTTTCCCAGAGGGAGAGAAAGACTCTGGGAGTTCTAATTTAACTAAATTCAATTTAACTGTAGCCATGTGCTGGGTCTTTTGACATATGTCATCTGGTGAAATCCTCATTACAGCCCTGCAAAGCAGAAGTTATCAACCCATTCTACAGATAAGAAAAGCAGAGCACAGAAAGGCTGAGTTTTCAAGAGATCACACAGATGTTAGGCAGTGGGGCTGGACTTTCAAGCTCTGGGTTTTGTGATTCAGAAGTCAGGACTTTCTTCCTTTTTCATAGCTTGGTTGATTCCTTTCTAAGCACTTATGAATCACCTGAGGTGGGCTATGGCAGAGCTGTGAAGATGGACTCACCACACAGAGAGCGTGCAGGGCTCAGTGGCTTGTGCAGTGAGCGGTGAAATAGAACAGCACCTTTCCTACGGTTCCAGCAAGCTGGGTTCTGCTCCCTGAGAGGAATTGCATAATCATTAAGGTGTTCCGAGTGGAGAAGGAAAGGAGGCTGTTACAGGCTAGATTGTGTCTCCTCCATCCCCATTCATATGTTGAAACCCTAACTCCCAGAACCTCAGAATGAGACTATATTTGGAGACAGGGCCTTAAAGGGGTAATTAAGTTAAAATAAGGCTGGCAGGGTAGACCCTAATCCAATCTGACTGGTGTTCTTATAAGAAGAGGTGATTAGAACCCACAGAGAGATGTTAAGATGCAGGAATAAGAATGTGAGGACACAAGGAGAAGGCAGTCACCTTCAAGCCGAGGAGACGGGCCTCAGAAGGAGCCAGCCCTGCTAACACCGTGTTATTGGACTTCGGACCTCCATAGCTATGAGAAACACATACTGTTTAAGCCACTCGGTCTGTAGCATTTTGCTATGGCAGCCAGGAATCCTCCTGTAGGATCTGACATGCCTTGGTCTGAGTGCTTGCAGCTCATGTTTGTAGTCAGGTCATCTTTTGGAGATTTGCTGAAAAAGCAGTTTTTCAAGATGAACTCCATGTGTGGGAGGCCTTCTAGGGCACCTCCGCATCCGGCGTCCCTGGTGAGCTCATGCGTGAGTCCTTTTGTGGCTCTTGGCAGGGCTGCCTCCATCCCTAACTCCGGTGGCTGCTTGGTTGCCATGGCGACAGCTTCCTCCATCCTGAGAGCAGGCTCCTGCCGAGACATCTGGATGAGCCTCACTGTGCTCGGTGAAATCGGTGGAGCCCAAGGCTGCAGCCCTCTTTCTCATGGATCCCTGCTCTGCACCCAGCATCCCCCTTGCTGAGGACACAAGCCAGTCCAGCCAGCCTGGCATCAGGGTCCTTGGGGTGCCCACCCCATGGGGAAAGCTGCAGATGGTGTGGAAATGCGTTTACTCCAGAACAGTGGGAGGAACGCTGACTGGAAGTTAGGGAGCCAGGATTTCAGTCCTTACTCTGCCAGGGCTCTGCATGTGGCCCTGGGCAAATCACTGCCCACCCTGGGCCTCCCTCTCCTCCTGGGTGGGGTTGGCACATGGGCAGTTCCTGCCTGCAGGGGTGGACTATTTGACTGGTCTGTGCTAGGCATGGCTCTCTGGGGTTATTACCATGTCTCAAAGTTCAATTACTTGCTGTGGTTTTTAGATTAGCTTGTCGTGGGATCTCCACTGGGGCCCATCATGAGGTGAACCAGTATTTGCACACTGCTTTTGGCGTTTGTGGAGTGCTTTGCATACTTGCTTCTCTCTTGAGCTCCTTGCCAGAACCAACCAGTGATGCTTCTTCATTTCACATACCTGGCTATATTTCCAGTCAGCAGAGATTTGCCCTGTAGAGGAGCGAGCAGCCCTTGGTTCCTGTGCCCACCTTACAGGAGAGGACGACCGGGGGGCAGACTGGTGCAGCTTAGCTGCCATGGCTCCTGGAGGTGCAGCCACCTCCTCCAGCCTCACGTGGGGCTGGTGTGGCTGAGCTCGCGTGGCTGGGCTCCAGGAGAGCAGGCTGTGCCTCTGGTAGCAGGAGATGAAGGAGTTTCTTTTTTTTTTTTTTACAGGTGAAATAAATTTTAATGATAAAATTATTTTAGTAATAAAAATCTTAATAATAAAATGTATTTAACTAAATATACCCGAAATATTATCATTTCAACATTGGCACTAGCTACATTTCAAGTGCTTTTTTTGTTATTTAAGTTCTAGGGTACATGTGCACAATGTGCATGTTTGTTACATAGGTATACATGTGCCATGTTGGTGTGCTGCACCCATCAACTCGTCATTTACATTAGGTATTTCTCCTAATGCTATCCCTCCTCCATTCCCCCACTCCATGACAGGTCCTGGTGTGTGATGTTCCCCGCCCTGTGTCCGAGTGTTCTCATTGTTCACTTCCCACCTATGAGTGAGAACATGTGGAGTTTGATTTTCTGTCCTTGGAATAGTTTGCTCAGAATTATGGTTTCCAGCTTCATCCATGTCCCTACAAAGGACATGAACTCATCCTTTTTTATGGCTGCATAGTATTCAATGGTGTATATGTGCCACATTTTCTTAATCCAGTCTATCATTGATGGACATTTGGGTTGGTTCCAAGTCTTTGCTATTGTGAATAGCGCCGCAATAAACATACATGTGCATGTGTCTTTATAGTAGCATGATTTATAATCCTTTGGGTATATACCCAGTAATGGGATTGCTGGGTCAAATGGTATTTCTAGTTCTAGATCCTTGAGGAATCACCACACTGTTTTCCACAATGGTTGAACTAGTTTATAGTCCCACCAACAGTGTAAAAGCGTTCCTATTTCTCCACATCCTCTCCAGCACCTGTTGTTTCCTGACTTTTTAATGATCGCCATTGTAGCTGGTTTGAGATGGTATCTCATTGTGGTTTTGATTTGCATTTCTCTGATGACCAGTGATGATAGCATCTTTTCATGTGTCTGTTGGCTGCATAAATGTCTTCTTTTGAAAAGTATCTCTTCATATCCTTTGCCCACTTTTTGATGGTGTTGTTTGATTTTTTTTTTGTAAATTTGTTTAAGTTCTTTGTAGATTCTGGATATTAGCCCTTTCTCAGATGAGTAGATTGCAAAAATTTTCTCCCATTCCGTAGGTTGCCTGTTTGCTCTGATGGCCATTTTTTTTTTTTTTTTGCTGTGCAGAAGCTCTTTAGTTTAATTAGATCCCATTTGTCTATTTTGGCTTTTGTTGCCATTGCTTTTGGTGTTTTAGTCATGAAGTCCTTGCCCATGCCTATGTCCTGAATGGTATTGTCTGGATTTTTTTCTATGGTTTTTCTGGTTTTAGGTCTAACATTTAAGTCTTTACTCCATCTTGAATTAATTTTTGTATAAGGTGTAAGGGAGGGATCCAGTTTCAGCTTTCTACATATGGCTAGCTGGTTTTCCCAGCACCATTTATTAAATAGGGAATCCTTTCCCCATTTCTTGTTTTTGTCAGGTTTGTCAAAGATCAGATGGTTGTAGATATGTGGTGTTATTTCTGAGGCCTCTGTTCTGTTCCATTGGTCTATATCTCTGTTTTGGTACCAGTACCATGCTGTTTTGGTTACTGTAGCTTTGTAGCATAGTTTGAAGTCAGGTAGCGTGATGCCTCCAGCTTTGTTCTTTTGCTTAGGATTGTCTTGGGAATGCGGGCTCTTTTTTGGTTCCATATGAATTTTAAAGTAGTTTTTTCCAGTTCTGTGAAGAAAGTCATTAGTAGCTTGATGGGGAGATGAAGGAGTTTCTATAAAAACCTCTGCATGCCCGAGGACTATACGGGAGGCCTGTGTGGATCACACCTCCTGTGTCCTCGGAAGGGATGGCTGCAGACTTCACTCTTGGGTGGAAGAAACCCCGCTTTGCTGACTCCCCCAGGTGCAGGTTCTGAGCTCACAGGGGTGGTCTGAACAGCTGGGGGCACCCAGCACCCCTACCCCCACCCACCAGGGTGAGGAGCTCCTTGTACTGTGGATGGGGGACCGGGATAGGCCCACCTGTCCCTCCAGGGCTGCACTTGCTCCATCTGACATTGAACCTGGGCCTGTGTGCAGTAAAGAAGGGAGGCTGTGTGACCCAAGCAAGACTGCATCGCCTCCTGTAGGCCTGGGGCTGTGGGCGGCAGGGCAAATCCACTGTGCGTGGGGCTTTCTGTGCACATAGCCATCCTTTGTTTAGCTAGCACCTCTGGCTGGTTTTCTGTTACAACAGCAGAGTTGAGTCCTTGCAGTTTCGATAGAAATCCTACGTCTGGCTAGGCCTGAAATATTGACTCTCTGACTCTTTGCAGAAAACACTTGCCAACACCTGTGAATGTTGGCACTGGAAGGAAAAGGGGGTCCATTTCAAGACATGGGGGGCTGAAGCCAGACAACTGCCAGGTCCCCGGGCCCCTCCAGGGACCTGACAGCCCCTCCTTGCCCAGCACCTCGCTGTCCCTGTCTCATGCCCATGACTGCAGCTGTGACTTTCTCCTCCTGCTCCCTGAGCCTCAGATGACACAGAGTCCAGAGAGGCTGAGACTGACCCGAGGTGCCACAGCAGATGAAAGGGGGATTTGAGGCTGGGACCCAGGGTCCCACCTGACAGCCTTTCCCTGCCCAGCACCTCGCTGTCCCTGTCTCATGCCCATGACTGCAGCTGTGACTTTCTCCTCCTGCTCCCTGAGCCTCAGAAGACACAGAGTCCAGAGAGGCTGAGACTGGCCCGAGGTGCCACAGCAGATGAAAGGGGGATTTGAGGCTGGGACCCAGGGTCCCACCTGACAGCCCCTCCCTGCCCAGCACCTCACTGTCCCTGTCTCATGCCGGTGGCTGCAGCTGTGACTTTCTCCTCCTGCTCCCTGAGCCTCAGATGACGCAGAGTCCAGAGAGGCTGAGAGGCTAGCCCGAGGCTCCACAGCAGATGAAAGGTGGATTTGAGGCTGGAACCCAGGGTCCCTGGCAGCCAGGCAGAACAGGCCGCAGACCTTCTCAGCAGCTCACCTACAGAGCGCCCACTCTGAGCCTGGTCCTGTTCTCAGCGCTTCACGTGGACTACCTTACCCCATCCTCATCTGGGAGCTGCAGAGTGCAATTGCCCTTCTGAAGTTGGGGAAACCGAGGCACAGAGAGGTTCAGAAACTTGCCCAAAGACACATAGCTAGCAAGCGGCAGAGCTGGAGCCACCCCCAGATGGTCAGGGGGCAAGGATTGCACTCTGGAGCCACGGAGGGCGTATGGAAGACTCTGGAGCCCAACTGAGTCCCAGGCCTGGTCTGACCCTTCTCTCCTTGTCCCTGAGCAATTGGCTTCTCCTCGCCGAGCCTCTGTTTCCAATGTAGAAGGGGCACACCTCACTCATGGAAGGCAGAGGGGATTGGATGAGCTACAGATGCGAAGCTAGTCCCACCCAGCCAGCCGGCCGCACGTGTTAGCTGCGACAGGTACTAGGTGCTTGGCTGGGGTTTGGGGGATATAAACAGTAGAACAACTTTGCCTAGTCAGGTGAATGACACAAGCAGGTCAGCCAGTATTTGCAACCTAAAAAGATCTCGCTCATGGGCCTTGGAGCAGGTGCAGTGGAGACCAGAGGAAGCAGTGTAGGAACAAGTTCTTCCTGATGGACTTCACTGGACCCGCAGCACGTGTGACGTGCTTCCCAGACCACAGTGCTCTTTTTTTTTTTTTTTTTTTTTTTCCAGGCAGAGTCTCACTCTGTCACCCAGGCCGGAATACGTGGCACGATCTCAGCTCACTGCAACCTCTGCCTCCCAGGTTCAAGTGATTCTCCTGCCTCAGCCTCCTGAGTAGCTGGGATTACAGGTGCCCACTACCACGCCCAGCTAATTTTTTTTGTATTTTTAGTAGAGTCAGGGTTTCATCATGTTGGCTAGGCTGGTCTCAAACTCCTGACCTCAAGTGATCCTCCTGCCTCAGCCTCCCAAAGTGCTGGGATTACAGGCGTGAACCACCATGCCCGGCCAGCACAGCACTCTTGCGTTTGTACCGCAGCAGCAATACTTTCAACACGCTGCAGGGGGACGGCTCCTTTGAATGGCCTTTGTCAGTGACGATCCACTCCTAAAAAACCCCTCACACCCTGGGGCCTCCTTGACCATGCCTCTTTTTTTTTTTTTTTTGTGCTTTCTGTGGCTTTCTTTTTTCTTTTTTTTATTATACTTTAAGTTTTAGGGTACATGTGCACATTGTACAGGTTAGTTACATATGTATACATGTGCCATGCTGGTGTGCTGCACCCACTAACTCGTCATCTAGCATTAGGTCTATCTCCCAATGCTATCCCTCCCCGGGAGTTGAACAATGAGATCACATGGACACAGGAAGGGGAATATCACACTCTGGGGACTGTTGTGACCATGCCTCTTATCTCAACTTTAACAGCTGCTTCCCCTTGAGATGGTTTGCAACCTCCTGCCCCCTGAGCCCTGATCAGAGGGGACCACAATGGGCTGATTCATTCATTCAGTCAGCAACTACTTACTAAACACCTACTGTGTGCCAGGCACTGAAGGTGCAGCAGCAATCCTGACAGGCAGGTCCCTGCCCTCGCTGGGGACAGATAGCAACAAACAGGCCAATAATGTAATAAGCAGTGATTAATGCTTGCAAAAAGAGAAAGCAGAAAATCTATAATTAAACAAGGTAAAATAAATGTTTATTTTGAGGGGCAGAGGAGATTTACAGGAGGTTACTTTGTTAAGGAGCATTGAGGCAGGGATCTGAAGGGCATGAGTGTGAGGGCCCTGCAGTGGGAATGTGCCCAACACGACCTGGGTTGATTGGACACCTCCTCCGTGCGCACAACCTGCAGCTTCTTCTAAGGGGCAATGGGGCCTGGCTGTGGGGGGCTGTGGGCGGAGGAACCCAAGCTGGATTCGCAATCACGCACCCGGGCTCAGGTATCAGCTCTGCTGCTCACTGACTGTGGAACCCTCTGAGCCTGTCTCTGGACCTAAGGAAAGCAAAGTGGAGCACCAGCTGCCTTCTGCACCCTGTTAGTGTGTGTTGGGGTGGGGGTGGGGGGCAAATGACCGTGAACAGAGTTTCTAAATTGGAAGGGCTGTTCCCAGGGAAAGGTTCAGAGTCGTCTCCCCATCTAATATTTGCCCACGGATCAGTCATGCAGCGAACATGTCCCAGGCACCAGCTCTGGGCAGGTCGTGTGTGAGGGGTGTGGGGGCACGGAGGTGAATCAGGAGGTGGAGCTGGCCCTGGAGCCGACTGCAGGGCGGGACAGATGGTCACATACACAGCACAATGGTCCTGAGGATGAGCAGACGGGTAAGGCCTTGCCTTGGTGTTCAGGCAGAGACTAGGAATGCTCCGGCAACTTCGAACTGCTGGATATGGCTGGCGGGTATGGAGGGAGAAGCGGCCAAGGTGAGACTGAGGAAGAGCAGGCAGGGGCAGCACGCTGGGCAAGTCCGACCTCCTCGGTGGGGTGGGAGAGGCCAACACGCAGGGTGGTGGGGAGTCCCGCAGCTGTTTGAGGAAGTTCACTCTAGCTGAGCTTGGGCACGGACCCCCATGGGGACAGAGATGCTGATGGCCTGGGCTGAGGGGCAGAGCGCAAGGGGTTCAGATGGAGGAACCCCAGGACCTGAAGGCTGGCTGGACAAGGGAAGGGCTTAGAATGAGGAAGAAGCCCCCTGATGCCTGGCTTGGTGCCCCAGGGCTGGGGATGAGGAAATGGGAGTTCTAGAGAAGGAGCGGTGTGGGGGCTGTTGGTGTGGGGGGCTGTCGGTGTGGGGGGGCTGTCGGTGTTGGGGGCTGTCGGTGTTGGGGGCTGTCGGTGTGGGGGGGCTGTCGGTGTGGGGCGGCTGTCGGTGTTGGGGGCTGTCGGTGTTGGGGGCTGTCGGTGTGGGGGCGCTGTTGGTGTGTGGGGCTGTCGGTGTTGGGGGCTGTCGGTGTTGGGGGCTGTCGGTGTGGGGGGCTGTTGGTGTGTGGGGCTGTCGGTGTGGGGGGCTGTCGGTGTTGGGGGTTGTCAGTGTGGGGGGGCTGTCGGGTGTTAGGGGCTGTTGCGTGTTGGGGGCTGTTGGTGTGGGGGGTCTGTCGGTGTGAAGGGCTGTCAGTGTGGGGCTGTCGGTTTGGGGGGGCTGTCGGTGTGGGGGGCTGTCACTGTGGGGGGGCTGTTGGTGTGTGGGGCTGTCGGTGTGGGGGGCTGTCGGTGTGGGGGGTTGTTGGTGTGGGGGGGCTGTTGGGTGTTGGGGGCTGTCGGGTGTTGGGGGCTGTTGGTGTGGGGGGGCTGTCGGTGTGGAGGGCTGTCGGTGTGGGGGGGCTGTCAGTGTGGGGGCTGTTGGTTGGGGGGCTGTCAGTGTTGGGGGGCTGTCGGTGTTGGGGTGCTGTCAGTATGGGAAGGCTGTTGGGTGTTGGGGGCTGTCGGTGTGGGGGGACTGTCGGTGTTGGGGGGCTGTCGGTGGCTGCCCATAGCACTGGCATTGCGTCTGCTCTTATTTCCCAACTCCCAGGAAGCACCTTGGGTGGGTTAGTGTCCTGTGGCTGCTGTGGCAAATTGCCATAACCTTCATGGCTTCAAAATACAGATATATTCTCACCGTCCTGGGGGCCACAAGTTCTCAATCCAGGTGTTGGCAGGGCCGTGCTCTCTCTGAAGGTTCTAGGGGAGGAGGCTTCCTTGTCTCCTCCAGCTCCGGGGCTCCAGATGTTCCTGTAGCCATCGCTCCCATCTCTGCCTTTGTCTCCACATGGCCTTCTCCTCTGGTGTCTCCTCTTCTGTCTCTTAGAATGTCACTTGTCATTGCATTTAGGGCCCACCTGGGTAATCCAGGGTGATCTCATCTCAAGATCTTTAACTACATCTGCAAAGACCCTTTTCCCAAATGAGATCACACTCCACAGTCTCTGGGGATCAGGATGTTATGGACACATGCTATGCTGATGTATTTGTGGGGGCCATTATTCAACCCACTGCAGTGGAGAAAAATAGTCTGTGCTCAGTTGAGGCATATGGGATTGAAGAGCGATTTTACCTTCTCTCCTTTTCATCCTCTCTGCATAACTTGCTCCTCTCTCTGGAATTCCTACCTGTGTCTGACAAACTTTTCTTGCAGGGAAAATGACTCTTAGATGCTAGAGTGTGATTGGAAGGGAAACAAATCCCACCAGACAGTTGGAGTGGAATTAGATGGGAAAACAGAAGATGAATAATTCAAGCAGCTTTGCCAGGGGAAAGGGGACTCTTAAATGAGCCTAATTATGCTTGTTCCCAAGGGAGGCCAGTCCTGAAATGAACCTTGTGAAGCAGTTTTTCAAGCAGGATTTAGGCGGGTATCATGAAGCTGGGGTGGGGCCACCTGCGGTTAGTCCTGGAAAGGAAAGGGCCCAGGCCCTCATTTTGCAGATGGGGAAAGCAAGGCTTGCAGAATGGAAATGATGTTCCAGTAACAGCCAAGACCAGACGCCCAGCCGGGGGCCCCGAGTGACAGCCAAGACCAGACGCCCAGCCGGGGGCCCTCAGCTTCTGACCTGGTGCTGGTCCTGCCTAAGTTAAAGCCACCGAGTGTGGTCACTGGGCCAAATGCTTCAAAGTCTACACACGGGGGAGGGCATGGTGTGGGGCAGAAAGCTGTGTTCACGGTAGCTGAGTTTGGGCATAATTCTCGTGCTCCGGAGGCTTCTCCCACAGCTACTTCCCTTGTCAGGAGTCCATCTTCAGGGCCCTGTGTTATGATGGATTGAGGGAGCACCAACAGGGGCCACCCCACTTGGTAATTAATTCCTTTTGTAAAGGGCTGGGCTGCAGGCCCGGGTAGGTCCTATGGCCACCTGAGCCAAGGTCTTGGAGAGGCGGTCGCACGGACCAGGTGACCATGGACCCAGCCCGGTGCCCACACCGTGAAGGGTGCTGTGCTGCCCAGAGGTTCTGGGCACGGCTCTGGGCCCTGGGATTCAGAGGCTCGGGACTGCTTGCCTCCCCACGGAGATCTTACCGTGGGGACCCTGTTGTGGAGGGCCTGCCGCATTGGCCGTGACAGTGATTTTTCTCCTTCTGCAGGGTGATGTGGATGCAGGGCCTCTGTGTCTCACATGGTTGTTTCACAGCAGCCACCGTATCCGAAGACAGAGAGAAAGAGCAGGAGAGATTCCCCTGTGATGGCTCCCCCATGGGTCCTGACCCAGGTTTGGGAGACTTTATCTCCCCAAAGCCAGGCCCTCGATCCCTTTGCCTTTGGGGACTCTGTGTCCCCAGCCTATACATGGGGTGCTCGATTGAGTGTCCGTGCCCCTCAGCCGGCCCTGGGTTGCCGTGGCTCGGGTGTGTTTGCCACAGGGCTACAGACCTAATGGAGCCCTGCATACTTTTATTAATTAATTAATTAATTTATTTATTTATTTTTGAGATGGAGTCTTGCTCTGTCACCCAGTCTGGAGTGCAGTGGCGCGATCTCAGCTCACTGCAACCTCTGCCTCCCCAGTCAAGCGATTCTCCTGCCTCAGCCTCCCAAGTAGCTGGGATTTCAGGCATGTGCCACCACGCCTGGCTAATTTTTTTTTATTTTTTATTTTTAGTAGAGACGGGGTTTTGGTATGTTGGTCAGGCTGGTCTCGAACTCCTGAGCTCAGGTGACCTGCTCGCCTTGACCTCCCAAAGTGCTGGGATTACAGGTGTGAGCTCTGGTGCCTGGCCTCCTACATACTTTGAAAAGTTCTGAAACATCCCCAGGTGGGAAAGGAAAGAGCGTTTGGGTGGACACTGAACCTGTCAGGGGGCTCACGTTTTGCAGTGGTAGCAAACAACCTGAAGGTCTCCAAGGCCTCAAACACCCACTTCACACCTCCCACTCACGCTGCAAGTGTGGCCGTCACAGGCTGGCTTTGGTGCGATCTCATTGCGGAGGGAACAGTGTCACAGCAGACCACGTGCTGGCTCTCAAAACTTCAGCCTGGAGGTGACATGCCTCACTTGTCTATTCATTGGCAGAAGCAACCAGCCTCTGGCCACTCTGGGTTCTGAAAGGCCGAAGGAGAGGTCTCCCCTTGGGAGAGAACCTGGAATGTTCAGAGAACCCCCTGGGTGTCAGCATTTGACTTCATCCCACCGAGTCCTCCTGCACCCACTGCGCCCCATGAGTTATAACCCCAGGAAATACAACGAGAATGAGTGTCCTGATGACGCAAACAGAACTCCTGTGGGACTCACGTTCCTGGGCGCTTCTGTTGCCACCAAGCCTCCTGTGGCTTTTGTGTGTCTCAGGGTGTGCAGAGAGAATGTAGCCCCTCTCTGCCCTGCCTCTCTACTGCACATTATCCATGGGCCGTCGCACTAATGTGCGTGACATTTCATCAGTGGCCGCACTTTTTCTCTGGATCCCACTTTAGTGAAGTTCAGTAAGGACCTGAGAGCTGCTCCGAGCGGGCAGCGTGTCCTGGAAAGCCATGGGAGGCATTCGGCCTGGGAGGGCTGGGCTGCCAGGTGGACGCTGGAGAAATCAGCATGGCAGGAGGAGGGCTCTTTTCTTGCTTGGCCTTCAGTATCATTTTTCATTATTTAATCGCTGCTTCTTTTCATACTGGAAAACTGTAGTTTCCTGGGAAACCAGCCAGGCAGTGATGCCTTAACTCATTTTTCCCTCTCTTTCTATTTTTATGTGATTCTCAGTTTGTGGTTAATGACGTGCTTCCGGGAAGCAAGATTTGAGCACGAGCACAGAGACCCTTTTAGGTGCTTTCTGACTGCACAGATCAGCCATTTTTTTCCCTGGCATTTTATAAACCCTCGGGTTTAGAGAGGTCAGAAAATACTGCTTGCTTGCTTTTTTTTTGACAGAGTCTTGCCCTGTCACCAGGCTGGAATATAATGGTGCGATCTCGGCTAACTGCAACATCCACCTCCCAGGTTCACGTGATTCCCCTGCCTCAGCCTCCTGATTAGCTGGGACTACAGGCATACGCCACTACTAATTTTTTTTTAGTAGAGATGGGGTTTTGCAATGTTGGTCAGGCTTGTCTCCAACTAATTTCTTTTTGTATTTTAGTAGAGACGGGGTTTTACTGTGTTGGCCAGAATGGTCTCGATCTCCTGACCTCGTGATCCGCCCGCCTCGGCCTCCCAAAGTGCTGGGATTACAAATACTGCTTTCTTACTGAGAGAGGCAGCAGCTTGGGTGGAGGAAGAGGGAGGGCAGATGGATTTCAGAGTTTCAGTCAGTATTTTCCAGATAGAAAATAATAAAAATGGAAACTGACATTCATTGAGCTCTGCAACGCATCAGGCAGTGTGTGAAGGGCTTTGCCTCTGATGATCTTCACAGCGAAGTGATAAGGCTATACTGCTGACTCATTTTACAGATGAGGAAGCTGAGGCATGGATAGCTGGGAACTCACTCAGGGTCACACAGCCAGGAGGTGACAGAGCTGGGATTCAAACCCCAGACCTTCCAACTCCAGGGCTCACATGCACCTGAAGAGTCAGAGGGAACAGACCGTGCAAAGCCCCATGCAGGGCCGGGGAGACCGGAGCCTGAGGTCATTGCTGTGAGAGGGGAGAGGGCCTTTCTGTCAGGGTGATGGGTGGGATCTGAAGCTGGAAAGCCGGAGAGAAGCTCGGGGGTGCCAGTCCTTGCATGCTCCAAGAGATTCTGATCTGCTGCTGGGCAGCAGGGAAGGGATAGGAAAAGAGCAGGTGCTGGGGCCGGGGAGGTTGTGAGGCTGAATCCAGCCTTACCAATCACACCTGGGCCACCCCGGACGAGTTGCTCATCTTCTCTGTGCTCTAGTGTAACAGTCAGGGATACTGCCTTTGCAAGCAGCAAAGTTCTTGACTCTAAACAAAAAATGGACATTTATTGGCTCCCACATTTAGCAGTCTGGGGGGAATGGCTTCAGGTGCAGCTTGATCCAGGATTCCAATGGCATCACCAGATCTTTCTCTGCACTCTTTCCACTGTCTGCCCCACCCTCAAGCTCCAGGGTTTCTCCTTGTCCTGGCAGCAGATAGAAGCTCCTTCTTTCTACACCACCCAGCACAGCAGGGGTGACCAAGCTGCATCCCAGCCTTTTCAGTATTCCAAGTCCTGGGGTCTGGAGAGCACAGATCAGAGCCGAGGTGGGGCCGACCCAGAAACCCAGAAGAACCTTTGCCCAAAGGAGAATCTCCATACTGTGGTCAGAAGAAGGGGAGCAGGTGCCGGGGGCAGGAAGGGGAGCTCCCAGATGCCCACACACTCAATTCCAGACACAATTTGAAAAGGGACCGGGAAGACTTGAAATCATTCACCAATAGCATCCACTGCCCAGCATGCAGTCGGCACAATATAAATGCTCTTTTTCTTCTGCTTGGCAACCAACAGGGGAAGGAAGGCAGAGGAGAGGGGCTCCACAGGTCAGTGCTATGTGTGGCTGGAACTGATGCACCCTCACTGGGGTGGGGTGCAGGTGAGGGGGGCCGCAGGTCAGGAGGGAAGTGGTGGGTCCAGCTTCATGGGAACAGGGGACAGGCACCTAGAAGGGGTAGCCAGCAGGCAGTTCACCATGCAGGTCTGCAGCTCAGGGGGACGCATTTTGAGGGTCTCAGGAACAGAGAGGCAGCTCAGACGCGAGGGTGGACGGTTTTGCCTCGGGAGAGGTGTCAGAAACCTCCGGGAAGGCGGAGCATTGAGGGCGCCCTTCACTGCCCCTTCCTTGACCGCACTGCCCCCAGACATCGTGGACATCAAGCCGGCCAACATGGAGGACCTTACGGAGGTGATCACAGCATCTGAGTTCCATCCGCACCACTGCAACCTCTTCGTCTACAGCAGCAGCAAGGGCTCCCTGCGGCTCTGCGACATGCGGGCAGCTGCCCTGTGTGACAAGCATTCCAAGCGTAAGTGCCGGTGCCTGGGGGTGGGGGGCTGTGCATTGGGCAGGCGGGCGGGTGGGATGTCCTGTCCTGGTGCAGCTGCTGCAGGGGTGGTGGGTGTGGGATGAGCATGTCCTGGACTGGCCAAGGTGGGTGGGCCCATTGCTGCTTCAGCGCTGGCTGGTCGGGGAGCCTGGTCTTGCCACCTGCTGCCCCCCAGAGTCCCTGCACAGCCAGGAACAGCCCAGCTTTTAGGGTTCAGGGCTCTAGGGCGAGGGTCAGGGCATCCAGAAGGTAAGGAGGCACCAAACTTAAATGTCACCTCCTGTAGGAAAGCTTCCCGGCCTCCTACTTTAGATCTGGATCCTCCTCTGTGGCCCTGCAGCCCCCAAAGCTTCCCTCTTCCAAAACTAGCCACACCCAGCAAACTTGCTGTGGGCTGCCCATCTTCTCCGGCTCCTTGGAGCAGGGTCTGTAACATGTCCCCTCATCCTAGAACCCACCACAGGCCTGCTGTGGGGGTCCCACAGGGGTATCCGTGGAGGTCTGGGGCTGAACGAGTTCCAGGGGACATTTTGTGACACAGCAGCCCCCAGCATAACAGCTCACACTGAACACTCACTCTGAGCCCAGCCCTTACCAAGGGCTTTACCTGTGAACTCATCGAATCTTCACACAAGCCCCAGGAGATGCTGTTCAGAAGAGGAAACAGAAGCTCCAGTTATTGGCCCAAGGTCACCCAAATTCAATCGTGGCAGAGCTGGGCTGCCTGGCACTGGGTTGTGGCCATGGGCTGCACACTGCCACAGCCATCCCAGAGGCCCCTGAAGGCGAGGGATCAGGCCACGGCATCCTCCTTCCCAGACAGCCCTGCAGGGCTAGCAAGGGGCCAGGCAGGAGGTGGGGTGTCCCCCAGGCAGAGGGCAGGGACTTTGCTTATCTGGTTCCCCTCACTGTCTGTCCCCAGCACCTACCACAGTGTCTGGAAATAAACACTTGTTGAATAAACCCCAGAGGACCCTGACTGAAGCCTGGGTGCCGGCGGCAGAGGGCTGTTTGGGAGCGATGGGGCCACACTGTTCCCTTAGGGTGTCTGGTTTTGCTGGGCAGTCAGAGACAGGGTGCACACCAGCCCCAGGACTCAGGCTCAGGGCCCACCAAAACCTCCAGCTTCTGCCTCCTTCCTTGGCCAAGTTCTGGCCCCCACATCCACCCCCTCATCTCCTCTGGGTTTGTCCACGCTCCGTGTGTCACGCTCAGCCATCCAGGCATTCAGTAGGCGCCTATTCCTGGCATGGGTGTGCAGCAGAGGCCCACCGTCGGGAGCTGGCGTCTGCGGGGGAGACAGACAGTGAACACACACCTGACGCATGTCAGGGCATGGTGAGCAATGGCACCAACACCCACAAAGTCAGGTACAGGGACAGAGGGGGTCAGGGAGGGCCTCCCTGAAGAGACCACAGTGGAACGGACACCCTGAGGGGGTGGGTGGTGCCGATCTCTGGGGAAGAATGTTCGAGAAGGAGGGCACTGCAGTGGCCGTGACTCCACACATTGCCTGTAGGTCAAGGGAGGGACTGGGTTTTGTTCTGGCTGAGCTGAGAATGAGAAGCTGTGGGTTGTCACGAGATTGGGACTTGAGGAGGAAGAGGAGACGCCGCAGAGGGTCCCCGGGGGAGCAGGCGTCAGAGGTCGCTGCAGGGTCTGCAGGAAGAAATGGTGACCCCACTGAGGGGGTTGTTGGGAGGTGGGGCAGGGCTCACCTGGCTGCCCCCTCTGGATGTTGCTTGGAGGTCGAGCTTTGCCTTGTGGGGCGTGACTCTGTGGTTGGTTTGAGCTGTGGGTGAAGGTGGGGCCGTGGCCTGGAACAACAGGGGGTGCCAGGGACCAGCAGGCAGGTTTCAGACCCGCGAGCCTGAGGCCCGTATTGGGTTCCAAGGAAATGGGTCGAGTAGGCAGCCAGATATCCAGGCAGTAATGCCACCTGGAGATAAGTGTGGAGTTAGTGGCCGTGGACTGATGGGAGGCTGGAGACCAGCTGAGATTCCCGGGGTGCAGGGGGCTCGGGGCTGCGTCCTGTGCGCCACAACAAAGGACCACACACTTGGTGGCTGAAAACAGGGCATATGTATAGTCTCAGTCCGCAGTCCCACAGCCAGCTCACTGGCCATAATGAAGGTGCCACGGGCTGGTACCTTCGGGAGGCTCTGGGGAGCACCGTTTTCCCTGCCTCTTCTGGCTTCTAGAGGCGCTGCGTTCCCTGGCACGTGGCCCCTCCCCCATCCTCCCAGCCCACAGCGGCCAAGCCTCTCTCACGTCTCTGACCCTCCTGTCTGTCTTTCGCGTATAAAGGCCCTTGTGATCGCC